>NT_187383.1:1048989-1367513 GCF_000001405.40 Homo sapiens
CCTAGAATAGTTTCTGCTGTGCTTCTTATCCTTCTTGTGGAGATTTCAGATTATCTGAATTGCTTTTCTATCTTAAGAAAAAACGCAACAATTCTCCCACCTGAGAGGCATGTAAACTGTAGTAAGTTAGCAGAACCAATCCGTAAAGTTTTTACATTGTTTGTTGCAAAATGCAGCGCTGGTGTCTCCATCACTAACCTTTTCTATCCCTCATTGCTCTTTCTTTGACTGCAATAGGATACCTCTAGGCAAATCTGTATTCCCGAGACAGAGTGCCCTTTTGGTGAGCTATAAGCACACTCAATGGTAGGCTGAAATACTAGTTTTTATCTATGGCGAAGTGGAATCATATCAGTGATTTTCTTAAAAAGGAAATTTAACTCTTGCTATGGTTTGAATGCTTGCCCCTTCCAAACTCATGTTAAAATTTGATCCCCAATGTTGCAGGTGGGGCTCACTGGGAGGTGTTTGGTCATGGGGTTGGACCTTCATGAATGGATAATACCCTCCCTTAGAAATCTAAAGCTATCCTCCCTCCTCGGTGCCCTCAGGAATGAGTGTACCATTCTTTATTCACCTATAATTACCCCACCCATCCTTTTTGAGATGTTGATTACATGTATGTTACACTGATGCATATTGTCTGACGTATCAGTGAGTTTCTGGTTTTCTTATTTTAGTTTACCATTTGTCCTTTAGTTTGTAATGCTTCTAATTTGTTCTATAAATTTTCTGATGTTAGGGTAAAATCCATTACTTATTCTATGTCATGGAATTTTTATTTCAAATATTTATTTTTCATCTATATATGTCACATTTTTCATTTTATAACTTCTATTTTTCTCCTATGTTTAATTTTCATTTAAGTACCTTGACATATATATGTATTTATCTATATGTATTTATAAAATATATTTACTTTAAGAACCTTGAAATTTCCTTCTTTTTTGTCATTTATAAATGACTTATTTTTATCCTGTTAATATATATCTTAATTATATATATCTTACGGCTTCTTTGCATTTCAGAGTTTTTTTTGGGTATTTTGATGTTATGCTATTGAATATCTAGATTTGATTGGCTACCTTTGAACAATGTTGTGGCAGGCAGTTCAGTAACTTCAGGATGAGTATTTGTCTGTTGTTGTTTTAAATCTTCTCTTTAAGCTTTGTTGAGTTAGTCTAGAGCCATCTGTAATTTGGAGCTAAATGAGCACTGTCACTAGGGCATGAACCTCCAGTGGTCTTTACTGAATATCCTGGAGGTACAGAGGGGATTCCCTTCTCTGATTAGAATTAGGAATGTAAAGGGAAAAGAGAAAAATAGAAAGCTATGCATAAACACGTGCATTAAAATGAATTTTATGTGGGCTTTTTCATGAAAATGTTCCTAAGGTATTTTATTTTTTTATTGTGGTAAAATACACATAACATAAAATGTACTCGGTTAACCATTTTAAGTGTACAGTTCAGTGGTACTAAATATAGTCATAACATTGTGCAGCCATCCCTACCATCCATCTCCATAATTCGTTTCATCTTGTAAAACTGAAACTCTATACCCATTAAACAATACTTCCCCATTTCTTCCTCCCCCCAGCTTCTGGCAACAATCATTGTACCATCCCTATAATGCTAATCAAGCATAGTGGCTGTGTTTCTTGCTTCCTCTAGTCCGCAGGTAGCATACAAATGTAATAAACTACTTATTCATGTCACATCAATTTATTTTCTGCCTTATACCAAGCTTGTGGGATTCTCTTCAATACAACATTTTTATACTTACACCTATGCAATACCCATTAGCATCGCCTTCCTAAATCAGGGGAAATTGAGCCTCTGTAAGGTGGAGTAACTCCCTAAGATATAAAACTCAGCATTGAAGTCTGTATACTTCAATATCCTGCCCTCTTCTCATGTGTCTTTACTGCCTTTTATGTATGTGTTAGATGTTCAACAAATTCTCTTTCTTAAACTGAATTTAAGCCGTGGAGCAGTGTTTTGTTGAACAATAAATATGATATAGGACACTCTTCCTCCTTTTCATGTATGATCCTGTTCATGAAAAAGAGAAATTCTTTCATTGTGCTAGAAGCTTAAAATAATGAAAATGCCACTTTCTACATTAAACAGAAACTGAAGGGAATCAAGGTGAATTGCATGAGACATAGAAAACAAGTGGGAAAGAAATCTAGTATAATTTGCCCTTTGTGTACCTTTATTATTTAGCGTTTGAGTAAATGATTCCCCCAAATATCTTCCCATCTTAATTCATGTCTATAAAGTAGACATTTATGTCTCACCTTGTCAAGAAGGGCCAACTCTAACATAAACATTTCCCAAAAATGCTTCCTGCTAAAACGTAAGCTCAGTCTGGCTAGAAATGCAGCTCACTTCCTAAAGATTAATTGGTAGCTAATTTTGCATGCTGTTCTCTGAACTTGAGTGAAACCTGTCCATCAGGCATACAGGGAATGACAGGAAAGGTGACAACAGAAGATGAATGCTATGTCACTAACCTTCAAAGATGACCTGCCTTTTCTTTCAAATTCTTGATATCTTAAGACTTCATTAATTCATGTCTCTTTTCCCTTGGTTCAACATTTTGCTATACCAAAACTCATGTGAAACAATGACCTAATGTAATAAAAATGGCATTTTTCTTTCATGTAGTTGCAAGCTAACTGGCATTTTTACAATCCACATATTTCCTTTGTCAATTTTTCATTCTGTATTGGAAGTAATTGATAGGTATTTCTGAAGGGATGAAGGTGTTTCTGTGTTCATTGTGATCCAAACTACTTTTAGACCTAGGGGGCGTTTGTAAAACAATTTGTGCCCGCTGACCAAGGATCACTGTGGCAGAAAGCAGCAAACTTGCATAAGATGTCACTGCTTCATAGGTTGGCTTTGAAAACTACGGGCTTACTCTATACTCTTATGTATAAAAGACATTGATAGATGTAGTATAAGATTACAATCATATTTTCCTTTTGGCAGTCACATTATAAAGCATGATGTATTGCAATTAATCTCAATTAGCTGATCACAATTAAAATTAATAATGTTTATTATTGCTGATAAAAATCATGTCTCTCCTGTTCTCAAATGTGCAAGTAATTCTTTTAATTTTAATACAAATTTGCATATTATTATTAATTGATTTAATCTCATTGGATTTGGTTCATGGATCCAATTTATTAAAATATTGATAATGGGATAATGATTTGTCTCCCCATTTCATGTACACTAAAAACAACATTTCTTTTTCTTTTTTTTTTTTTTTTTGAGACGGAGTCTCGCTCTGTCGCCCAGGCTGGAGTGCAGTGGCGCGATCTCGGCTCACTGCAAGCTCCGCCTCCCGGGTTCACGCCATTCTCCTGCCTCAGCCTCCCGAGTAGCTGGGACTACAGGCGCCCGCTACCACGCCCGGCTAATTTTTTGTATTTTTAGTAGAGACGGGGTTTCACCTTGTTAGCCAGGATGGTCTCGATCTCCTGACCTCGTGATCCACCCGCCTCGGCCTCCCAAAGTGCTGGGATTACAGGCGTGAGCCACCGCGCCCGGCCAAAACAACATTTCTTACAATGATCTGCAAGCCCATCATCATCTGCCACATGTTAACTGCCAAAATTCTTTTATATCTTCACCCTTGATCTTACCAGTGGTCCTGGCCACCTCACTGTCCTCTGGACATGCCAACATGCTGCTGCCTTATGGTCAAGACTCTAGTTAATTTCTTGGCTTGGAAAGATAGCCCTCCATATATCCATTGATCAGCTCATTCAACTTCCTCAAGTCTTTACTGAAACTTCACATTCTCGATGAGGCCTATTCAGTATTTCAAACTGCCTCCCAGCTGCAGCATTCCAAAACCCCTTACTCTTCTGTGTATTTTTGAAAGGATTTATTGAGATATAATTTACATAGTGTAGAGTGCACACATTAATGTCTACAAGTCAGTGGCTTTTAGTATATGCACAGATAAGTGGAGCCATCATCACAATGAATTTTAGAGCATTTTCATCACTTCAAAAAGAAACCCCACCTTCCCTAGCTGTTAACCTCCTATGCACCCATCCCCTACTCAATCCTAAGCAACCACAAATCTGTTTTCTGTCTCTATAGATTTTCCTAGTCTGTTTTCATCTAAATAGAATCATACAATAGGTGGCCTTTTCTGCCTGGCTTCTTTCAGTTGGCATAATGCTATCAAGGTTCATGTACGTATTGGTACTTTATTTCCTTTTATAACTGTATAACATTCAATTTCTTGGATATAACATTTTGTTTATCCAATAATATTTTTATTGACATTTGAGTTGTGTTCAGCCTTCGGCTATTTTAAATACTGCTGCTAAAAATACTTGTGTACAATTTGTGTTTGAACACCTCTTTCCAATAATCTGGGTGTATACCTAGGAATAAATTTCTGGGTCATATGACAATTCTATGTTTCATATATTTAGAAGCCATCAAATTATTTTCCAAGGTGGCCAGTTCTACCCATAGAGTATCTAACTGTGGTTTTGATTTGTAGTTGCCTGATGAGTGATGTTATTGAGTATATTTTTATGGGATTATTGACCGTTCGTGTATCTTCTTGGGAAACACATCTATTCCTATCATTTATCAGTTTTGAGTTGGGATATTTGTGACGGAGTTAAAACAATTTTTCTATATTCAAGATACATATATATATACAGACATATAGATACGTGTTTTTCAAATATCTTCTCACAATTTTTGAGCTGCCTTTTGACTTGCTTGTTTGTCCTTTGAAACACCAATGTCTTTAATTTTTAAGAAATTTTAAATATCTAATTTTTATTTTGTTGCTCATGTTTTTGGGGTTACAGCTATTTCTTTGCTAGATCCAAAATCCTGAAGACTTTCCCATATGCTTTATTCTACCTCTTGCATGTGTGTCTTTAATTCATTTGAGTTAATATTTTTGTATGCTTTGGGGTAAGGGTTCGAATTTATTATTTTGCAAGTGGTGATCCATGTGTACGTTGTTGACCCAGTTTGTTCAAAGACTGTCTCTTCCTCATTGAATTGCACATGGTAACACTGTAAGAATCCATTGACTGTAGACACATAGTTTTATATATGGACTCTCAATTCTCTTCCATCAATCTATATATTTTTCCTTCATCAGTATTGTGTTGTCTTGATTACCGATACTTTGCAGTAAGGTTTGGAGCATGGGGGTGTGAATTATCCTAACATGTTTTCTTTTCTCAAGATTATTTTGGCTATTTTGAGTCCCTTACAATTCCATGTGTATTTTAGAATCAGCTTGTCAGTTTCTAGACAGAAGTCTGTTGGGATACTTGCAGGGATTTCATCAAATCTGTAGTTCAAATTGTAAAGTACTACAATATTAAATAGTCCAATTCATGGGTGTAAGGTGTTTGCTAATTATTTAAATATTCTTTAAACAATAATTTTTAATTTTCAGAGTAAAATCTTGTATCACATTTTCCAAATTAATTATTATTTCTTTTTTTGATGCTATTTTAAATTGAAGTGTTTTCTTAAATTCATTTTGGGGTTTTCATTGCAGATGTGTGCAATTGATTTTTGTACATTTACCTTGTTTGCTGTAATATTGCTGAAATAATTTACGAGTTCTATCGTTCGGTGGATTCCTTAAAATTTTCTATATACAAGAATGTTATTTTCAAATAAAGTTTTATTTCTTCCTGTTCAGTATGGGTGACTCTTATTTTTTTAGTTGCCGATTTGCCCTGCATAAAATCTTTAGTACAGTGTTGACTAGAAGAGGTCAAAGTATATATCCTATCAAAGTATATATCTCTGACCATAGCGGGAAAGCATCTTTTAGCATTAAGTTGCATGCTTGCTGTTGGCTTTTCACAGGTGCCATGTATCAGGTGTAGAAAGTTCTCTATTCCTGGTTCATTGAGTTTTTATTTTTATTTTTAGTCATTAAAGCATTTGGATTCTGTTAAATGTCTTTTCCGAATCTATCGACGTGATCATGCAATTCTCGTTTCTTATTCTATGGATAAGATGTATTACCTTAATGGATTTTGGGCTGTTAAACCAACCTGGGATTACTTGTATAAATTTCACTTTGTCATAGTGTATAATTCTTTTATATGTTGCTAGATCTGATTTGTTAGTATTTTTTAAGGAAGTTTGCATTTATACTTATAGTAGTTTTATTTTTCTATGCTATTTGGACTAATTTTTGTATCAAGGTAACACTGGCCCCACAGAATAAATTGGGAAGTGAATATTTCTCTTTTTTAAAAAAGCTAGTCAAGAAGTAATATCAATTATTCAACACTAACAAATATTATTGTTATAAATTATTAATTTCTCTAATTTTAATTTTCTTCCTTCTGCTTGCTTTAGGTTTAGTTTGCTAATCGTTCCAGTGCCTTAATGTGGAACGTCATCTTATCTCATCCTTTCATTTGTCTTTTCATTTTGTAAATAGTGTCTTGTTAGCATCAGGTGAGCTCCCCAGGTTGGTAGTACTCCATGTTTGTTGTTGTACAACAGTGACAGGTAATATGTCCTGAAGACAATGGAAACTTAACATTCAAAATCTCCTAGATTCCACCTTATATGATATGTCTCTTCTATTGGTCCTAATTTCTACCCTTTCTCTATTATAAACCATGAGTACAGTGGCATTCAATGAGTTCTGTGAGTCTTTCTAGTAAACTCTTGAAACTGAGGGTGTTCAGGGGAAACCCCTGAACTGGCAGTTGGTGTCAGAAGTGAGAATCTTCTTACATGGCCTCTTCCTTTGAACTGTGCAGCTGGACGCAAACTCTTCACAATTTGGGCCAGAAGTCTTGTGTTGACTTTGCAGCCTAAAGTATCTTGTAGTTTGTCTAACCCTCAATAAATTTGCTTTCATCAAATATTGTATTTGTTACCCCAAAATTACCATCACGTTTTTTTTTCTCCAAATAACTAACATTGGAGAAATAGCCAGCTGAGTTTGTAACTCAACAGAAACAAGTGATCCATATACCATATAAGTGGCCATCTCATTTTGCCTTCTTCCACCAAATCTTAGCAACCTCAACCATTGCCATGAGCCACTGTAGGCCTACCAGCTACAAACAAACAAGTATCTTGTAAAAACACTTCATACTCCCATTTGATAAATTTCCCAGCAAAGAGATGTCTACTTTAACTCTATGCAAGTGGCTCATATTCACGAAGTCTGTAGATATTATTCATGTAGTGTGAGAAAATCATCCCAGCGATGCCAGCACATTCTCCTTCCCATGATCTGCTTAGTTTGCAAACATATTCAGGCCATGGGTGAGAGATTTGCATTTCACAGTACAACAATTTTATGGAGGGCATTGAAACTTACATTGAGCATTTTAGTACAGTCACACATCACTGAATGATAGGGATACGTTTTAACAGATGTATTCATAGGCAATTTCATCATTTTGCAAACATCACAGAGAATATTACAAACACCTAGATTGTACAGCCTACCACGTTTAGGTTATATGGTATAGCCTCTTTCTCCTAGGCTACAAATCTGTGTACTACATTACTCTACTGAATACTGCAGGCAATAAGAGCACAGTGGTAAGAGGTTATGTATCTAAACATACTTAAACGTAGAAAAGTATGTAAAAATATATATTATAATCTCATGGGACCACTTTTGTATATGTAATCCATCTTTGACTAAAATGTTATTATGCATGACATGACTCTATGACAAAAATAAAATAACACATTGTAAAAAATGTACACAGGTATCAAACATATTAATATTGTAAAAATAAAAATATTTATTCAGTGTAAGAATTTGTAATGATCACAAAATGTTCACAGCTTATATTTTAGTACAGTTTCAAATACCTAGTGCAATTGCTATTTATTTCTGTGTGTATTTTAAACATGTATATAATAAATATTTTTCAGGTTCAACAATATATATCAATCCAACTGGCTCTTATAAATATTAGTTAACATCAATTGGTAAATTCATATATATATATACACACGTGAATCAGTCTGTATGCATGTATGTGTGTGTAAATGTAACTGGATGCATCCTAATATTTACCCTTACCTACAAGGTTTCCAAGATTCATTTATTATCGTTAAATGGTGTGCATTTAAAGATTTACCAAATAAAACCGCAATCATGGAATATATCAAGATGTTATTAAATTCATCTTGTGCACATAATTGTTTCTTTAAATTTATGTTTCTTGCAAAACTTGCGGTAATGCTCATGCACAAAATAATTTTCTAAGTAAAAAATAAAAACATTTTCTCAGTCATTAATTCTTAAAAATTATTTCTCCCCAATAAATGATGTGAATTAATTCTTAATTCTTAATTATAGAATAATGTTACCCTTCAGAGTTCTGAATCTTTTGCACGTTGTATACATTTCACTCACTAGAACATCTTCTGGAAAATTGGCATTAATTAATGTCACTCAGCAATTAATGATTTCAAAGAAATTAAATACCATTCATATTCTGAATCACAAGGGTACTTTGTTATCTAATTTAATCAAGGTCTTTGTATCATCATCTACACTTTAATTACTTAACAAACATTTCTCTGTGTGAGAAAGATTGAGCAGGTTATTGTGCTTTTTTATGATGCAACTTTTGCTTAATCTAGAGATAGGCAATGCTCCCTATAAGGGACAAAGAGAAAAATGAAAAAGCAATAGAGATGTGAAAGGCATGGAAAAAGACAATACATTTATAAAACAAATAGGGCCACAGATGATGATAATGGGGATCAAATCTTGAGATACTGACTCAGTTTATAACCGCACTGTAAAATAGAGCAAATCATTTGTTAATTATTTTACAAATGGAATCTAATTTAATTAAGATGAATACAGTGTTTTAAACAAGGCAGGTCATCTTAAAATAAAATAGTGGAAAAAGTGATAAAACCAATGTAAAAATCATAAACATTTTATAAAGAATTTTTGTCATGTAATTTAATATTTTTCTTTATTTAAAATCACCCAAATCAAAATAATTTTATCTTAATTAACAAATAATCATCAGAAGTTAACTAATTTTTACTTTATAATACTAGGTTTAAAAATTCTTCACTATATTTTTAATCATACATGCTTATACATAAAATAGACGTAGGGTATGTGTTTACATGTTCACAATATTATATTGTAATTGTTCCTATGGATGTGGTTTTTCAATAGAATTAAGTACTTTTAAAAAGTTTCAATTTCAATGATATATATGTTTGATTTTTCTTTGACAAAGCATACATATATTGATAGGTAATAATAAGAAAATCTTCTAAAGACATTACAGGAACATGAATAAGTAATTAAATCCTCAATAATTTGTAATGTTTTATGTAAGCAGAACACATTTAACTGAAAATTGCTTTTATATAATACTCGAACGAGACTAAAAACATATTAACTAGCGGAGTAAGTCTTCAAATTGATAATCTGAACCATAGAAGAGGAGAAACGTCAAGCACTCAAATATTTGAAATGCTACAAAATATTTATATAAACTTATTTAACAATTTCTGTTTGTAGAATGCTATACAGTAATCAATATAAATGACATCTCAGTCTTTCTATAGTTTTGACCACATTTACCTCCTAATTTTAATTATTAATATGTTGGAGCAGCGCATACAACTAGATTCCGATCTTCCTTTTTAATGAGTAAAAATATGTCCTTTGAGACAGCATTAAAGAAAGAGCACCTTGTATAAATTCAATGCCAAGAGACAAGATATTCTTGATTCTGAAGTCTTGTTCTTTTATACAGCAATGTAATTAATAAGAAGAAGAAAAGCAGGACATAGAGATGGAGTCTATTTTCATCAAAAATTGTCTATAGATTTTGATGATAAAATTTAAAACTCTACTATATTTAGTTACTCACAAAAAACTAGGTTGTGGGAACATATTTGGTCAATAAAACACCCCTACCAAATGCTGACAAGAAAAAAAGTTAGGTACCACCTTTCCTCTCTGCAGATGGCCTGAGATGGGTTAATTTGAAAGAATGCTTCCAAACCTGAGGTGAGCCCTGAGAACAGCATAATCCACTGCTGTCTCCCACATTCAGTTTCTCAGTTTGTGCTCTTTTCATTTTGGGGGGAGGGAAGCCAGTCCTTTAAAGCGATCTTCAGCATGATGGCAGAGCCAAGGAGTGTGGACAGGTGGCACGATGTCTGACTTTGTTCCAGCAGCCACTTGGGCTTTCTCTGGGTCATCTCTGCCCTAGGGATAGCACTACTATTGAAAACATGTCTTTGTGACATCTCTATGCCAGGAACTCCCAACATATTTTCCTTGAAACTGATGAAATGAATACAAATAAACCAAGAGGTGTGCTGTTTGTTTCTGTTTCCTCCTTTCTGCAGCCCTTCTTGATCATCTAATATTTTTAAATACATTGTCGATCACCAAAAGGAGCATAAGGGCTTTATTCGTTTGTAGCAGATGTATTAATAGCCCAGCCCCTATTCCTTACCTGTAGCTGCTGGGAAGAAAACCATTCTTAACACTCTACAAGGTCTCATCTCCAGAATTTGCACCAGTTTCTAGCTGAGGACTTTCTCTAGCAGCACGGGAACTTGTTACTGGGCATGAAGTGGAAAGAAAAGGTGAGGGTAACTAAGAAGAATCTCCCTGGATTCAGTGATGTAATTCTGAGGCATGCCCCACATAGCTTCCCATAAAATTAAACCCAGATATCTAACACAGGAACTTACCTCTTAACACGTGTGGTATTGGCTTTTCTATCTTTCCTGTTTTATTTTGTTCTCTTTTCCTTGTCTCACTTTCACTGTGTCCTCACTCCTGCTTTAAGAATACCCAAACAAATATGTTCATTTATTTTTTTAGACTCTCAGAACACAGTTGATAGTTGAACTTGTAATCTATGATAATCAGCTTGGATGCTATATTGACAGGAAGATGGTGAACTCACAATGTCTAATTAAGATACAATTTAAAAAATATATTGAATCATGTCCAAAGACTTAAAAAGCCTAAGCGGCAGCGTCACAATTTCTTCTTTTTAGTTTACATGGTTTCTTAAACGCCTACAATTATTTAAAAGGAAGCCTTGAGTCTAGGAAAATTTGAGACATATGGAATAAATTACTAACCCATTTCTCCTTGAAATCCATTAGATGTTTGATGATTCTTCACATATATTTCTGAACTGAAAAGCTAGTTGGGAATTATTTTTATAAGCATATCCTTATGTAGTATTTTGTTTCTAAGAGTGAATGGAAGGTTTAAAGATTAAATTATTCTATCCAGAGAATAAAAAGCAATTATTTCACAAGGAGAACATGTGTATGTTGACACATTTTAAAATCTAGATTTTAAAATAGGTCCCATATAATTTTGAGTCAATTAGAATATGTATGTATCAGTCTGTCTACAGTTTTACACCTGTCAAAAGGTACTTGAACTAAAAGAAGTACCTTGAACAATTTTGAAATTTATTATTCCTCTGAAACTGATTAAAAGAATTACGGTAGAGTGAAATTTGGATTGGTATAATTTAGGATAGAAATTATTCCTTGGAGATCAACCTCTGCCAAGATAGTTTATAATGACATTGAGACTTTTTGATTTACACAATTTGTTATATAAAAAATACTAAGACGATGACAGATAAAACACAGACTTTAATTAAAATTGTACTAAAATTAAAAGTCTAAATAAATTACAAGGGTACGTGGTACATCTAAACGTATGTTTATATATTTTATTTGTGCATTTTATTCCTAGGGTTGCTTTTGCTTTAGTTTGTAAAACGTTCTTATTTTTATGACAATGTAGTATATACTAAATAAAGAAAAATCAGGAAATAGAAAATGAAGAAGAAAACATTAGCTATTGTCAACCAAATAAAAATTGTGCAATCACTAAGTACATGAACGATGTATTATTTGTACAGCATGTACAATGTTTATGCTTCACAGGGTGAGGTAGAGACTGCAAAACATTGAACCTGGGACAAATAAGAAAGTAAGGAAATTTTCACAATATATTAATATTACAGAAAATGTTGAACTTAACAGTTAAGATTCAAGTAGTGAAAAATGATAGTATTTAAGGAGATCTAGAAAATTTAATCTATATCAGTAATGTGTGAGAAGTATTAGAATAATGCTTGTATTTCTGGATTGGCATCGATTTCTATTGAGACTGGAAACATAATAGAAGTGAGCAAAAAAGAATTTAAATCGTGGATACTTAAGTTTTATACCTAGGAGTTCGAGAAATACATTTTGTTCCTATCAAAGCAGTTGGCACAAGAGTGTACAAAATTCCCTAATTGTGTCTATGTGGTGAAGACATAGACAAACAGAGAATAGCAAAAAATAATAGCAAAAAAGCACAAATAAATTTTACCTGTATTTTTACGTAAAAACCAATTAGAGTAGGAAAACATGAAATTTGTGTTTTATCAAAATTTTTCTCTTATAGTATAGTTGATTATATTACTGGAAAAAAATTGAAGCATTGGTATGTTCACAAAAAAAAAAGAGTAAAATATAAGGTCAAAACTATGGGAATGCAGGGAGCAGACAAAATACACCTAAACACTGAAACTGATTTTGCCCTACGGACATGTAGCAAAATGAATGTGTACAGATTCCTACTGTCATACATCACATAGGACAGTAAAGAAATACATAGTGTTTCCCAAGATAGGGCATCACACAGGAGCTCTTCCCTAAAGCTAGCACCAAAATTTATATCCTCAGTCTAAAGAAGAATCAGAGGTAAATTAGTCTCATTTCACATTCCCTGGAAATGGCAAATAAAAATGACTTGAGATTGGACAGATTTAAAGAAAATCATTAATGATTTACAGCAATTAATTTAAAAATTGTTTAAATGTGCTGTCCAAACATACGTCCAAACACCTTTAGGCCAAGAATTAATATAATGTGGTCCCAGAATGGTGGTGCCTTTAGTAGACTCACAAAAAATTCAAATTCTCTTTGGCAAATTTTGTTCTTACTAATATGCAAAAGTGCACAATAATAATTTTCAGAGAAAAATAAATCTTTGTCATTCAAAGACATCTAAGTACGCAAGGAAATGATATTCCACCATTTGAAAGGAAAGCAGAAAAAGAGTACAAACAGATCCACAAAGGTTCATTAGTAGAAATATCACTGTTAGATTATAAAGCACATTTGCTTTCAAAAATTTTAAAAAAATGAATATATATTTAGGAGACTAAAAAATTGATGTAGTAAATTTGAAAAGTAGTTTGTATATAGCATTTTAAATTAAAAACTCAAAAATGAACTCATCAGATTAGACATGGCCATGGTGAGAGTTCATAAATATTTCAGAATGCATTACAGAAAATTTAAATAAAGGCACAATGTGGACAGAATCATGAAGAGACATGGAACATACAGTGAGAAAGTGTAGCATGTGTTTAGTGAGTGTTCTCATAGAAGAAGGGAACTGGGAAGGGACAATATGTGATGGTATTTTGGCTGAAAGTTCTCTAGACTTTTGTAAGACACTAATCCACATATTCAAAACTTCTATGCATGCTAAGCAAGCTACAATGGAGATAAACCTACATCTACATATCTCCTAGAGAAATAGTAAACAATCAGGAAGGGAAAAATATTTCAATTAGCACTAGAAAAATCAAATTACCTTTAATCATATTGAAATCTGAAAGCATGAAAGGTAAAATAAACAATATTATTTGTTAAGAATAATAATGCCATTCTGAAATTCTCAACCAAGAAAAATATTCATCAACCTATGGCTAAATAACATATTTAGAGACAAAAAACAAAACACCACCAGCAGAATTCCACTAAAGAAACTCAAAGGAAACTCTGAAAACATGCTTCAGAAAGATTGAAGTTCTGAAATCAAAGAATGAACACAGAGGAAAATATATTGTAAATATACAGATAGATCAAAATAGAAAATTAGGTGTTGAAACAAAAGGATATTTAAAATTAGATAAACACTGCAATATATATGTTAGGAAGGAAATTATTAGGGCTGAAGTATTCAAAGACCCCTTAATTGTCTGACAAGAGCAGAAAGGTATGACTTTGCAACTTTTTTTTTTTTTTTTTTTTTTTTTTTTTTTTTGAGAAGGAGTCTCATTCACTCTTTCTCCCAGGCTGGAGTGCGGTGGCGTCATCTCCGCTCACTGCAACCTCTGCCTCCCAGGTTCAAGCAATTCTCCTGCCTCAGCCTCCTGAGTAGCGGGGATTACAGCCGCGTGCCACCATGCCTGGCTAATTTTTGTATTTTTAGTAGAGACGGGGTTTCACCATGTTGGTCAGGCTAGTCTCCAACTCCTGACCTCGTGATCCACACGCCTCGGCCTCCCGAAGTGTTGAGATTACAGGCGTGAGCCACTGCGTGCGACCGACTTTGGAACTTTAATAAATTGACTGGACATTATGCATTTCTCTGTTGTGTCTATGAAAACAATAAAAATAAAAGTCATAATTTTAAAACAAGAAGACAGAAAGTGATAGGAGAAAATGAGACATTATATATATATATATATACACACAACAAATTAATAATACAAAATTAAGTATAAATGATCAAAGATTAACTTAAACCTAAGTAGACAATGTTTTTGTTAAAATACAAAGATTGGCAAAATTTAAAACATCCGTCTCTATCATAGTTACAAGAGACACAACTAATATATAAATTTACAGAAACTTTGAAGTTCAAACAATACAGATACTGTGTATATATGATATACATACAAACATACTACATGAATATAATTTTTTAAAAAGTTGCTATGTAGACAAAATAGAATGTAAGTTAGAAACATTTATTAAAAGAAGTTAGTCTAACCAGTGTGATAAAAGTTTTAAGTTATTAAGAAGATGTGATGACTTAAATGTGCATTAGCCTGATACATACATATATATAGACACACAAACCACACACTCTCTCTCACACACACAGACACACACGTATGTAGAGAGAGAGTCAAATTATATAAAGCAAAAATATCAGAAAGTAAGTAGAAACGGATAAGCCCCCAAATATTATAGACATTTCAAACACACGTCTTTCAGTAATAGATAAAAGAAAAAATTAAAAGAGTAAGTTTTAAAAGAAGCTAGTGGATTTTAAAAAGGGCAAATATTATATAAGGAACATCAATATTATAATTCATGTTATTTTCATATTCATACAGAATACTTACAAAAATTAACATTTTCTAGACCATACGAATACCACAAATTCAAACAATTTTCACGGAAATAACATGACACAGAATATATTTCCTAAACAAACAGCAATGAAGGCAGATATCAATACAAAAATGAAAGTTAGAAACATAAGTGTAATAATATTGGTTGGAAGCTATTTTAATGAATATTGAAATATTTTAAAGGTGAATAGTCAATACAAATAAACCAAACACTTTTGTAAGGCCACTAAGATGCATGTGTAATGTGTAATGCCTCCTTTTATAAGGAGTAAATCTGTAACATCACCTGGGCTATTTGACAACTGCAAAGTGAATGTGAGAAGGAGAGAAACAGTGAGAGAGAGAGAGATAAAACCAGTAAAATAAACATAAAGAATGAAGGAGATAGCCAGGCGCCATTGTTCACGCCTGTAATCCCAGCACTTTGGGAGGCCGAGGCAGGTGGATCACCTGAGGTCAGGAGTTCGAGACCAGCCTGTTCTAACATGGTGAAACCCACTCTCTACTAAATATACAAAAATTAGCCTGGCATGGTGGCATGCATCTGCAATCCCAGCTACTCGGGAGGCTGAGGTGGGAGAATTGCTTGAACGTGGGGGGTGGAAGTTGCAGTGAGTAGAGATCACGCGACTGCACTCCAGCTTGGGTGACAGAGCAAGACTCCGTGTCAAAAAAAAAAAAAAAAACAAAAAACAAAAAAAACGAGGAAATAGTACACGAAAAAGCAGAATTAAAGCAACTGGGTATATATTTAAAAATGCAAAAGCTCACTTTTTCAGAAAAATATTAAAGTATTAAATCTAACAAATGTCTAGGTAGACTGATGGAGAAAAATACAGAAAATGCACAAAAAAACAATTACCTGGAATGCGAACGTTACAAAACATCAGCAGTTGTAGATTTTAAATAAGCAATGATTTTTGATTTCAACCATGATGGGGTATATTGAAAAGAATCTCTCAGAAAAAAAAGAAAAAGAAAACTGTTATAAAGCTATGTACAAAATGTTAAGCACTATTAAAGTCTTCCAAATCTACCAGTTACGGAGTTATTGGTCTTGGACTAACACTCCTTAAAAGGAAAAAACCAAACAAAACAAGACAAAACCTAAAAACCTGGATAAAATGGCCTACGGTGGGCACTGGCAATGCATCCAAGCAGGTAGGACCTGGGTGTTACATTCTCTTTGTCAGAACACAAAGCATTCATACACTCTTCTCACCCTCACTTTCACCTTTTAATCTTATCTACTATTAAATGTATTCAACATTACTATCAATCCTTTGGTCAAAATTTCTTTACTCACATTTTGCTTGATGCACTTGGATAGACTGTTCAAGAAAGTGTGAGTAGTGAATTCCTCAAACTCTTGCATATTCAAAATCACATTTTTGAACCTTGATGCTTGAAGTGTAGCTTGGGTAACAGATGGGCTTTAAGCCAATTTTGGCATGCAAGGGGCTGAGTTTATTAGGCATCAGCACCGCTGAAAATCGTGGGGATGCAGGCTTAATTTCAACACTATTCTAAATACTTGAAAGATATTATATAAGTCTTTAATAAACTCCTGTGTCTACAAATGGTTCACATTAACTCAATATCCATGATTAAACATCTATAAAATCAAGGCACTGTTATTTAGTGGAGACTTGCTGGCTATTCTATGAGAGGAGGTATTGTTATTGTAATCTCGTCATCTCATAAAATTGTATCATATTACTCATAACCAGCCCTTCATATCCTATTCCTATTTTGGTATTTTAAAATAAGATATCTTTGAAACTCTTGAATTCAAAGAGGGAATCTGAATAATTTTTAAAATGTCAATGAAATGCCATTTCTTCATGCTTCAACAACTAAAAATTGACTAAAGTGCTTCTCTTCAATCTTTCTGGAACATTTTTTATCTAAATTCTAAGAACAATCACTATAGGTTTTAACCACAAATGTGAAAATATTCTAAATGTTAGGGTGGAACAATTTTTTAAATATTTTATAGTAATTTTTTTCATCATAGTGACAGTGTGCTAAATTTTTTTAAGCCAACTATTACTGTAGACATTTAAGTCAGGATTCTAAGAAGCTGTGCTAAAGTCCAAAATTTAGTTTCATGTACACTGATATTATATATATATTTGCTTAAAAAATTAATACATGTGAGCCGTGTTTCAAATAGTTGAGAGATTATTATATCAAATATTCTTGATTATATAAAATGCCAATTACTTATAGGCAGACATGCTTTAAATAATTACTAAGGCAGTTGTGGTTGATTCTACTCTTGCTACTGGCATTTATAAGGACATACTATTATGGTCTGAAGAATATTTAGGCAAATTTATCCCTCATATGATCAGAAGAACAATGCAAGATAGTTTATATCTGAAAGGAAAAATATCTTTATATGGTTCTGAAAGCGTAAATCATTAACAACTTGGATAATAATTTGCATAAAAATACACAAACATGCCCTCTTCCTAGCAGTAAGTACACAGTGACAACAGAATCAAAGCATGTGGCTATGTGCATGTTTATATTTCAAGACGCAGAGCACTCTATTCCTCCTCTCTGCCCTTTCTAGATGGCACAATCCCTCATGAATCTAAGTGCAGTCATAGGGTGGATTAGGGTGACCTGCCATTTGTATGCAACTGATCTCTAGTTTGGAAGTAATTAATGTCAAAATATATTTTTAAAAGATAATTTCAAATTTCAGGGCAAACTAGCATGGTTTCACCCCTTTTCTTTGGAACATTTTTTCTAAGGTTGGAAAAGTAAGGTAGGCTTTAGTACGATTTTAAATAATAAGTTTTCAAAATGAGACGCAAAATGGTGGCGCCAACACATTTCAAATCTGCTACATTTTGAAGACACTTATTGGAGAAAAGACCTTCTCATTTTTCTCTTACAGGAAAGGAAATAACATGTACAGTTGACCCTTAAGCAACACGGAGGTTGGGGTGCTGGCCCCCTGCACAGTAGAAAATCCACTATAACTTTGACTCCCCCAAAACTTAACTACTAATAGCCTACTGTAAGCCTTACAAATAACACAGTCAATTAACACATATTTAATATGTTATATGTCTTATATACTGTATTCTTAACAAACATGCCAGACAAAAGAAAAAAGAAAATCATAAGGAAAATAGATTTACTAGTTATTAAATGGAAGTAGATGATCAAACAGGTCTTCATCCTCATCCTTTTCATGGGCAGGGTGTGGATAAGGATGTAGAATTGTTGGTTTTGCTAAGTGGACGTGCACAGTTCAAACCCCTGTGGTGCAAAGGCCAACTGTATAGCCATTGAATAGCAATTTATTTTTAGAAATTAACCTCACTAAAATACTCTTAGAAGGATGCCAAGAAAAAAAGTGAATAAGTATTTTTGGTTCATCTATTACATCATTTCATTTCATTATTTCATTTCTTTTCATCATTTCATTTCATTTCCTCATTTCATCCTTTCATTTCATCATTTCATCATTTCATTTCATCCTTTCATTTCATCATTTCATCTCATCATTTCATCTCATTTTATCATTTCATTTCATTCTTTCATTTCATTTCATCATTTCATCTCAACATTTCTCATCATTTCATCATTTCATCTCATCATTTCATTTCATCTCATCATTTCATTTCATCTCATCATTTCATCTTTTCATCTCATTTCATCATTTCATTTCATCTTATCATCTCATTTCATCAATTCATCATTTCATCTCATCATTTCATCTCATTTCATTTCACTTCATTTCATTGTTTCATTTCATTTCATCATTGCATTTCATCACTTCATCTCAACATTTCATTTCGTCATTTCACTTTATCTCATTTCATCATTTCATCTCATGATTTCATTTCATTTCATCTCATCATTTCATCTTTTCATCTCATCATTTCATCATTTCATCTCATTTCATTTCATCATTTCATTTCATTTATTTCATCATTGCATCATTTGATTTCATGTCATTTCATCATTTCATATCATTTCATCATTTCATCTTTTCATTCCATCATTTCATCATTTCACTTCATCATTTCATTTCCTCATTTCATCATTTCATTTCATCCTTTCATCATTTCATCTCATCATTTCATCCTTTCATTTCATTATTTCATTTCATAATTTCTTCTCATTGTTGCATTTCGTCATTCCATCATTTCATCATTTCACTTCATCTCACCATTTCATCATCTCACGATTTCATTTCATCTCATCATTTCATCTCATTTCATCTTTTCATCTCGTCATTTCATTTCATCATTTCATTTCATTTCATCTTTTCATCTCATTTCATTTGATCATTTCATCAATTCATCATTTCATCATTTCATTTCATTACATCATTTAATCATTTCACTTCATTTCATCACTTCATTTCATTTCATCATTTCATATCATTTCTTCATTTCACCATTTGATCTTTTCATTTCATTTCATCATTTCATCATTTCATTTCATCATTTCACTTCATCATTTCATCATTTCATTTCATTTCCTCATTTCATTTCACCATTTCATTTCATCATTCCATTTCATCATTTCATTTCACTTCATCTCATCACTTCATCATTTCATCTCATGATTTCATTTCATCGCATCATTTCATCATTTCATTTCATTATTTCATTTCATTTCATCATTTCATCTCAACATTTCATTTCATTTCATCATTTCACTTCATTTCATCATTTCATCATTTCATCTCATGATTTCATTTCATCTCATTTCATCTTTCCATCTCATCATTTCATTTCATCATTTCATTTCATTTCATCTTTTCATCTCATTTCATTTCATCAATTCATCATTTCATCTCATTATTTCATCTCATTTCATTTCACTTCATTTCATTGTTTCATTTCATTTCATCACTTCATCTCAATATTTCATTTCGTCATTTCACTTCATCTCATTTCATCATTTCATCTCATGATTTCATTTCATCTCATTTCATTTCATCATTTCATTTATTTCATCATTTCATCATTTGACTTCATGTCATCATTTCATCATTTCATATTTCAACATTTCATCTTTTCATTCCATCATTTCATCATTTCATTTCCTCATTTCATCATTTCATTTCATCCTTTCATCATTTCATCTCATCATTTCATCCTTTATTTCATTTCTTCTCATTGTTGCATTTCGTCATCTCATTTCATTTCACTTCATCTCATCATTTCATCATCTCATGATTTCATTTCATCTCATCATTTCATCTCATTTCATCTTTTCATCTCGTCATTTCATCATTTCATTTCATCTTTTCATCTCGTCATTTCATTTGATCATTTCATCAATTCATCATTTCATTTCATCATTTAATCATTTCACTTCATTTCATCATTTCATTTCATTTCATATCATTTCTTCATTTCACCATTTGATCTTTTCATTTCATTTCATCATTTCATCATTTCACTTCATCATTTCATCATTCCATTTCATTTCCTCATTTCATTTCACAATTTCATTTCATCATTTCATTTCATCATTCCATTTCATCATTTCATTACATTTCATAATTTCATCATTTCACTTCATCTCATCATTTCATCACATCATTTCATTTCATCTCATCATTTCATTTCATCTTTTCATCTCCTCATTTCATTTAATCATTTCGTTTCATTTCACCTTTTCATCTCATCATTTCATTTCATCAATTCATCATTTAATTTCATTTTTTCATCATTTCATCATTCACTTCATTTCATCATTTCATTTCATCATTTCATATCATTTCCTCAATTCATCATTTCATCTTTTCATTTCATTTCATCATTTCATCATTTCATTTCATTTCACTTCATTATTTCATTTCATTATTTCATTTCATTTCATTTCCCCATTTCATGTCATCATTTCATTATTTCATTTCATCATTCCATTTCATCATTTCGTTTCATTTCATCATTTCATCTCATTATTTCATTTCTTCATTTCATCATTTCGTTTAATTTCATCATTTCATTTCATCATTTCATCATTTCATTTCATTTCAGTGATACATGTATTTAATTGCTAATGCGATGCCCAGGAGACACCCTATTTCCCTTTGTAAAACACCTCCTTCAACAAAAGGCAACTTCTCATGGCTGGCTAAGTCTACAGGGATACCAGCCTCTCTTCAACCACCCAATTTCATTTAGAACCTCAAACGGCATCTCAGTTTCATAAAAACCTAAAACATAAACACAACACTTGGTTGTAAGTGAGCCAACAGTTTCTTGTCTCTTTCTCTGCTCAAGGCTTAAGGCCGTGTCTCCCCAACTACATTCAGTGGAAGAAAAGATCCCATGGACAAATAAGTTTGAGAATTGTTGTTGCAGGAAGTCTCAACACTTTCAAAACACAAATCCTCATCCGCAGGGACCTTCAAGAGGGAGATGACTGATGCAGCACAACTTTCTTTCACAGGAGTATCTTGCAGAATACAGTATGAGATACAGAAAGACTGCATTGAGTCTTTTTAATGGCCCGGGCCTTGGTGGGGGTGGGGTAGGAGCTCTCCAGATAGCATCTAATGAGTAGGAACATTCAGGTGGCTTTTCTTTTACCTTATTGGCAAAACTGTGTGTACACCATGAATGAAGCTGGTCTCCCTTATCCACGTCAAAACTAAACCCAAATTAATTGGCGAAATTGGGACTCAACACCTCCAGGAGCCACGCAGCAGAAAGCCCCAACACACTTTAAATTAGCTTACCTCATCATATTTGAGGAAAGCAGAACGCTTATGACCAGTATGCTGCTAATACAAGTCTACAGATAATGCTGTATGAAAAACTAGTTTTCCCAATCATAGCTGGCATAGTCCACATTTTGCATTACACTTTCCCCCCTTTTTTTAAATTTTAAACACAAGTCTTTTTCTCTTCTTTTTTTAAATTTTAATTAAATTATACAAGACGGAGTCTCAGTATGTTGCCCAGGCTGGTCTTCAACTCCTGAGCTCAAGCGATACAACAGTCTCCGCCTCCCAAAGTGCTGAGATTGCAGGCCTGAGACACTGTGCCTGGCCTTAAACACAAATCTTAATTCATTCTTACAATTATTCTGAGGTTACAAAAATGGAAGTGGAAGAAAAATGGCAAGTAGGTAGGCTGACTTCGGCTTCATTATTTGGAAGGACAGTTTGCTCGGTTAAAACACACTACTGCCTACAAAGGCCAAGACAACAGAAAAATACAGACTTACATAAATGGATTTTATATGTGACAGCAGTTTGAATGGAGACTTTTTCAATGCAATGAGAAACAGCTGTGCTTGGGAATAAATGACAACAAATTTTTTTATCTCAACAGCTGTCCTGAGACCATGTCTCTACATCTCTACCTGCATTCTGGAATCAGGGAGAAAGCCAAAACGGACAACAAGACACTAGATCAGCAGTGTCCAACCCTTTGACTACAAGGACTTTTCCACCTATCTTTGGTGGTGGGTAGCATGAAAATTATGCACAAACTTTTTTTTTTTTTTAACCCCATCAGCTGTTGTTAGCATTAGTGTATTTTATGTGCAGCCCAGGAGCATTCTTCTTCCAATGTGGCCCTGAGAAGCCAAAAGACTGGACACCTGTGCACTAGATCAAAAGGCTACTCCTTCTGGAAGCAATTGTAAAGAATTTCTGACATTATCTTGACATGAAAACCAATGGATAGTGGGACAGAATGCAAAATCTTGAAGAATTTTTCTTGTCTTTTTTTTTTTTTTTTTTTGAGTCACGGTCTTGCTCTGTGGCCCAGGCTGGAGTACACTGGTGAGATCACAGCTCAGTGCAGGATCAAGTGCTCCTCCCGCCTCAGCCACAGTAGTAGCTGGGACTACAGATGCTCACAACCACCCCTGGCTAATATTTTCTTTTTTGTAGAGATGGGGTCTCACTATATTGTCCAGGTTGGTCTCAAACTCCTTGACTCAAGGGATCCAGGAAAGGATAACAGGTGGGAGCCACCACACCTGGCTATGTGCATGAACTTTTAAGACAAACACAAGGCTCCACAAAAGTTAAGGTTTATCCCACCTAATTTCCAGGGGGATCTTTTGGTGCAAGGCTGAGAAGCCCTTAAAAGTACACAGACAACTCCAAAGATTCAAGACAGTTCATTCGGGCTGAGCCAGCCCACTGGGCAGACTGACCTTCAAAAAAGACCTACCCATGACATACACCAGATGGCTCTCCAAGAATCCCTTCAGTCCTCAGGGTCCCTAACGTACTGGACAGAGCTAGGAAAGCAAACCCATTTGCTTCTTCCTGCAGGAAACCCTTTGAGGTTAAGACCCCACAATCACATGAGGATGGAGTGGCTCACCCTCAGTCAACAGGCCAGACTCAAGGTGGTATAATGTCTTAACCACGGGTGCGGGCCTCCAGGTCTGACTCCCAACTCAGTTCTTCTTTAATAACCACACTTTGTTAATTTTCCTTAACAGGGGTTCCTGGCAAGTCATTTCTCCCTCAGGCCTTCGGTTTCCTCACCTACAAGATGAGAGGGCTGGACCAGATGGAAATTCAGGGGGTAAGGGGATGTCCTCGCGCAGCCCACCCCCACCCCCACGGGACCCTGGAGCCTCCATCCCAGTTCCCACCACACACCCGCTCCACAAATCCTGCCCAAGGTGAGGGCTGGTCCCGGGTCCTCTGGCTGCCGCATCAGCGAGTGCAGGAGGGAGGGGAAGCCTCCAAGGGGGTGACGTGGGCTCAAGGGTGCAACTCGGCCAGGAGTGAACTGGGGCCCCGAAGGAGGTGTCCGGGCTGCTCCTGGAGCCCAGCCCGGGTCCCCGAACCCCTTACCTCCAGGGTCTGTATCTCCTGCTGGGTGAGGTCACTGGACACAGCGCACTTGGTGCACAGCCCGCACAGGCTGCCAATGAAGATGACGATGAGCTTCTGGAGCTGCCCGCACTGCTGCAGCGCCCGGCTGGCCGCAGCCCCTGTGCCACCCTCCGTGGCCGCCGCATCACCCCCACCACCACCATCCTTCTTCTCCCCCATCGCCTCCGCAGGCAGCGCCGCTCTATGCAGGCCACAGGGGCCTAGGCAAGGAGCCCGGGGCGCCGGCACCTAGGCAAGGAATCCCTAAGCCAGGAGAGCTGGACCTGGAGCACCCCTGGGCGCTGCCCTTGCCAGGACGCCAGTAGAGCTGGCAGCCGAGCCTGCCGCTCCCGCCCTCAGAGCCGCGGCGGCGGGGACAAAAATCCTCGGCGGCGAGGGCAAAAAGTCGCGGTGGCAAAAAGCGGCGGCGACCGGGGCAAAAAGTCGCGGTAGCAAAAAGCCGCGGCGGCGGGGACAAAAAGCCGCTGCGGCGGGGGCAAAAGGCGGCGGCAACAGCGGCAAAAAGCCGCGGGCGCAAAAAGCGGCGGCAACAGCGGCGGCGGCAAAAAGCCGCGGCGAGGAAAAAGTCGCTGCGGCGGGGGGGCAAAAAGCCGTGACAGCGGGGGGCAAAAAGCCGCGGCGGGTAAAACGCCGTGGCGGGTAAAAAGCCGCGGCGGGCAAAAAGCCACGGCGGCGGTGGGGCAAAAAGCAGCGGCGGTGGCGGCGGGGGGGCAGAAAGCCGCGGCGGCAGAAAGCCGCGGCGGCAAAAAGCCACGGCGGCGAGGGTGCAAAAAGCTGTGTCGGCGGTGGGGCAAAAAGCCTGGTCGGGCAAAAAGCCGCGGCCGCGGCGGGGGGCAAAAAGCCGAGGCGGGCAAAAAGCCGAGGCAGGGTGGGGGCAAAAAGCCGCGGCGGCGGAGGGGCAAAAAGCCGCGGCGGCGGGTTAGGGCAGAAAGCCGCAGCGGGCAAAAAGCCGAGGCGGGGTGGGGGCAAAAAGCCGCGGCGGCGGGTGGGTGGCAGAAAGCCGCGGCGGGCAAAAAGCCGCGGGGGCAGGGTGGAAAAAGCCAAGGCGGTGATAAAGCCGCGGCGGCGGGGGGGGGGGACAAAGCCCTGGCGGGCAAAAAGCCAGGGCGGCAAAATTCGCAGCGGTGAAGAGTCAAAAACCTGCGGTGGTCAAAAAGCTCTAGCGTTGAGGGGGCAAAAAGCCGCAGCGTACAAAAAGCCGAGGCGCGGTGGGGGGAGAAAGCCGCCGCGACGGGGCGGGAAAAATCCGCGGCGGCGGGGGGGCAAAAAGCCGCGGCGGCGGGGGGCGAAATAATGGAGATGGGGTAGAAGGCCGGCACAGCTTGGCATTGCTGGAGTGGATGTGACAGGAAATGTGCAGCCAAAGACAAAAAAAGATGTAAGTAGGCTTGACTCATTGAAGCTAAGAACCCAGATGTTATCTTGAGGGTATTAACTAATAAGCAGTTTAAATCAGAATGGCACATTCTGATTTGTTGTTTGTATGTTCACATTTGGCAGGCATAGATACTGTTTGAAGAGAGAAAAGTCAGTAGAGAGAGGTAACAAACTTAAATATGTGCCAAGTCTAGAAACAAGAGACCAGGGGGATAGGGACCTTTCAAAATAAAATGCAAGATGTGAAAACTGGCTGGGGGATGAGGAAAAGGCAGGTCTTTAAGGTCCATCCCTGTTTTGCTTTAAGTTGTTAGGGGGTGGTTTTATCACATGTTGTAGAATATGTCATTTCAGTTTTGAACATCTTGAGTTAAATTGTCCTAACATATCTTATGAATTTGATTTTCTTCCCTGGGAAGCTAATATTTCAAACACTTAAAGAGTATATAGATTTCCAACTTGTATCCCGTTTATAAAACTATCTCTAGGCTGCTGATTTCAGGAGGAGGCTCATGAGTATTCTCTTTGCAGAGAATATATCAGGAGTTAACAACAGCTTCAATATTTGTGGACGACCAGTTAACTAAGCCAGCTCTTAGTGTCTTTAGTTGGGAAATCTTAGCTGAAGATATTCAATAATGAACCAAGAGTGACTAAAAAATTCAATATTTAAGTATATTTCATTGTAATTAATTTGAATTGAAATAGCCATATACAGCTAGTATTTACTATATTGAACAATGCAAATAAGAGGAGAAAATTAATAACCATCTCTAATACCACATGCCAAAATCCTCATCAATTTATTCTAGCTAAAGGAGTTGATCAGAAGCAGCAGTTGAAAGCACCAACTAAACCAGCTGGGGTTAGTTCACTGTCATTCTCTCAGAACCATCTCTTCTCTGAACAAAACAAGTACAAGAGTTCATTGTGAATCTGCATTCTCCTTGCCTATTTTAAGGTTTTGATGTTGACACAAATTTGTGAAATCCCTCCTGTGGTGTGATATTTCGTTTTCCTTGCTTTCTGTTAGGACAAGAATGCTTCAGCTCTTAATTTAAAATTATGTTTCTCCCTCCTAGGTTGAGTGAACTTAGAATGCATTCTCTGACATATCCAAGATTTTGTTAATATGATTTTCGGGAAAAAAGCATACTTAATTAGCTAAGACGTCTTATTCTAAGCTTGACCCTATGTTCGACATCTTTTGAATTTCTAGTTGCATGGGCTGCTCTCTGACACTGGTTAGTGACCTGGAAGCTATATTAATGTTAGGGGAGGTGGTGTATGAGCATTAGAGGTATCCTTGCAAGGAAAGACTTGTCTTATCTCAATATGTCTTTTTTTTTGCACACAAGAAAGTCAATGTCTGAGTCTTCTAAAATCTTCCTATTTCCAAATTGCAGATTATGATTGATTCCTAAACAAAGACCTAATTTTTGACTCAGAGACATGGCAAGGTAGTGAATCACCATTATAATTTAACAATCTTCAAGATAAAATTATCTCTGATATTTAGATTTTACCCAATTATTAAGATATTTGGGTGTTTCGTTAAGAATGGAAAACTCTAGTCTCTTGAGCAGAGACTATAAAGGCCTCAGATGATCATTTTCAATTTTATGCTCTTTTCTTTAACACCTTCAACACAGTTGGAAGCAGCTGATATTCCCCAGAGTTGTTGTGTTTTTTAAACCAAATGCATGGTTCAGTGGTAGAAAACTGGGCTGATCCAAGCTGTTTTCAGTAAACACTTCATTTCAGGTGACCTATTTCATATTAAATAATCTGTAGATCCTGTCTTTGAAACTAACTAGATCAGATAACCTACCCTGGATTTTCTCCTTTTAGGTTCTGTGAGCTGCAGTCACTTTTGTGAAAATGATTGCAATGACAAGATAGAGTTGTAGATGGGGAAAATGTTTTGACTAATTTAAGCATAGTGGTATTTCATATGAGAATTTAAGTTACACACATTTGAAAATTATAATGGAGTCTCTTGGCTGAGCTGTAAAAAAAAAAAAATGGCGTTTAGGCTAAAAAGGGAACTGCTACCTCTCCTAAAATCAGAAAGATGTTACAGTAATTCTCCATTCTCTAGAATTATCAAGAAGCACCTTTGTGATGATTTACTTTTGCTCTTGCGAGTGTGAGCCCGTGCAGTCGTGGAACCATCAATTAGAATGGTGGCTTTCTGATCCCAAAGTCACTCGTTCTGAAAACAATATTTTTCATAAATTTGAAAGTGAGAAATTTTGATCTTGCCATTCCCAAGTAACTCTCTTAATAAGAGGCATCAGCATGCTTCAGTGACAGCTGTCACCTTCCATTGCTGAGAGTCATCTTTGAGTTCTCTATTTCACTCCCTACACTCCAATTTAGCTGCAGTTCTCTTGGCCAGTCCTATGAAATACATCCATGGCCTAACGACTTCTCACCACTACTACCACTCATCCTGACAGCATTCTCACCTAAGTCACTACCTTTTTTCGCTGGATTAGAGTAGCCTCCCAATTTATTTGCTCACATAACCTATTTATTCTACACAGTGCACCAGATACACCCCTTTGAAATGCAAACACAATCATATTATTCTCTGGTGAAATTATCTCATATATTCCTATCGCATTTAAAATTAATTCAGAATCATCCCATGATTATCAAAACCCTACATGCTCTTCCACAACATGGTTTACTTCCAAGATATCTCTTCAACATTTTTTTCACTGTACTGAATTGGTGACTAATAGTCGTATTTTTTTTTTTTGCTCAAAAAGTCTTGACTTGTAAGTTTTTCAGTTTCTCCTTTATCCACAGGTAACTCTTTCCTCATAAGGCGAATTGCTTGCTTCCTTGAGTTCTGCTCTCAAAGATACCCTTCATTTTCTACCTAATATTAATAATTTTAATCATTCATTATTCCATTACTATGCTCTATAGTGTATACAATTTCTGTTCTTTGTCATGTTATTAACTAAATTATTTATTGGGTCCAGTAACGTATTCCATAAATATTGTACACATAAAAATTGTGTTATTTTTATTCCTGTATGCTCAGCTGCCCAATAACAGTCTGAGGATTAACATATTTGTTAAATGCACAAATACATTCTTTCACAAATATTAGTTTAATAATTTTATATTAAACTCCCTCTATACTTACAATATGAATTAGATAATTCAGAATAAACATTCCATTGGAAAAAGCTACACAATTTGTTATAAAACATCCTTAAAAGCATCAGAAAGTTAATACAGCAATGAAGAATTACAGGACCAAATTAAGAATGGTATGAAAGCCTGTTTGTGACGCTTATGTTTGGGTTATCTCTTTATTTGAGTGACTATAAATCTCAAAAGAGAACTAAAGGGAGAAATAACCATATCTACTAACATGGTAAGGGTACTTAAACATCTCTTAGTAATTGAGAAAATTGAAAGAAAAGAAAAAGGAGAAAGGGAGAAAGAGAAACAGTGAAAGGGATAATGAAGGAGAGAAAGAAGAAGAGAAAGGAAGAGGAAGAAAAGTAAAAAGGAGGAGGGGGAAGGAGGAAGGAAGAAAGGTGAAAAGAAAGAATGGTAAACTTTTTAACAACATAATTTATCCTTCTAGAATATGAATGTTGGTCTATTTGATGATGTCCCACAGATTCATTAGTCTCTGCTCATTGTTTATTTTTTATTCTTTCTGTTTCTGAGAGTCAGTATTTTCCATTTTCTTCTCTTCAAGTTCATGGCTTCTTCTGTGTGTGCAAATATACTCTTAAATCCCTCTGGTGATTTTTAAATTTTTATCATTGTAGTTTTCCACTCCAGAATTTCTGTTATCTCTTTGCTGATATTCCTACTTTTTAATATTTTTTCTGATTCCTTTATTTCTTTATGTTTTCCTTTTGACATTTGAGTATAATGAAGAGAGTTGTTTTAAAGTCTTTGTCTGGTAAGTTTGATGTCTGGGTTTCCTTAGGGATATTTTCTGTCAATTTATTTTGGTCCTTTGAATGAGCCACACTTTCCCATTCTTTGTATGCCTTGTAACGTTTTTGAAAACTGGACATTCTAATAATTATAATTACTATGTGGTTACTCTGTAAATCAGAACCCCCCCCTACAAACACAGTAATGTTTTGTGGTTTTAAATTTTCTTTACTTATTATATTGTGAAGGATTTTTTTTTTTTTAGTGAAATTTTCCAAAGTGATTTACAAAACTGTTTGGTTTATAAGGTGTGGTCACCGAAGTCTTTTTGTTTCCTTAACAAATGTTAAGCTAATGTTTTCACAGTGATTTTCTGGTATGTCAGGAACCAATCAAACAGGCAAATACAAGAAAAACAAAAAGAAAAACAAGTAATCATTGTCCAGCAAAATATGTCTCTAGGCCATGCAGACTGGCTTTGTGCTGGGTTCTTTAAAGCCGGCACAAAGTGTGTGTTCACTCTTGCACTGAGTGAAGTTCAAGTTCACTCTTGCACAGAGCTTGCACTGAGGGGAGGGATCGGCCAAGGTAAAAGTGTAGTGTCTTCTTATGACATTTGTCAGCATGTGGCTTAACCTATGAATACATGTGACTTTGTAGACTCTCCCATGTATGTGAATGATTTTGTATGTCTTAGTTTTTGAAATACTCTTCTCCAACTTTTCTTGCTGTGCTGAAGGTGATCTACTATATGTGTAAACTTTAATTTTTGCCCTAAGCATCTGTGGTTTGTTAGGTCTCCTTGCAGAGTTTCTTAATAATGTCCATTCCTTATATGTTCTGTATTCTAGCAACACAGAAAAAAAAAAGCCTTTCATGAGTCCTTTAGGTATCCCCCAGACCAGTCAGAACAGACACATAATAATTTGTGGTTAAGATCTTCTCTTGTTCCTTTGGACCATGGACCAGGCTTCCTCACTGGGAACGTGGGCTTCTGACACTTCAGAACTGCCAATTTGCTGGGGCAAAGGCAAGTTAAAAATGTCGTAAAGTTTTCCAGTTGTCTTTTTCTTGAGTCTGCTTTCACTTGGATGTTGTAATCTTTTGACCATTTTCCAGAGTTTTGGCGAAGTTTATTCGGACAGTTTCTCTTAGTTGTGTGATGTTTCTGTGGGGAAATGAAAGATTGCAGCTTTCTCCACTGCCATTTTGCTGATGCTCCTCTTTTGTCAATTTTTGCTTCATGTTATTATGCTTTGTTATTAGTTCATGTATTAGTTTTCTAGGGCTGCCATAACCAAGTAACACAAACTGGGTGCCTTGAACAACATACATTTAGAGTCTTATAATCTTATAGTCCTGGGAGCTAAAAGTCTGAGATTGAGGTGTCAGCAGGGATGGTCCCTTCAAGGGCTATGAGAGGAAGCCTGCTCTGTGCCTTGTTTCTCACTTCTGGTGGTTTAGTGGCAGTCTTTGGCATTCCTTGGCTAATCTCTGTCCTCATAATCACATGGTACTCTCCCTGTGTGTATGTCTCCCTCTACTCAAATTTCTTCTTTTCACAAGGACATCAGTCATATTGAATTCAGGCTCATCTGATTGTATCTTAACTTGATCAGCTGCAAAGAACCTATTTCCTAATGAGGTCATATTCAGTGGTTAGAATTTCAGCATCTATATAGAGGAAACAATTTAGCTCCTATCTGTGCATACATGATTGTAATAGCTATGTCTTCCTAAAGCGTTGTCCCCCTTTTCACTAGAATATAAACTTTTAAAATCCTATTCATATTTTTAATAGTCTATATTGTGTGTTATGAGTATAATGATTTCAGTGTTCTTATGATTGCTCTTTGCATGATATTTTTTGTCATCTTTTTACTTTCAATCCATTAGTATCCTTGCATCTCAGCGTATATTGGGATCACTTGTTTTAATCCAGTCTGACAATCTCTGCTTCTGGAATGGATTTTAATCTGCTCACATTTAAGATTATAATTGGTATAATTCTATTTATGTCTGCCATTTTACCGTTTGTTTTATATATTTCTCAAATATTTTTCTTTATCGCTTTATTTTGCAATGAAAGAATATTTTCTAAAATAGGGAACTTTAGATTACTAATGAATTATTTTATTATATATTTTTGAGAATTTTTGTTGTTGTAAGTTTACCCTATATGTATATGGAAAATTAATTATTCAAACCATCTTCCAATCTACACTAGTAAACTTTTAGTAATACATAGAAACAACATTCTTATATAAATCTCTTTTGTTTCCTCCATTTTAAAGTATTATCACTTTACACATTACATCTATTAAAGTTACAAAGCCAACAATACATTTTAGTAATTATTACTTTACCATCTAGAGTTATTACCTTATCGCAATACATTTTTCTTCCAACTACCTCCTTTTTGATGTTACTGGAAAATATGTTATAGACGTGTTCCATTTCTACATGTCAAATACTCAGCAATACATTCTGCACATATTATTATTATTATCATTGAGACGGAGTCTCCCTCTGTCACCCAGGCTGGAGTGCACTGGCACAATCTCTGCTCACTGCAAGCTCCATCTCCCGGCTTCATGCCATTTTTCTGCTTCAGCCTCCCGAGTAGCTGGGACTACAGGCGCCTGCCATCACGGCCGGCTCATTTTTTTGTATTTTTAGTACAAACGGGGTTTCACCATCTTAGCCAGGATGGTCTCGATCTCCTGGCCTTGTAATACGCCCGCCTTGGCCTCCCAAAGTGCTGAGATTACAGGTGTGAGCCATCGTGCCCGGCCATTATACACACGTTATTTAATAAACAATTTATGATAAAGAGAAAAAATGCATTTTTACTGTCTTTTATAATGTCAATATTACCTATACCAGTGCTTTTTAAAAAATGTGGATTCAAGTGACTGTCTTCTGTAACTTGCTTTTAGCCTTAGGAATTTATTTTAGAGTATTTTTTTATATAGTAGGTCTGCCAGCAACAACTTCAGTTAATATTTCTGTTTATCTGGGTAAGTCTTTGTGTTATCTTCATTTTTGAAAAATAATTGCTGGATAAGGAATTCGTGGCTGAGAGTTTTTTTTCCTTTGCATCTTTTGAATATATTATTCTACTGCCTCTTGCTTCCATTGTTTCTCTTAAGTCAGCTGTTAATCTTACAAAACATAGGTGCTCAAAAAATAAACATGTGCATGAATATTTACAGCAGTAATATTCATACAGTCAAAAAGTGGAAACAATCCATATGCTTGTTGACTCATAAATGGACACCCAATTTTCAGCTATAACAAAGAATGAAGTACTTATATATGGTATAATATTGGTGAAATTTGAAAGCATTCTGTTAAGTGCACAAAAGGACAAATATTACTTGATTTTATTCACATGAAACATTAGGAATTGGCAAATCAATTGGGATATAAATCAGATTAGTGGTCATTAGGGCTCAGGGAAGCAGATTAGGGTGTAACAACTTTATGTATAATGGGTTTTTGGAAGGGACATGATGAAATTGCCCTGGAACATTGTGAATATGCTAAAAGCAAGTGCATTGTATGCTTTAAAATGGTGGTTGTTAATTTTATATTATGTGATTTTTACCTTAAAAAACAAAAAAGAGAAAATAGCCTTACTCTATACATAATAAACTCAAGATATGTTACAAATTTACATGTGAAATCCTAAATACTATAATATTTAAGGAATAGCTAAGTAGAATAACACTGAAATTTAACATAATGAAACATTTCCTTAAAAAAGAAAAAAGCACAGTAATTAAAAAGGGAAATATATTTAATATTTTTTCTCTCCATTAAGCATGCCATTAACTGAGTAAAAAATCAAGCTGCAATTATGTAAACTACCTTTTCTAAAACCATAAAGAAAAGAAGAAATAAAAAGGTATTTGGGGAAAAAATCCAAAGGTACAGTCAACTACACAAAAAAGCTTAGTCTCATTAATCATTATGAAAATGCAAATGGTAACTGAAAGAAGATAAAACTACAATTCAAAGAGAAACCCTAAAATTTCAACCCCCCAAAAAGTCTGGGTTTTGGAGATCTGGGATGGAATAGGGTTCCAAACCTGACAACAATGAAAGACCCAAACTAACTTCAAAGTCATGACTTTATTTTTATAGCAACGAGGTTGCCAAGAACTGAGTCAAAATGTGAGGGAAAACAAGCACCTGCAAGGCGAAAGAGGACGGATGCACTTACATAGAACAGACGCAAATAGGCACCACCATGACAAGTAAAGCTGGAATAATCAATAAATTCCTAAAGACAAAGTGGGGCTGGTGAGATTGGGAGACGGCTGACAGCTGCAGAAGTTGGGAAAGATCCATCATCTTGAAAACTTTTTCCCCACAAACCCACTGCGATCTCTCAAGCAACTGGTAAGGAATCCAAGAGAGTCTGTATATGACACAGATCAGGGAGAGCAGAACACTTGGGAGGTGACCAGGTCTTGGGGGCCGAGCCCTTATGAATGGGATTAGTGCCTTTATAAAAGAAGCTCAATGGAGTTGTTGTGTGCCTTCCACTATGTGAGGACATAGAAAGCAGGCACCACCTATGAACCATGAAATGGGCTCTCATCAACACTGAATTTGTGAGCATCTTGACCCGAGATCTTACAGCCTCAAGAAATGTGAAAAAAGAAATATCTGTTGTTTTTTAGTCACCCGGTTTATGTTATTTTGTTATAAGAGTCCTAATAGAGCAAGATATTCCACTTAATATGTAGGGGAAGGCAACAAAAACTGCCACACTTAGGATCCTCCTGATGCTGGGAGTATGAAAACAGGAAAAACAAAACAAAACTGCTCTTGAAGGTGAAGGAGGAATATCACTGAGCTCACCAACACAGCCAGGAAAAGAACGGAAGTGTGAGAAGGCTACATTCCTGAGACCCTGAGAAAAAGTACCTGCATAAGACTGAGATGAAATTACCTACTCTAGTTATGATTGAAATCCCAAAAAGAAAAGAGGGAAAAATAATGGAGCAAAAGAAATATTTTTCAAAATAACTGCCAAAAATATTCTAAAAGAAGTGACAGAAAATCAAACTTCAAATATAGGAAACTCAGAGAATGTCAAATAGAACAAAAAGAAATAAGAATCGCATCTTGAAAAATCTTTAAAAAATCAAGTCTAAATTTTATATCTTGCTCCAAATATATAGAGATATAAAGAGGTTATCATCAAGATATGGAGAAAGCCATATCATGGAAACACTAAAATAAGGCTGTGGAAGGACTACATTGATATTAGACACAACAGAGTTCGGAACAAGAAATAGTATCAGAGATGAGAGATAATAGATAATAGAATAATCAATTCTCAAGAAGATGTAATCATCCTACTAATTAGGGTATGCAGCTCACAACAGAACCTCCAAATACATGAGGTAAAACAGGAAAGAAATCAAAGGTGAACTGGAAAAATCCAAAATTATATTTGCCGACATCAACACTTTTGTCTTAGAAATGGAAAGACTAGGCACTAACTCAGTAATCATGTGGAAGATAAGAACAACAATATCACCAACAAGACATCCAATCTTCAATGGCAGATACTCTTTCCTTTCAAGTGAAAAAAAAAACAGTATGGCATATTCTCTAACAAACCCAGAATTTCTAATATTTGCGTTCTTCCTTCTTTCTTTCCATCTTCCTTTCTCTTCTCTTCCCTTCCCTTGCCTTCCTCCTTCCTTTCTTCTTTTCCTCTTCCTTTTCTTTTCTTTTTTCTTTTCCTTTCTTTTTCTTTCTTTTTTTCTCCTTCCTTCCTTCTTTCCTTCTTTGTGTCTTTCCCTTATTCTTCCTTCCCTAATCCCTCCCTTCCTTTCTCCCTCCCTTTTCTTCCTTCTTTTCTCATATTCTTTCTTTCTTTCTCACGTTCTTGCTTTCTTTCCTTTTTTGTTCCCTCCTCCCGCCCTCCATTTCTTCCTTCCTCCCTCCCTTCCTTTCCTCTTTTTCTTTCCTTCCTTTGCCTGTTTATTTTCTTTGTTTCTTTGCCTTCCTCCCTTTTACCATTCTCTCTTCCTCCTTTCCTTCCTCCCTTTCTCCTTTCTTTCTTTCTCTCTCTCTTTCTTTTTCTTTCTTTCCTTCTTTCTTTCTTGTGTTCATGCTTTCTGTTTTCTCCCTTCCTGCCTTTCTCCCTTCCTCCCTCCCTCCCTTCCTTCCCTCATTTCCTCCTTCTTTTCTTCTTTCTTTCTTTATTTCCTTCCTTCCTTCTTTCCTTCCTTCTTTTTCTTTCTTTGTTTTCTTTTCTTTCTTTCTCTTTACTGCAATTCATATTATTTTAAAAAAATTAGAAAGGGAGAGAGAAAAATATAGAACGCTTTAATCTGCAGGTAAATAAATTATTTCTGCTGTAGACCAAAGAATGGCCTCCCAAAAATTTTCATGTCCTAATTCCCAGAGTCTAACATACAATTATGTTAGGTGGCACGGCAGTGTGAAATTAGATTTCAAGTGAAATTAAGGTTGCAGAAAAATGATAGAGAGATTGTCTTAAATGGGTGGGATCAATGAAATCACAAACTTCCTTTTAAATGAAAGAAGAAGGCAGAAGAAAGGCAACCTTGGAGGTGGTGGCATGAGAAATTACTCAACATTACTGACTTTTAAGATACAAGAATGAGGACCCAGCGCGGTGGCTCACGCCTAATCCCAGCACTTTGGGAGGCTGGGGTGGGTTTATCACGAGGGCAGGAGATCGAGACCATCCTGGCTAACATGGTGAAACCCCATGCCTACTAAAAATACAAAATATTAACTGGGTGTGGTGGCAAGTGTCTGTAGTCCAAGCTACTCAGGAAGCAGAGGCAGAAGAATCATTTGAACCCGGGAGGCAGAGGTTGCAGTGAGCTGAGATCGTGCCACTGCACTCCAGCCTGGGTGACAGAAGGAGACTCCATCTCAAAAAAAAAAAAAAAAAAAAGAAAAATAGGATATAAGAATGAGGTCATGTTCCAAAGAATAAAGGTGGCCTCTGGATGCTGAAAAATATCAAGTAATAGATTATGCCACATAGCCCTCAGAAAGACTGCAGCCCTACCCAAAACTTGATGTTAGCCCTGTGAGTTTCATTTAAGGCTTCTGTACTACAGAACTGTTGGACTAACGGTCACTTTATTGTAAGACATGACGTTTGTGGTAATTGGTTACAGCAGCAAGAGGAAGTTTATATTGTAATTGTATCATGAAAATGAGAACCATAAGTTACAACTGCTTTTAATACAGCACTTGGATGTTTGAAATCACGTACATGGAAATGATCTCTATGTGCATGAGGGAGGAGAGCAAATTGATGCCAAAATAATGCAAATGCAAATCTTACACTCATTTCTATGTAGGTTTCATTTAATCTTTGAAATTAAAATGAAATTAAAAGATTGTGATCTTTTGATGAAATTAGACTAAAATGAACAATAACAAAATAAGAACTTACTTACATTCTTTATATGGTCAATAAAGAAGTGATAGTGGAAAAAAACAAGATCAAATGAAGGTGATGATTTAGGAAGTTGGAAAGATAGCTGAAACTACAAAATGGTATATAACCAGTGAACCCTTAGACACACTGATTAATGAACTTCAGCTTTTGGCTTGGTGAGAGCATAAAATGAGAGCAGCTGAGCTTTGCCAATTTGTAATCTCCTTGTGGAAAAACAGGGGAAAACACATCTCAGCCTAATAAGATTTATCTACTAAAGAGTCTAGACTTGATCCATTTGTCCTTGTAATTCAAAAGCTAATTCAAATACTGATTTGATGTATTGTGTGAACAACCATTGCTGATTATCATCGCATACCTGGCATTCTCTTGTATCTGATATCTAAAAGATTTGGTAATTCCTGGACTTTCTCTTTTCAAACGCAGTACGGTTTAATTTGAGTCTTAGAACAGTTGTCTTTGAGAAATTCTTCCCTCTACTGCCTCTGTGAATGGGCATAGCATGGTTGCATACATACTGTCACTCCATAGAACATTTGTTAAATTAAAGCCAAAGTTTAAAGCAAGAGCTTTAACTTACTGGTTTTACTAATGGTTTCCTCCCCAATAGCCACAACAATATTGATACCCTCACACCTTTTAACATAAAGCTTGGTGTTGTCTGTTTTTCAGATGCTGTCATCTATATGATCTCAGTATTTTAAAAATCAGCTTCCAGCCCATATGGTGGTTCATGCTTGTAATACCAGCAGTTGAAGAGCCTGAAATGAGAGGATTCCTTGAGCCCAGGAGTTCACAAGCAACCTGGGCAACATAGCAAGATCCAGTCTCTATCAAAAGTTAAAAAAAAAAAAGTGTTCCTATTTCTCCACATCCTCTCCAGCACCTGTTGTTTCATGATTTTTTAATGATTGCCATTCTAACTGGTGTGAGATGGTATCTCATTGTGGTTTTGATTTGCATTTCTCTGATGGCCAGTGATGATGAGCATTTTTTCATGTGTTTTTTGGCTGCATAAATGTCTTCTTTTGAGAAGTGTTTGTTCATGTCCTTCGCCCACTTTTTGATGGGGTTGTTTGTTTTTTTCTTGTACATTTGTTTGAGTTCATTGTAGATTCTGGGTATTAGCCCTTTGTCACATGAGTAGGTTGTGAAAATTTTCTCCCACTTTGTGGGTTGCCTGTTCTCTCTGATGGTAGTTTCTTTTGCTGTGCAGAAGCTCTTTAGTTTAATTAGATCCCATTTGTCAATTTTGTCTTTTGTTGCCATTGCTTTTGGTGTTTTAGACATGAAGTCCTTGCCCATGCCTATGTCCTGAATGGTAATGCCTAGGTTTTCTTCTAGGGTTTTTATGGTTTTAGGTCTAACGTTTAAGTCTTTCATCCATCTTGAATTGATTTTTGTATAAGTTGTAAGGAAGGGATCCAGTTTCAGCTTTCTACATATGGCTAGCCAGTTTTCCCAGCACCACTTATTAAATAGGGAATCCTTTCCCCATTGCTTGTTTTTCTCACTGTTGGTGGGACTGTAAACTAGCTCAACCATTGTGGAAGTCAGTGTGGCGATTCCTCAGGGATCTAGAACTAGAAATACCATTTGACCCAGCCATCCCATTACTGGGTATATACCCAAAGGACTATAAATCATGCTGCTATAAAGACACATGCACACGTATGTTTATTGCGGCATTATTCACAATAGCAAAGACTTGGAACCAACCCAAATGTCCAGCAATGATAGACTGGATTAAGAAAATGTGGCACATATACACCATGGAATACTATGCATCCATAAAAAACGATGAGTTCATGTCCTTTGTAGGGACATGGATGAAATTGAAAATCATCATTCTCAGTAAACTATCACAAGAACAAAAAACCAAACACCGCATATTCTCACTCATAGGTGGGAATTGAACAATGAGATCACATGGACACAGGAAGGGGAATATCACACTCTGGGGACTGTTGTGGGGTGGGAGAGGGTGGAGGGATAGCATTGGGAGATATACCTAATGCTAGACGACGAGTTAGTGGGTGCAGCGCACCAGCATGGCACATGTTTACATATGTAACTAACCTGCACAATGTGCACATGTACCCTAAAACTTAAAGTATAATAAAAAAAAAAAGTGGGCATGGTGATGTTCACCTGTTGTCCTAGCTATTTGGGAGGCCAAGGTGGAAGGATTGCTAGAGCTTGGGAGGCTGAGGCTGCAGTGAGTAGTGATTGCAACACTGCACTCCAGCCTGGGCAATGAAGCAAGACCCTATCTCAAAAAATATATATAATAAAAATAAAAATCAGCTCTCATTGATTTCTATGTAAATATGCCCAGGTGATGTCCATATAGACATAAATAATAATATTTCTGACAATGGGTCCATATGATCTTCAAAATGTAAAATGCCTATCTGTGTAATTGACGGGTTAGTCTCATTAATGAATATAGATTCAATTCCACTTTCTTTTTCTAGATAAATTATATAATCTAGCTTTTCATTTCACTTATTTACTGATAACAACAGGAAGAATGACAAGATATCCATTTTGCAAAATTACTCTGGTAGGAGTAAAGATGAAATAATGACACAATTGCACAGAAACCTAGAAAAAAGTATGGTCTTCTGATATTCTATCACATCACATACTAAAGGCCTCATAAAACTCAGATACTTTATCTAAAATTGTTATTTTCATCATAGGAATGATCAAAGCATGAGTCCACAATTGCATTAAAATGTGCTTGTATCACAAGCACAAAAGGAGGGGAAAACATCCTTACTGATATTTTCAACGTATGCTTTACTTTTCATCAATATGAACCTCAACTTGATATGATGCAGATTGAAGGAAATCACCCATAATTCCGTAATAAATATAATTTATTGTCCAGTAAAGGGTATATTAAAAATCATATTAAAAGTCATGCAGTGAAGTTGTCCAGGGAAATCAAGACTTAACAGTCTCACTCTGACAATAATGAACAGGGGGATTCCCTCAAGATAGACTAGGACATGACCCCACACTGGCAGGTAGTAGTACCAGAAAAGAACGCATGGAAAAACTTTACCTTATGCTTGAGGTAGGGACCAGGCTAAAGTGAAAGCCAGACCTAAAATTCTATCTAAAATAAATCCACAATTGAAGAAAATATGTGGTGTACAGGCATAGAATGTCTTTACTGGATCATTGAAATAGTAAGATAAATTCAACTTTTTACATTGTTTTCTTTTCCTCCAGTTAGGGCTTGAGGTTTGTCTCTGGAGAGTGACTGACAATTGCAGCCCTGCCTTTCTGGGGTTCTGGTCAGGGGGTTGTGGATGCTTAACATGTGCCTTTCACAGGACACTTCCTTACCCCAGCAGTGGCCAGGTGTGCATCCCACGACCAGGCCTCCCTCTCACAGAACATCTGTTGAGACTAGGAGATGCCTGGTGACTGTTGCCTGACCTGTGTCCTGTGTATTTCTGACAAGAGCCACTCTCAGAGACCCTGGCCAGGAAGAGAGTTAGGTTCCAGTGTAGGTCAGCTCAGACACATGGAGGCCACAGAACCAAACATGGGAAATCACAGAAGTAGGTTTATTACTCACAGATCCAGAGAGAAGAGGGTAGCTGAGAAGAGGGTTTAGCTGTGTCCCCAGCCAAATCTCATCTTGAATTCCCACATGTTGTGGGAGGGAACAGCTGGGAGGTAATTGAATCACGAGGGCAGGTCTTTCCCATGCTGTTCTTCTGATAGTGAATAAGTCTCACAAGATCTGATGTTTTTATAAAGGCGAGTTTCCTGCACAAGCTCTCTTGTCTTGTCTGCTGCCAGGTGAGATGTGCCTTTCAGCTTGTGCCATGATTGTGAGGCCTACCCAGCCATGTGGAACTGTGCGTCTATTAAACCTCTTTCTTCTGGAAATTACCCAGTCTTGGGCATGTCTTTACCGGCGGTGTGAAAATGGACTAATACAGTAGCACACCTCATAGGGCTGAACAAAATGGGGAAGATGAGTGGGGAGCAGGAGAGAGAAAAGGGGTCTGTGGGACTCCAGCCTTTATTGGGCCCAGAACATTATCCAAATAAGTTTTCCACGGGGCACTAGTCGGTGGGGTGAGTGCCAGCAGGCACACTTCTTGACTCCTGCTGCAATCGAGCAGGTCACTCTGGCGTGTGGGGGCTGTCCATGTGCACTGTGAGGTCTGTGGGGTGAGTCAGGTAGGTTGTATCCAACGCTTCCATAGCTGGTAGTCACCAGGAGGAGGCAACTGTGTAGGGTCAATATCTGGGCCAGCCACACTGAGGAACTGTGAGGGTTAGAACTGGAAATTGTCAAGGGAATCCGAACCCAGCTACCATATGAGAGAGTTCAACTTATGTTCAATGTGAATGCCATGGCAATATTAAAAGGTACGAATTCGCTACATACGTGCTTGAGGTAAATAGGAGAAACCTAGAATTTATGTAAACAGTGAGAAGATTGGATGCGTTTTATGTCACATATTTTAATACTAGCAGCTTATTATATATGTCAATCCATCAGGCATTCAGAAGTACATGCTTATGAAAATTTTTTGCACCATCAGACAAAAGACAAGGGTAGAAGACATTTGTAACCCTATAAACACTAGTAAATTAAAAACAGAAGGACCTTTATGTCCTAACGTATCTGTGTTGTGAAAGGCTGCCCTGTGAAATACGGGATTCCTTAAACATATTTTGAAAATCATAGGTGTCAATATTTTTTAGAAATCCATTTAAATTTTCTCTTGTTATTTTACAATGCCTATTTATTTATATAGTGGCTCTGCTGATTTTGATGTATATCCTAAACTTAATATTTTCTTTAAAGGATGTTTTATACAACTTTATGTAAAATGTTTCAGTATCTTCACGTTATTTCCCTGTCCTTTTGTTTTGCTCTTATATGGTGTTCTTGAGTCTTTTCTCTGGCTTTTCAAACCTGGTAAGACTAAGACACTAAAGGAACTTTGCCCGTGGTTTTGTAATGCCTTCCAAAGCACATCTTAAGCTCTGGTGCATACAGGGGTCTCCTTTGAGCTCTGTGCTTTTGAGATCCCATATACCTAAATTCCAGTACTCCAAATCAGTACTGCTCAGTTTTAGTGACTAAGTTTAAAAAGGTATTTTAATAGCAAGTTAGTTTAGTGCACTCTTGCTTCTTTCTTGACTGCTTGTATACATGTATATTCCTTTAAATGAATCTTGGAATTTATTTAAAAATTTTAAATTATACTAATGAAACTGTACATTGTTGTGAATTCATAAGTGAATTTGGAAAGAATTTGTCTTTATGATACTAAATCTTTTTTACCCAAGAATCATATGTGTCTTTATATTTATTCCAGTCTATATTTATATCACTGAGTAAATATATAGAAATGTAGATACATACAGCTGTAGTTATAGATACAAATATAGATATAACATGTTAAATCTATATCTATCCCATATAACATATATACATGTTATATGTGTGTGTGTATATATACATATTATTATGTTATTAAAGAGCTCCCTTAAAATTTTTCTTTTATTTCCCATATAATTTTAGGTCGAGCTTGAATTTTCCTTGTATAAACAAGCAAATGTTATACTAGTTTTAATACTGATGTTTAGACATTGTATCTTATTTTAGCATTGAATATTTTCACAATTAGTATAAATATTATCTAATAATAATGTACCTGTTAAAAATATTTAAAATTTTACCTTTGAATTATTTTATTGTTGAATTAAAATTCCTTTAATATGATAGTAAATTTCTATGTTATGCTCTCTCTATGCATATGCTAATTAATCTATCCACTTCTCTATCTCTTTGTAGTGACATATGAAAATCAGGCCTCTCTTCTAATGGACATACACATGTTTGCATATAGAATATCAGACTCTTTATAGCATTTAAAATCTTTAAAGACATGAATATTGCCTTTTAACAAATATACTTTAGCATGTACTGAGAATCCCCTATTTATTTTTAATTTGGGCTAATCAATATGATTATTAATATTATTGGATTACCAAATTTGGAAACACACTTTCATCCCCAAGGTGCATATTAGTTTTATTTTTTTTTTTTGCCAGTTTCTTGTCTTACTGTTTCAAATATTGTTGGATATTATTTTTATTTTATTTGGCATTTTAGTATCAACATTTGTAATTGAGGAACTCTACATATTTTTTCTTCAATATCTGGTGGGTTGTATAATTATTGTTATATTGGATTTGTAGTAGACATTGACAAAAATTATTCCTGTATGTTTTATAGCTGTATGAGGGAAACTAATATATTTTACCCCTAAATATATTTCCTTGATATATTTCAAAATGGCTATTGAGAAGGGCTGGAAATGCAAAGTTAGCTGCAAAGCTGTCTTGGGGAGATTTGCATCGGTAGAGAATATGCCTTGATGCAGCCAGGCTTTCTCTGAGGTCTGCCCCCTTGTCTGGATCTAGGAAAGTTTAACTGAGAGTCTCAGGTCTCCAAAGGTCTGAAAGAAACATTTTCTGTCTATTCTCTCTGAGGACTGCTCCCAGTGAAGTTCCACCTAGGTAATAAGTCCACTGTTGCTAGCCAGGGTCGTTTTCTCACATAACCTTTTTCTTTCTTTTCCCTGTGATCCAAGACCCCATTCTTTTTGTACACTTCATGTGGTAGATAAGCTTCTGCACGCATCGTGTGTCTGGGTCTTCGTTCTAAGGGCTCCAGTGTACACACATTGCAGAAACCTGTATGCCTTTTCTACTATTTATCTGCCTCCTATTAGTGATTTTCAGGGAAAATTCATTAGGCAAAAGGGACATTCTCCTTTAGCTCATTCTCAGACAAAATCTCCCAACATTTAACTGATTCCTAATAGCTTAAAATCACTTTGAAAAATCCATATATTTATATCCTTTTCTTCCCTCTATGATTTCTGGTCAGCTTGGGTTTTGTTTTTCATTCCATTTACTTCATCCTTGAAAAGATCTATTTTACGTCTATTTATTCTCATTTATGGACATTGAGAAAAGAAAATAACTTTCATGTGAGAAATGCAAGTCCCTTTAAATAATCAGGCCCAGAGAGATATTCAAATGAGACAGCAGTTCTGTCCTTCTCCTCTTTGAGCTGTATGTTCACCTAGGCTGCTTGCTGTTGCCATAGTAGTTATAGCTATAAATTAACCAATAACGCCACACCAGACACTATAATCCACACCCGATAATAGTGTAACAGTGTATAGCCAGTCACTGATAAATGTTATTTCCATAAGCCAATGGGAATTTGTGACAAATCTCTTTGCATCATCCCACTTCTGGACCCCTTTTTGCCTTTAAGAAACTGCTTGTTGCAAAGCTCCAAAGGGAGTTCATATCCAAGGATACTTGGGTCTGTTTCTTCCAGGCAGCTGTCCTCATTGTGGCTCAAGTAAACTCTTTGAATTACGTTTTGTGCTTCAGCCCCTTCCACTTAGATTAACAACATGGATTTGTGTCACCATATACAGCAATTAAAATGTTTACACTTTTCCCCTCGAGGGCACTGATGTGTTTTCCTGAGCACTTGGAATAGCTACGTAGTGTTTCCTGTCTAGATTATGGTTTCTGAACCTTGGTGCTACTTACCTTTAGGACCAGAGGATTCTTTGTTGTGGGAGGCTGCCCTAGCAATGCTAGGTGTTTCATTTGACCTCTAAATTTCACACCTCCACCAGTCTTGACATGCCCACAATAACCCTAGACATTGACAAATGTCTCCTGGGGAAAACTCTCTACCAGTTGACAGGCAAAGTTCTGGAAATATTGGAATTGTCAATTGAGATTTTATGTTATCCAAAACAAATATTTTTCTTTGTTTTTAAACATCTACTTCCATCTACTTATCTACTTATTTTTACTTTTATTTGTAACTTAATTCCATCAAGGAGAGAGAGTGCATTTTCTGTTATGCTAAATTTTTGAAGAATGTATTGATTTTTTATGACCTGATATATGGATGATATGTAGATATTACATGTTTGTATTATCAAATTTCAGGGCGTTAATAAAATAAATACTTACAATATTTATACTGTCACTGTATATTAGTTATTTTCTTTCTTCACTACAGGAGTTTTTCAACCTATAGGCTATTTTTCAATTCTAGGTTATCCAGTAGATTTTGAAATGTTATGATTAAATATCTATTTCTCAAGCATTCATCTTTGCAAATGAAACTATCCCAAGCTCTTATAAAGCACATCATATAAAGGGCAGATTAGTCAATATATGGTTCAGAAATAATTATGTAATATTTATAAGAAAATTAAAAATTTAGATCCTTAACTCAGATAACAATAATCCAAATTAAAATTTGATTTCATTACATAATTTAAAATGACACCAGAATACTAGTAAAATGTAGCTAAGTTTATATAATCTTTTTTAGCTGTAGGACTTTATTAGCATAAATTGAAATACAGGATCCAAAGCAAGATTGAGACCTATAGTCAAAGATTAAAATGTACACATCATAGGGGCATGATTAAACTAATTTAAAGCATAATAACATGGAGAAATATTGCGAAACATACATTTTACTGAATTAATTGTTAATATCTAATCATTATGTGAGAACAAAATTAAAGAGTAGCTACACAGGCGCACACCCACACACAACTGCAATATTGTCAAATAAACGATGTTCAGCTACACTAGAAATCACAACTGTGTTTTTTTCCACAGAAGAGCAAAGATTAAAAATCACAATATTATTTATTGTACATATGGAGGTAAAGATACTCAAAATATTACCCAAAAATGCATTTTTTTTGAGATGGAGTTTTGCTTTTATTGCCCAGGCTAGAGTGCAATGGCACAATCTTGGCTCACTGCAACCTCAGCCTCCCAGGGTCAAGTAATTCTCCTAGCTCAGCCTCCCAAGTAGCTGAGATTACAGGCATGCACCACCACACTCGGCTAATTTTTTGCATTTAGTAGAGACGGGGTTTCACCATGTAGGTCAGGCTGGTCTCCAACTCCTGACTTCTGGCGATCTACCCACTTCAGCCTCCCAAAGTGTTGGGATTACAGGCGTGCGCCTGGCCAGCTTTTTGACATATTTCAAGATGGCTACTCGGAAGACTGGAGATAGCTTCTTCTACAAAAATAGCTGAAAAGCTGTGTTTGTTGGGGAGATTTGTATTTGTAGAGGAAATCTGCATTGATATAGACAGGCTTTCCCTGAGATACTCCCTTGTCTGGGTTTAGGAAAGATTAACTGAGTCTGGCACGTTTACATTTCTAAAAACCATTTCCTATCTATACTTCCCAAGAGGAGGGCTGCTCCCTGTGAGGTTTCATCCATGTAACAAGACCACCTCTGCTGCCAGGCTCCTCTTTCTTCCTTGTCGTCACCTGTCTTCCGCAAAGCCTGATTTACCAACCTACAGCTCTGTGTTTTCTGTAACCTCAAGACAGTATAGGCGTGTTGACTACCTTGCCTTTCCTGGAGTTTTTATATATATAGTATATATTTGTATATCTCTTTATAATATACAAATATTTGTATAGATATATTATATATATTATGTAAACTCCAAGTGCATACTTGTGCACATATCTGTAAACCTTTTTTCCTGTTAATTTGTACATTATCAGTTTATTTTATAGACTCAAATAATTAAAGCTTCAAGGGAAAAATTGAAACTTTCCTATAGAGAAAAGACAACTATATAGGTGACAAATAATATTTAGAGTGTAAGATGCTTTTTAAAGGTATATTTGCAATTTGTGTCAAAACATTTAAGTATACATTTGTTACTTTAACTATAAAATTTCAAATAATTTAAGCAAAATACATAGTTTATGCAGAAAATTAGCAATATATCTATGTAGCACCTTACTGTGCATTACTGTAACCAGCCGTCTAACATAAAGAACTAATTAAGGTAGCACCTACTTTTCAAATATCGCATTTTTTTCACAGACCTATTAAATAAGACAAATAACATTTAAACTTTATTTTTAAATTTGCAGAATATTAGTTTTCAGCAGATGGTTTATTTTAGCAAATTCCATCTTCATATTGTGCTATGCTTCTATGAGTTCCAGCTGTTAACGGATCATATTTTACTGCTGAAACTATCATGTGTGATATAATTGCTCATTATGTGCCTTAAAACACAAGCAATATAATTATTTTCAACTTGGAGCAAATTAAAATCTTATCAGCAATTTAAAATCTCTAGAGTCGTCTTCTTCTGGTTAATTATTTTAAACTTGTATTTTTCTCTTTATGTTTTTAGTGAGTTGTCTTATCAAGGAGAAGAACTCAAGCTGATTATTCTTTTTTTTCTCTTCCATCCACCTCGCAGGTGTGTTAATAATTTCATTTCTCAGAAAATGTTCTTTCATATCCATCTTACAAGATGAGAGACCTTTCAACATCTTCCATTCGGATGTCATACGAGTAATGGAACATATTCCAGCTTCATGAATATGGTGATACAAATAGTTATCCGTCTAACCTCTTTCAGTCCAAATGTTTACTTTACTCAGTGAATTACTCAGTTGACTGGTAATTTCTTCTGAAATCACTAATGAGAGGATCAGAGGTCTGGCTGTGGTCTGTACCTCATATGACTCCCAGTGCAGACAATTGTTTCTATGGAGCACAGACAGTTGAAAGGATTGACTTCCTGCCTAGAATAGTTTCTGCTGTGCTTCTTATCCTTCTTGTGGAGATTTCAGATTATCTGAATTGCTTTTCTATCTTAAGAAAAAACGCAACAATTCTCCCACCTGAGAGGCATGTAAACTGTAGTAAGTTAGCAGAACCAATCCGTAAAGTTTTTACATTGTTTGTTGCAAAATGCAGCGCTGGTGTCTCCATCACTAACCTTTTCCATCCCTCATTGCTCTTTCTTTGACTGCAATAGGATACCTCTAGGCAAATCTGTATTCCCGAGACAGAGTGCCCTTTTGGTGAGCTATAAGTACACTCAACGGTAGGCTGAAATACTAGCTTTTATCTATGGCGAAATTGAATCATATCAGTGATTTTTTTTAAAAAAGGAAATTTAACTCTTGCTATGGTTTGAATGCTTGCCCCTTCCAATCTCATGTTAAAATTTGATCCCCAATGTTGCAGGTGGGGCTCACTGGGAGGTGTTTGTTCATGGGGGTTGGACCTTCATGAATGGATAATACCCTCCCTTAGGAATCTAAAGCTATCCTCCCTCCTCGGTGCCCTCAGGAATGAGTGTACCATTCTTTATTCACCTATAATTCCCCCATCCATCCTTTTTGAGATATTGATTACATGTATGTTACACTGCTGCATATTGTCTGACGTATCTGTGAGTTTCTGGCTTTCTTATTTTAGTTTACCCTTTGTCCTTTAGTTTGTAAAGCTTCTATTTTGTTCTATAAATTTTCTGATGTTAGGGTAAAATCGATTACTCATTCTATCTCATGGAATTTTTATTTCAAATATTTATTTTTCATGTATACATGTCACATTTTTTACTTTATAGCTTCTATTTTTCTCCTATGTTCAATTTTCATTTAAGTACCTTGACATATATATGTATTTATTTATATGTATTTATAAAATATATTTACTTTAAGGACCTTGAAATTTCCTTCTTTTCTGTCATTTATAAATGACTTATTTTTATCCTGTTAATATATGTCTTAATTATATATATCTTACGGCTTCTTTGCATGTCAGAGTTTTTTTGGGGGGGGGTATTTTGGTGTTATGCTATTGAATATCTAGATTTGATTGGCTACCTTTGAACAATGTTGTGGCAGGCAGTTCAGTAACTTCAGGATGAGTATTTTTCTGTTGTTGTTTTAAATGTTTTCTTTAAACTTTGTTGAGTTATTCTAGAGCCATCTGTAATTTGGAGCTAAATGAGCACTGTCACTAGGGCATGAACCTCCAGTGGTCTTTACTGAATATCCTGGAGGTACAGAGGGGATTCCCTTCTCTGGCTGGTCAGAGCTAACGTGTCTTCCTGTCATGTGATGCCAGGGAAATGTTCTTCTTCCAACTCCCTGGTAGAGTCCTTTGCTGAGCTCCTTAGAATTTCATCCTATGTACATTTGGCTTAGGGACTTGGGAGAATCCTTAGGCTGATTCTTGGTTCCTTTTTCTGTAAACGTTCTCTTCTACTACACATTCCAGCTGCTTAACCTTTTTTGATTTTTATCTGGTTCCTCAGTGCAATGACAATGTCTGCTGTCTCTGGGATTCCTCTCTACTGCTGTCACGGAGAATCTGGGAATAAAGCAGGACTCATTCTGGCTCCTTCTCTTCTCTTGCCGAGCACAGTCCTGTGCTGCCTGATGTTCAGTACTTCAAAAAAATGTTTCATATATTTTGTCCAGTTTACTATTCTTTAACTCTAAAAGTGTAACTCCAGTCCCAGTTACAGCATCATGTTCTGTAACTCTACTCCTTCTTGCTTCATTCTGCCATTGTCTGGTATGATCTCCCGTTTCCCTTCTGTAATCAGGCCAAGAGCATAATATAATACTAGTTATAACTGCACAGGTTGCCTTCGTTGTGTAAAAAAATCCCTGAGACTTAACTGTGTCCAACTTTTAAAATGTGAATATAAGTACAACTAAAGTTATATTTTGGTTAATATTTGCATTGCATGCTTTTCCATTATTTACTTTCAACATATGTGAAATATGAATATAAATTATAAAAACTTTAAGAGAGTCCATTTAAAAAATCTGGCCTGGTAATGTTTTACCTGGTTTGATACAACGTGCATTCTTGAATTCAGGGTCTAATATAATTGGTACATCTCTCTATTTGCAAAAAAAAAAAAAAACGACAATATTTTAAAATTAATTTATCCAACTCACAACTTATATGCTTCTGCCGTTGTATGGAAGATACATGTTAAACTTTATGAGATAGCATTCTGTTATACAGTCAATATCCAATTAAATTTCTCTCAATGTTTATTTCTTTCATTAAAAAATTGTTCTTCTAACTGCAAACTTTCATCAGGGATCATGGCTCTTCTACCTGAAGAATAATCTTTAGTATTTCTTTTCCTGTGGGTCTGCTTGGGAGAAATTCTTTATTGTATCTTTGCATTTGATGGATATGTCCACCAAGTAGACAGTTCTAGGTCAGCACTTATTTTATTTCAGGACTTGAAAGATATCAATACCTCACTTGTTGGCTTTCGTTGTTTCATTTGAGAAAGTTGTTATCAGTCAACTCTTTCTCTTTGTAGTTAGCCCAATTTTTTTATCAAGTGCTCTTTACATTTTTCTTTTACTTTTCAGAAATTGTCCCATTATGTTTCTAGATGTGTCCTCTGTGTGTGTTTTCCTTTGCTTTGAAAAGCCTCCTGAACCTGTCGTTTAATATTATTGGCCAATTTTGATAAAACCTCAAACATTGCCACTTAAAATGCTGTTCAGACAAGCTGTTTTCTCCTTCTTAGATTTCAACGTGTTAGATTATTACTCTATCCTTCATATTTTTTAAATGACCTTTCTCTACAATTTTTTTTAGTTGGTTAATCTGTATTAGTGTATATTTTGTTATTTTATTCTATTTTATTTTATTATTATACCTTAAGTTTTAGGATACATGTGCACCATGTGCAGGTTTGTAACATAAGTGTTCATGTGCCATGTTGGTGTGCTGCACCCATTAACTCGTCATTTAGCATTAGGTATATCTCCTAATGCTATCCCTCCCCACTCACCCCACCCCACAACAGTCCCCGAAGTGTGATGTTCCCCTTCCTGTGTCCATGTGTTCTCATTGTTCAATACCCACATATGAATGATAACATGTGGTGTTTGGTTTTTTGTCCTTGTGAGAGCTTACTGGTCAGATGAGTAGGTTGCAAAAATTTTCTCCCATTTTGTAGGTTGCCTGTTCACTCTGATGGTAGTTTCTTTTGCTGTGCAGAAGCTCTTTAGTTTAATTAGATCCCCTTTGTCAATTTTGGCTTTTGTTCCCATTTCTTTTGGTGTTTTAGACATGAAGTCCTTGCCCAGGCCTATGTCCTGAATGGTATTGCCTAGGTTTTCTTCTAGGGTTTTTATGATTTTAGGTCTAACATGTAAGTCTTTGATCCAACTTGAATTAATTTTTGTATAAGGTGTAAGGAAGGGATCCAGTTTCAGCTTTCTACATATGGATAGCCAGTTTTCCCAGCACCATTTATTAAATAGGGAATCCTTTCCCCATTGCTTGTTTTTGTCAGGTTTGTCAAAGATCAGACAGTTGTAGCTATGCGGCATTATTTCTGAGGGCTCTGTCCTGTTCCATTGATCTATGTCTGTGTTTTGGTAACAGTACCATGCTGTTTTGGTTACTGTAGCCTTGTAGTATAGTTTGAAGTCAGGTAGCGTGATGCCTCCAGCTTTGTTCTTTTGGCTTAGGATTGACTTGGCGATGCGGGCTCTTTTTTGGTTCCATATGTACTTTAAAGTCGTTTTTTCCAATTCTGTGAAGAAAGTCATTGGTAGCTTGATGGGGATGGCATTGAATCTATAAATTACCTTGGGCAGTATGGCCATTTTCACGATATTGATACTTCCAACCCAAGAGCGTGGAATGTTCTTCCATTTGTTTGTATCCTCTTTTATTTCATTGAGCAGTGGTTTGCAGTTCTCCTTGAAGATGTCCTTCATGTCCCTTGTAAGTTGGGTTCCTAGGTATTTTATTCTCTTTGAAGCAATTGTGAATGGGAGTTCCCTCATGATTGGGCACTCTGTTTGTCTGTTATTGGTGTACAAGAATGCTTGTGAATTTTGTACATTGATTTTGTATCCTGAGACTTTGCTTAAGTTGCTTATCAGCTTAAGGAGATTTTGGGCTGAGACAATGGGGTTTTCTAGATATACAACCATGTCATCTGCAAACGGGGACAATTTGACTTCCTCTTTTCCTAATTGAATACCGTTTGTTTCCTTCTCCTGCCTGATTGCCCTGGCCAGAACTCCCAACACTATGTTGAATAGGAGTGGTGAGACAGGACATCCCTGTCGTGTGCCAGTTTTCAAAAGGAATGCCTCCAGTTTTTGCCCATTCAGTATGATATTGGCTGTGGGTTTGTCATAGATAGCTCTTATTATTTTGAGATACGTCCCATCAATACCTAATTTATTGAGAATTTTTAGCATGAAGGGCTGTTGAATTTTGTCAAAGGCCTTTTCTTCATCTATTGAGATAATCATGTGGTTTTTGTCCTTGGTTAGGTTTATATGCTGGATTATGTTTATTGATTTGCATATGTTGAACCAGCCTTGCATCCCAGGGATGAAGCCCACTTGATCATGGTGGATAAGCTTTTTGATGTGCTGCTGGATTCGGTTTGCCAGTATTTTATTGAGGATTTTTGCATCAATGTTCATCAAGGATATTGGTCTAAAATTCTCTTTTTTTGTTGTGTCTCTGCCCGGCTTTGGTATCAGGATGATGCTGGCCTCATAAAATTAGTTAGAGAGGAATCCCTCTTTTTCTATTGATGGGAATAGTTTCAGAAGGAATGGTACCAGTTCCTCCTTGTACCTCTGGTAGAATTCTGCTGTGAATCCATCTGGTCCTGGACTCTTTTTGGTTGGTAAGCTATTGATTATTGCCATAATTTCGGAGCCTGTTATTGGTCTATTCAGAGATTCAACTTCTTCCTGGTTTAGTCTTGGGAGAGTGTATGTGTCGAGGAATTTATCCATTTCTTCTAGATTTTCTAGTTTATTTGCATAGAGGTGTTTGTAGTTTTCTGTGATGGTAGATTGTATTTCTGTGGGATCGGTGGTGATTACCCCTTTATCATTTTTTGTTGCATCTATTTGATTCTTCTCTCTTTTCTTCTTTATTAGTCTTGCTAGTGGTCTATCAATTTTGTTGATCTGTTCAAAAAACCAGCTGCTGGATTCATTAATTTTTTGAAAGGTTTTTTGTGTCTCTATTTCCTTCAGTTCTCCTCTGATTTTAGTTATTTCTTGCCTTCTGCTAGCTTTTGAATGTGTTTGCTCTTGCTTTTCAAGTTCTTTTAATTGTGATGTTAGGGTGTCAATTTTGGATCTTTCCTGCTTTCTCTTGTGGGCATTTAGTGCTATAAATTTCCCTCTACACACTGCTTTGACTGTGTCCCAGAGATTCTGGTATGTTTTGTCTTTGTTCTCGTTGGTTTCAAAGAACATCTTTATTTCTGCCTTTATTTTATTATGTACCCAGTGGTCATTCCGGAGCAGGTTGTTCATTTTCCATGTAGTTGAGCGGTTTTCAGTGAGTTTCTTAATCCTGAGTTCTAGTTTGATTGCACTGTGGTCTCAGAGACAGTTTGTTATAATTTCTGTTCTTTTACATTTGCTGAGGAGAGCTTTACTTCCAACTATGTGATCAAGTTTGGAATGGGTGTGGTGTGGTGCTGAAAAAAATGTATATTCTGTTGATTTGGGGTGGAGAGTTCCGTAGATGTCTATTAGGTGTGCTTGGTGCAGAGCTGAGTTCAATTCCTGGGTGTGCTTGCTAACTTTCTGTCTCATTGATCTGTCTAATGTTGACAGTGGCATGCTAAAATCTCCCATTATGATTGTGGGGGAGTCTAAGTCTCTTTGTAGGTCACTAAGGACTTGCTTTATGAATCTGGGTGCTCCTGTATTGGGTGCATATATATTTAGGATAGTTAGCTCTTCTTGTTGAATTGATCCCTTTACCATTATGTAAAGGCCTTCTTTGTCTCTTTTGATCTTTGTTGGTTTAAAGTCTATTTTATCACAGACTAGGATTGCAACCCCTGCCTTTTTTTGTTTTCCATTTGCTTGGTAGACCTTCCTCCATCCCTTTATTTTGAGTCTATGTGTGTCTCTACACGTGAGATGGGTTTCCTGAATACAGCACACTGATGGGTCTTGTCTCCTTCTCCAATTTGCCAGTCTGTGTCTTTTAATTGGAGCATTTAGCCCATTTACATTTAAAGTTAATATTGTTATGTGTGAATTTGATCCTGTCATTATGATGTTAGCTGGTTATTTTGCTCGTTAGTTGATGCAGTTTCTTCCTAGTCTCAATGGTCTTTACAATTTGGCATGTTTTTGCAGTGGCTGGTACCGGTTGTTCCTTTCCATGTTTACTGCTTCCTTCAGGAGCTCTTTTAGGGCAGGCCTGGTGGTGACAAAATCTCTCAGCATTTGTTTGTCTGTAAAGTATTTTATTTCTCCTTCACTTATGAAGCTTAGTTTGGCTGGATATGAAATTCTGGGTTGAAAATTATTTTCTTTAAGCATGTTGAATATTGACCCCCACTCTCTTCTGGCTTGTAGAGTTTCTGCTGAGAGATCAGCTGTTAGTCTGATGGGCTTCCCTTTGTGGGTAACCCGACCTTTCTCTCTGGCTGCCCTTAACATTTTTTCCTTCATTTCAACTTTGGTGAATCTGACAATTATGCGTCTTGGAGTTGCTCTTCTTGAGGAGTATCTTTGTGGCGTTCTCTGTATTTCCTAAATCTGAATGTTGGCCTGCCTTGCTAGATTGGGGAAGTTCTCCTGGATAATATCTTGCAGAGTGTTTTCCAACTTGGTTCCATTCTCCCCGTCACTTTCAGGTACACTAATCAGACGTAGATTTGGTCTTTTCACATAGTCCCATATTTCTTGGAGGCTTTGTTCATTTCTTTTTATTCTTTTTTCTCTAAACTTCCCTTCTTGCTTCATTTCATTCATTTCATCTTCCATCCCTGGTACTCTTTCTTCCAGTTGATTGCATCCGCTCCTGAGGCTTCTGCATTCTTCATGTAGTTCTTGAGCCTTGGCTTTCAGCTCCATCAGCTCCTTTAAGCACTTCTCTGCATTGATTATTCCAGTTATACATTCATCTAATTGTTTTTCAAAGTTTATAACTTCTTTGCTATTGGTTTGAATTTCCTCCTGTAGCTCGGAGTAGTTTGATCGTCTGAAGCCTTCTTCTCTCAACTCGTCAAAGTCATTCTCCGTCCAGCTTTGTTCCATTGCTGGTGAGGAACTGCGTTCCTTAGGAGAAGGAGGGGCGCGCTGCTTTTTAGAGTTTCCAGTTTTTCTGCTCTGTTATCTCCCTATCTTTGTGGTTTTATCAACTTTTGGTCTTTGATGATGGTGATGTACAGATGGGCTTTTGGTGTGGGTGTCCTTCTGTTTGTTAGTTTTCCTTCTAAAAGACAGGACCCTCAGCTGCAGATCTGTGGGAGTTTCCTAGAGGTCCACTCCAGACCCTGTTTGCCTGGGTATCAGTAGCGGTGGCTGCAGAACAGCAGATTTTCGTGAACCACAAATTCAGCTGTCTGATCGTTCCTCTGGAAGTTTGGTCTCAGAGGACTACCCGGCCGAGTGAGGTGTCAGTCTGTCCCTACTGAGGGGTGCCTCCCAGTTAGGCTGCTCGGGGGTCAGTGACCCACTTTAGGAGGCAGTCTGCCCGTTCTCAGATCTCCAGCTGCGTGCTGGGAGAACCACTACTCTCTTCAAAGCTGTCAGACAGGGACATTTAAGTCTGCAGAGGTTTCTGCTGACTTTTTGTTTGTCTGTGCCCTGCCCCCAGAGGTGGAGCCTACAGAGGCAGGCAGGCCTCCTGGAGCTGTGGTGGGCTCCACCCAGTTCCAGCTGCCTGGCTGCTTTGTTTACCTAAGCAAGCCTGGGCAATGGTGCGTACCCCTCCCCCAGCCTCACTGCCGCCTTGCAGTTTGATCTCAGACTGCTGTGCTAGCAATCTGCGAGACTCTGTGGGCGTAGGACCCTCCAAGCCAGGTGCAGGACACAATCTCCTGGTGTGCTCTTTTCCAAGCCCATTGGAAAAGCACAGTATTAGGGTGAGAGTGACCTGATTTTCCAGGTGCCGTCTGTCACCCCTTTCTTTGACTAGGAAAGACAACTCCCTGACCCTTTGCACTTCCCGAGTGAGGCAATGCCTCGCTGTGCTTCAGCTTGCACATGGTGCGCTGCACCCACTGTCCTGCACCCACTGTTGGGCACTCCCTAGTGAGATGAACGCGGTACCTCAGATGGAAATGCAGAAATCGCCTGTCTTCTGAGTTGCTCATGCTGGGAGCTGTAGACCAGAGCTGTTCCTGTTCGGCCATCTTGGCTCCACCCCTCATTTCATTATTTCATCATTTCATCATTTCATCATTTCACTTCATTTCATCATTTCATTTCATTTCATCATTTCATCCCATTTCTTCATTTCATCATTTCATCTTTTCATTTCATCATTTCATCATTTCATTTCATTTCATTTCATCATTTCATCATTTCATTTCATCATTCCATTTCATCATTGCATCATTTCATTGCATCATTTCATCATTTAATTTCATGTCATTTCATTTCAACATTTCACCATTTCATTTCATCTCATCATTTCATTTCATCATTTCATCGTTTCATTTCTTCATTTCATCATTTTGTTTCATCATTTCATTTCATCATTTCATTTCATTTCATCATTTCATCATTTCATTTCATTTCAGTGATACATGCATTTAAGTGCTAATGTGATGCCCAGGAGACACCCTATTTCCCTTTGTAAAACACCTCCTTCAACAAAAGGCAACCTCACATGGCTGGCTAAGTCTACAGGGATACCAGCCTCTCTTCAACCACCCAATTTCATTTAGAACTTCAAACAGCACCTCAGTTTCATAAAAACCTAAAACATAAACACAACACTTGGTTGTAAGTGAGCCAACTGTTTCTTGTCTCTTTCTCTGCTCAAGGCTTAAGGCCGTGTCTCCCCAACTATGTTCAGTGGAAGAAAAGATCCCCTGGACAAATAAGTTTGAGAACTGTTGTTGCAGGAGTTCTCAGAACCTTTTAAACGCAAATCCTCATCCACAGGGATCTTCAGGAGGGAGATGGCTGATGCAGCACAACTTTCTTTCACAGGAGCATCTTGCAGAATACAGTATGAGATACAGAAAGGCTGCATTGAGTCTTTTTAAGGGCCCGGGCCTTGGTGGGGGTGGGGTAGGAGCTCTCCAGATAGCATCTAATGAGTAGGAACATTCAGGTTGCTTTATTTTTTCCTTATTGGCAAAACTGTGTGTGTACCATGAATGAAGCTCGTCTCCCTTATCCATATCAAAACCAAACCCAAATTAATTGGCTAAATTGGGACTGAACACCTCCAGGAGCCACGCAGAAGAAAGCCCCACCACACTTTAAAGTAGCTTACCTCATCATATTTGAGGAAAGCAAAACGCTTATGACCAGTATGCTGCTAATACAAGTCTACAGATAATGCTGTAGGAAAAATTATTTTTCTTAATCATAGCTGGCATAGTCCACATTTTGCATTACCTTTCCCCCCGCTTTTTTAAAATTTGAAATACAAGTCTTTTCCTCTTCTTTTTTTAAATTTTAATTTAATTGTACAAAACGGAGTCTTAGTATGTTGCCCAGGCTGGTCTTCAACTCCTGAGCTCAAGCGATACATCCGTCTCCCCCTCCCAAAGTGCTAAGACTACAGGCCTGAGACACTGCGCCTGGCCTTAAACACAAATCTTAATTCATTCTTACAATTATCCTGAGGTTAGAAAAATGGAAGGGGAAGAAACATGGCAAGCAGGTAGGCTGACTTCGGCTTCATTATTTGAAGGACAGTTTGCTCAGTTAAAACACACTACTGCCCACAAATGTCATGACAACAGAAAAATACAGACTTATATAAACAGGTTTTATATGTGACAGCGGTTTGGAGACTTTTTTAATGCAAATGACAAACAGCTGTGCTTGGGAATAAATGACAATGAATTTTTTTATCTCAACAGCTGTCCTGAGAGCACGTATCTACATCTCTACCTGCATTCTGGAATCAGGGAGAAAGCCAAAACTGATGACAAGACACTAGATCAGCCGTGTCCAACCCTTTGACTAAAAGGACTTTTCCGCCTATCTGTGGTGGTGGGTATCATGAAAATTATGCACAAACCTTTTTTTTTTTATAAGCTCATCAGCTGTCGTTAGCAATAGTGTATTTTATGTGTGGCCCAGGAGAATTCTTCTTCCAATGTGGCCCTGAGAAGCCAAAAGACTGGACACCTGTGCACTAGATCAAAAGGCTACTCCTTCTGGAAGCAATTGTAAAGAATTTCTGACATTATCTTGACATGAAAACCAATGGATAGTGGGACAGAATGCAAAATCTTCAAGAAAATTTTTTTTTTTTTTGAGTCAAGGTCTTGCTCAGTGGCCCAGGCTGGAGCACACTGGTGAGATCACAGCTCAGTGCAGGCTCAAGTGCTCCGCCTGCCTCAGCCACAGTAGTAGCTGGGACTACAGATGCGCACAACCACTCCTGGCTAACATTTTATTTTTTGTAGAGACATGGTCTCACTATATTGTCCAGGTTGGTCTCAAACTCCTTGACTCAAGGGATCCAGGAAAGGATAACAGGTGTGAGCCACCACACCTGGCCATGTGCATGAAAAAGGCCCCATGAAAGTTAAGGTTTTCCCACCTAATTTCCAGGGGATCTTTTGGTGCAAGGATGAGAAGCCCTTAAAAGTACACAGACAACTCCAAAGATTCAAGAGAGTTCATTCGGGCTGAGCCAGCCCACTGGGCAGACTGACCTTCAAAAAAGACCCACCCATGACATACACTAGATAGCTCTCCAAGAATCTCTCCAGTCCTCAGGGTCCCTAAGGTAGTGGACAGAGCTAGGAAAGCAAACCCATTTGCTTCTTCCTGCAGGAAACCCCTTGAGGTCAAGACCCCACAATCAGACGAGGATGGAGTGGCTCACCCTCAGTCAACAGGCCAGACTCAAGGTGGTATAATGTCTTAACCAAGGGTGTGGGCTTCCAGGTCTGACTCCCAACTCATTTCTCCTTTAATAACCACACTTTGTTAATTCTCTTTAAGAGAGGTTCCTGGCAAGTCAGTTCTCCCTCAGGCCTTCGGTTTCCTCACCTACAAGATGAGAGGGCTGGACCAGATGGAAATTCGGGTTGTAAGGGGATGTCTGCGCGCAGCCCACCCTGCCCACGGGCCCCTCGAGCCTCCATCCAAGTTCCCATCACGCACCCGCCCCACAAATCCTGCCCAAGGTGAGGGCTAGTCCGGGGTCCTCTGGCTGCCGCATCAGCTAGTGCAGGAGGGAGGAGAAGCCTCCAAGGGGGCCATGCGGGCTCAAGGATGCAACTCGGCCAGGAGTGAACTGGGGCCCCAAGGGAGGTGTCCGGGCCGCTCCTCGAGCCCAGCCGGGGTCCCGGACCCCCTTACCTCCATCGTCCGTATTTCCTGCTGGGTGAGGTCGTTGGACACAGCGCACTGGGTGCGCAGCCCGAGCAGGCTGCCGATGGAAATGCCTATGAACTTCTGGAGCTGCCCGCACTCCTGCAGCACCCGGCTAGCGGCGGCCCCTGCGCCTCCCTCTGCGCCACCGCATCACCCCCGCCACCGCCCTCCTTCTTCTCTCCCATCGCAGCCGGGCGCAGCGCCACTCTATGCAGGCTGCAGCGGTCAAGGCGGGGAGCTAGGGGTGCGGGCGTCTAGGCAAGGAACCCCTGAGCCGGGAGAGCTGGACGAGGAGCGCCCCTCGGCGCTGCCCGAGCCAGGACGCCGGTAGAGCTGGCAGCCTAGTTGGCGGATCCTGCAGTCAGAGCCGCGGCGGCGGGGGCAAAAAGTGGCATGGGGGGGCGGGTGCAAAAAGCCGCAAAGGCAGAAAGCTGCGGCGGCGGGTGTAGAAAGCCGAGGCGGCGGAGGCAAAAAGCCGCGGTGGGAACAACCTGTGGCGGCGGGGGCAAAAAGCCGGGGCGGCGGGGGCCAAAAGCCACAAAAAGCCGCTGTGGCAGGGCAAAAAGTCGTGGCGGCGGGGGCAAAAAACCGCAAAAAGCCGTGGCTTCGGGGGCAAAAAGCCGCGGCGGCGGAGGCAAAAAGCCGTGCCGGCGGGAGCAAAAAGCAACGGGGGCGGGGGCAGAAAGCCGCCGCGACGAGGCCGAAAGCCGCGGCGGCGGGGGCAAAGAGCCGCGGCGACGGGGTCAAAAAGCCGCGGCAGAGAAAGCCACGGCGGCGGGGGCAAAAAGCCGCGGCGGCGGAGGTAGAAAGCCGCAAAAAGCCGCGGCGGCGGGGACAAAAAGCCGCAGCGGCAAAAAGCTGCGTCGGCGGGGGGCATAAAGCCGGGGCGGGAGAAACCTGCGGCGGCGGCAAAAACCTGCGGCGGCGGCCAAAAGCCGCAAAAAGCCGCGGCGGCGGGATCAAAAAGCCAGCTGCTCCCCTGGGATTCCTCCAATTACCCTGTTTAAAGCCTCTGCTCACTCATGCGCTGGAAGAGGGATGTCAGAGATGCAGTCTACTCTTCCTAAAGGGCTGACAGGGCATAAAGACAAGATTGATTATCCATGGAACATTCCTACAGGAATGCACCTATGTGCAGACACACTAATAAGCAGTGTGTCTTGCAGTGTGTAAATGGCTGAAATGCTATTTACACTTCTTTACACAATACATTTTTAAATGTTTTGTTGATGTATTCTCTATCATTTAAAAAAATCATCACTTTCCCCCTAAACAAAGAGGATTTTTATCAGAAACTTATGGGAAGCCCCTTGCTCTACCAGATTCCCACCCTCATTTCTCCTGAAGGAAGAAAGAAAACCATCTCTATTGATTTCTCCTCTCATCCTCTAGGACTAAAACCAGAAAGCTGCATGCTGCCTGGGTGAGACTTAGAGAAGACCCTGTCTGTAGGAGCAGGAATCTCAGAGCCTTGGCTGAAAGGCATGGTCCTGAAATGAGATGGAGTCCCCCATGGAGAGCACACGTGGAAGTCCACACCTGAGGGCTCACTGCTCTTCACCACAGATGCACTCCCCTACTGAGTCCTGAGACCTGAGTGCACCCCATAGAGTAGGACTCAGATGAGGGGATGCAAATCTCCACCAGCTCCACCCTCCTCTGGGTTCAAAAGCCGAGAATGGGGCCTCGCTCAGTGACTCCTGTCCCCCACTATGGACACGTTTTGCTCCACACTCCTGCTGCTGACCACCCCTTCCTGTGAGTGTTGTGGTCAGGGACTTCCTCAGAAGTGAAACATCAGTTCTCTCCTTTGTGGGCTTCATCTTCTTATGTCTTCTCCACAGGGGTCTTGTCCCAGGTCACCTTGAAGGAGTCTGGTCCTGCGCTGGTGAAACCCACAGAGACCCTCACGCTGACCTGCACTCTCTCTGGGTTCTCACTCAGCACTTCTGGAATGGGTATGAGCTGGATCCGTCAGCCCCCAGGGAAGGCCCTGGAGTGGCTTGCTCACATTTTTTTGAATGACAAAAAATCCTACAGCACGTCTCTGAAGAACAGGCTCATCATCTCCAAGGACACCTCCAAAAGCCAGGTGGTCCTTACCATGACCAACATGGACCCTGTGGACACAGCCACGTATTACTGTGCATGGAGAGCACAGAGACACAGCCCAGGATGCCTCCTGTACAAGAACCCAGGCTGCGTCTCAGTGGTGCTCCCTCCCTACCTCTGCAGAACAGGAAAGTGTGACTGAGATGCCATTTCCTGCCAGGGCTTGTGTTTCCTATACCAACCAGACTCAGAGCCCTGTCTGTTTTCCTATTCTGTATTATTAAATGTCATGCTCCCTGTTAGTGATCCATGTAAGCAGAGGCTGTATCCTGTTTGACAAAGATTGAGCATCTAAGAGTCCCATTACCTCGGCCACATGCATCACTGATATGTGGCCACTTATTTCTTGAGCTCATATCCTTCCAAGGGTCTGAATACAAATATCTATAACATATGACATTCTTAAACTGCAGGAAATAGTGTTGGAGAAGAATGTGGAGATAAAAGAGCAGGATGATTAATTAAAATCCAGATACCATCTTTTCTTGCAGAGACAAATTTACACTAATAAAGTAATTTTATGAAACAACAAGAAAGACAGAATGTGTCCTCATCATGGAGTGTCTCACTTGCAGTGCACAAATAAATTTCTAGAAATTTTATAGGGAAGGTGTGATAGATGAGGCTGATTTCCACACAGGGGGTGATTAAATACCCAGGTAAGTATAAAATCCAACACTTGGAAAGTAAAATGCCTCAGCTTGACATCAGAAACCCATCTCAGTAAGTCTGAGGAGCAATGTGGAAAAGAAATGAAAAATTCGACAACACTTTTCTTATGAAATTCCTAGCTCAAGTTTGAACAGGACTATAAATCATGCTGCTATAAAGACACATGCACACGTATGTTTATTGCGGCACTATTCACAATACCAAAGACTTGGAACCAACCCAAATGTCCAACAATGATAGACTGGATTAAGAAAATGTGGCACATATACACCATGGAATACTATGCAGCCATAAAAAATGATGAATTCATGTCCTTTGTAGAGACATGGATGAAACTGGAAACCATCATTCTCAGTAAACTATCACAAGGACAAAAAACCGAACACCACATGTTCTCACTCATAGGTGGGAATTGAACAATGAGACCACATGGACACAGGAAGGGGATCACACTCTGGGGACTGTTGTGGGGTGGGGGGAGGGGGGAGGGACAGCATTAGGAGATATACCTAATGCTAAATGATGAGTTAATGGGTGCAGCACACCAACATGGCTCATGGATACATATGTAACTAACCTGCACATTGTACACATGTACCCTAAAACTTAAAGTATAATAATTAAAAAAAAAAAAAGAAAACAGAATTGTCCACAATTTTAGGAAAGCCATCGCATGACAACAAACCACTACAATGATAGGAGCATCACTGAGTCAACGGAGTTCAAGCAGTGAGCAGATCAGTATTGAGGCCCCAGGAAAATCAAGGCTCTTGGGTACATTTTGCAGAACCCAGAATTGAGCCACATAATCTATGGCCAAGTGATCTTTGACAAAGTTAACAAAAATTAACCAACGTATACACCAGGGAAAGGACACCTCATTCAATAAAGGGTGCTGGGGAAATTGGATAGCTATATGCACATGAATTAAACTGGACACCCACCCTCAACATGTAAATAATTAACAGAAAATAGATTAAAGGTTTAAATGTAAGACCTCAAACTGTAAACGTATTCAAATAAAACACCAGGACAACTCTTCTGGACACTGGCCTAGGTAAATAATTTACGACTAAGAACTCAAAAGCACAAGCCAAAAACCAAAAGACAAAAAGCAAATAATAGACAAATGGGACTTAATGAATCTAACAAGTTTCTTCACAGCAACAGAGTGAACAGACAAAGTGCAGAATGATAGAAAATATTTGCACACTGTGCCTCTGACGGAGTACTAATATGCAGAATTAACAAGAAACTCAAACAACTACGAAAGAAAACAAGAACCAAATAACCCCATTAAAATGAGCAAACAACTTGAGTAGACATTTTTGTAAATAACACATAAAAATGGACAATAGATACATAAAAAATGCTCAGCATCACTAATCATCAGGGAAATGCAAATTAAAACTGTAGTGAGATATCATACCGTTCACAATGGCTATTATTAAAAAGTCAAAAATAACAGATGTTGGAGAGGATGAAATGTAAAGTGAACTCTTAGACACTGTTGATGAGAATGTGGACGAGTACGACCTCTATAGAAAACAGTATGGATTGAGTATGATATTGACTATGCATTTCTCATAAACAGCTCTTATTATTTTGAGATACATTCCATCAATACCTAGTTAATGAGCGGTTTTAGTATGAATCGGTGTTGAATTTTATTGAAGGCCTTTTCTGCATCTATTGAGATAATAATGTTTTTTTTTCCATTGGTTCTGTTTATGTGATGGATTATGTTTATTGATTTGCATATGTTGAACCAGCCTTGCATCCCAGGTATGACGCCAACTTGATCATGGTGGATTTGGAAACCGGCACAAGACAAGGATGCCCTGTCTCACCACTCCCATTCAACATAGTATTGGAAGTTCTGGCCAGGGAAATCAGGCAAGAGAAATAAATAAAGGGTATTCAAATAGGAAAAGAGGAAGTCAAACTGTGTCTGTTTGTAGATGACATGATTATATATTTAGAAAACCCCATCATCTCAGCCCCAAATCTCCTTAAGCTGATAAGCAACTTCAGCAAAGTCTAAGGATACAAAATCAATGTGGAAAAATCACAAACATTCCTATACACCAATAATAGAAAGACAGAGAGCCAAATCATGAGTGAACTCTCATTTACAATTGCTACAAAGAAAATAAAATACCTAGGAATACAACTTACAAAGGATGTGAAGGACCTCTTCAAGAGAACTACAAACCACTGCCCAAGGAAATAAGAGAGGGCAGAAACAAATGGAAAAACATTCCATGTTCATAGATAGGAAGAATTAATATCATGAAAATGGCCATATTGCCCGAAGTAATTTATAGATTCAATGCTATCCCCATCAAGCTACCATTGACTTCCTTCACAGAATTAGAAAAAAACTACCTTAAATTTCATATGGAACCAAAAAAGAGCCCATATAGCCTAGACAATCCTAAGGAAAAAGAACAAAGCTGGAGGCATCATGCTACCTGACTTCAAACTATACTACAAGGCTACAGTAACCAAGACAGCATGGTACTGGTACCAAAACAGATATATAGACCAATGGAACAGAATAGAGGTCCCAGAAATAATGCCACACATCTACACCCATCTGATCTTTGAAAAACCTGACAGAAGCAATGGGGAAAATGATCCCCTATTTAATAAATGGTGTTGGGAAAACTAGCTAACCATATTCAGAAAACTGAAACTAGATCCCTTCCTTACACCTTATACAAAAATTAACTCATGGTGGGTTAAAGACTTAAATGTGAGACCTAAAACCATAAAAGTCCTAGAAGAAAACCTAGGCAATACGATTCAGTACATAGGCATGTGCAAGGACTTCACTTCATGACTAAAACACCAAAAGCAATTGCAACAAAAGTCAAAATTGACAAATGAGATCTAAGTAAACTAAAGAGCTTCTGCACAGCAAAAGAAACTATCTTCAGAGTGAATGGGCAGCCTACAGAATGGGAGCAATTGTTTGCAATCTATCCATCTGACAATAGGCCAATATCTAGAATCTACAAGGAACTTAAACAAACTTACAATAAAAAAACAAACAACCCCATCAAAAATTGAGGGAAGGTTATGAACAGACACATCTCAAAAGAAGATGTTTATTCAGCCAACAAACATATAAAATAAAGTTCATCATCATTGGTCATTCGAGAAATGCAAATCAAAACCACAAAGAGATGCCATCCCATGCCAGTTAGAATAGTGATGACTAAAAAGTCAGGAAACAAAAGCTGCTGGAGAGGATGTGGAGAAATAGGAACGTTTTTACACTGTGGTTGGTAGTGTAAATTACTTCAACCATTGTGGGAGACAGTGTGGTGATTATTCAAGGATCTAGATAGAACTAGAAATACCATTTGTCCCAGCAATCTCATTGTTTGGTATATACCCAAAGGATTATAAATCATTCTGCTATAAAGACACATGCACACATATTTTTATTGCAGCACTGTTGACAATAGCAAAGACTTGGAACCAACCCAAATGCCCATCAATGATAGGCTGGATAAAGAAAATGTGGCACATATACACCATGGAATACTATGCAGCCATAAAAAGGATGAGTTCATGTGCTTTGCATGGACATGGATGAAGCTGGAAACCATCATTCTCAGCAAACTATCACAAGAACATAAAACCAAACACCACATGTTCTCACTCACAAGTGGGAGTTGAACAATGAGAACACAAGGACACAGGGAGGGGAACAAACATCACACACCGGAGACTGTTGGGGAGTGGGGGGCTGGAGGGGTTAGCATTAGGAGAAATACCTATTGTAGATGATGAGTTGGTGGGTGCAGCAAACCACTATGGCCTATGTATACCTATGTGACAAACCTGCACATTCTGCACATGTATCCCAGAACTTAAAGTATAGTTAAAAAAGGAAAAAAGAGAGAGAGAGAGGGGAAACAGTATGGAGACTTTCCAAAAAATGAGAAACAGTACTGGCCTTTATTCTACCAATCCCACTACTGGGTAACTACCCAAAGACAAAGAAATCATGATTTCAAAAAGATACCCACACTTCTATGTTTACCACAAATCTATTCTCAATAGCATATATGACAACCTGAGTGTCCACCGACAGATGATTTTATAAAAGAATATAGCATATATGCACAATTTAATACTAGTCAGCCACAATAAGGAATGAAACTGTGTCTTTTGCAGCAAGATGCCTAGAACTGGGGGACATTATAATTAGTGAGCTAACTCACAAACAGAAAGCCACATATCACACATTATTACTTATAAGTGGGAGGAAAACAGTGTGTACACAAGGATATGGAGAGAGGGATTATGGACATTGGAGACTTAGCAGAATGGGAGGGTAGGAGTTGGGAGCATGATGAAAAATCACCTAATGGGTACAATGTACGTTACTTGGGTGTTGGGTACACTAAAGCCAATACCACTGTAATATTTCTGTGTAACAAAGGTGCACCCATAGCCCTTAAATTTATACAAATAAAGATAAAAGCAATTACAATTGAAAATATAAAATTATTAAGCATTGGGAGATACACCTAATGCTAGATGACAAGATGGTGCAGCGCACCAGCATGGCACATGTATACATATGTAACTAACCTGCACAATGCGCACATGTACCCTAAAACTTAAAGTATAATAATAAAAATAAATAAATAAATAAATAAAAAATAGTTGACCAAAGATCTTGAAAATTAAAGTTTAAATCATGATCAATAAATGAAATTAATATCAGTTGAACTTCATTTAACTTAAAATCCTTTTGTACTCAAGTGATTTTAAGAGAATGAATGTCAAGTTTTAGATGAGAAGATTTGCAAATCATATCACCACCTGTGTAATTATAGTAAGAAACTTCAAAACTCAACAGTGAATAAAAGAAGAGGCAACCCGTGGATAAAATAGGCAAAGTTTTGTGCAGGCATTTCATTAAAGAAGATGTACAGATTACACATAGGCATATAAACAGGATCTCAACAGGATTTTTCATCAGAGAAATTCAAATCAAGACCACTATAAGATACCCAAACACCCTTTTTAGAATGGCTGAAATTAAGAAGAAAGATGGATCACACCAATGCTGGTGAGCATACCAGGTTTCCAGAGTCTAAAACATTGCTAATGGGAATGGAAATAGAAACAGCTACACAGGAAAATAATTCTTAGTTTCTTGTAAAATTATATATGCCCTTAACACATTACCTAAAAATCCCCCTCCTGAATATTTGCTTCAGAGAAATATAATTTTATATTCAAACAAAACCTCTATGCAAATATTCAACATAGTGTGTGTGTGTGTGTGTGTGTGTGTGTGTGTGTGTGTGTGCATGTGTTAGAAACTAAAAATAACATGAATGTATGAAAATTCGAATGGGCAAAGAAGGTAGGCCCCATCTATACATTGAATACCATCAGCATAAAAACTAACAAATGACCGATACACAAACTATTACAAGTGAACTCCAGACATTACGCTAATTGAGAGAAGCCAGTCTCAACGACCAAAGGGACATAGTTGTAAGAAACACTGCCATTCTCAGATATCAGTTGTATGGGCTGAGCTTTCTCTGTCTCTTTCCTGACCAGGCCCAGATGTTGAATTCCACCACTTGCAGATTGAAAATTCTGTTCTTTTTAACAAAGCACTAAGGTTTGAATTGCATCACAGACTAATACAGACAAAACTGGGCTTGTTTGAAGAGTGTCTGATATTTGTTCTGACCCCAGAAGAACTCCAGGTCTCTCCCTCCTTGGTTTTCTCCAGCCAGCCAGCCAGCAGGCCTGCAGTTTAGCCATTGTCTCCCATGCATCCACCTGTTTCTTTCCAAGGGCCTTCCTTTCACCACAGCCTCCAATATTTTGGAGAGCACACTCAAGCTTTGAACTTTTCCACATTCTATTGTAAACGAATGTAGGTAGTTTAAGACCAGATTCAAGATTCTATATTATGGCTAAATTACAGCAGCCCCTCTTTCCTGGGACAGAGCTCCTAAGTAAGTTTCTGCAGATGGAGACAGATGAGCTTTTTCCTCCCTCAGCATAGGCTCTGACTGCTCAGCGGAGGGTTGGGGAGAAGTTTCCCACTTTATCAGCAAGCAGTTCTTGCTGGGGTGGACTCTCTGCCACAGGAGCAGGGCTGTGAACCAGGGACCCAATGTCCTCTGTGGTGCTGCACCCAGGGAAGAGCCTCCAGCCATGAGTGGGGCTGTGTGGAGGAAGTGAGTCTCTTATCAGTAGCTCTTGTCCAGAACTGAGCCTCAGCAGCTCGTTCTGTCATCAGGGTCAGAGGGCCGATGTCCTGGTTCCTAGGGAGCAGCATCCTAAAATGGGAGCTGGCATATATGAGAATAACAAAACCTACAAATTCAGAAGCCCTTTGGTTTTCTTTCCAGAAAATATAATTTCATTTTTTGTGGGTGTATGAGAACACCCTAGCAAACCGTATACACACCCACATTGATGTTTACAGGTCTATGACACTTTTATCTCTGTAAGTAAAAATTATTGGTCACTGTGATCTTTTCTGCAACTTTGCCATTTCACTGAAGGCGAGGACAGGTCCTTCTGCATGGGTTCAAACAAAAGGCTCAGAGACCACCTGGAAAGTGAGGAGCTCACCTGGTTCTGGAAGTTTGGTCTGTCTCTTCCCCTCTGTTGCCCCACAGAAGGTCAGCCCACTCTTTCCAGGTACTAAGAAGAGAGCCCAGGTTTGTCCTGATTATATGACTCACCCAGCTTCTGATGACTCTCCTGTTACCAAAATCCATGGATGCATATTTATTATGTAATTCACTAAACTAATATCAAATACCAAAGTTGCAATGCCCCTCACCAGAAGGTATGTTCATGCAATTCAGTGGAGGAGAGGCCTTTCAGAGACAGAAGGATCAAGCTAGATTGGTCAATATATGAATGAGGACAATAGACTTGATTCTTGTTGTCCTCAAGTACCCGTGTCACAGGTGTGATCTGTCAGGGCAGGAGCAGAGTTCTTTGTGTGCTCAGATGGGAGGGCTCACGGAGGTTCTCCCTGGTTCCCAGGAAAGTAAGTGAAGTAATCTTGGTGATGAGACTATTCTCCAGTTATGACCTATTATAGAGTTTGCATATGAAATTGTCACTTCAGTCTGCCATCTACATCTTTTAACATGAAAGTGTACAGAAATTAGGCCACATCCTCAGGATCACACGTTGAGGAGAATGCAGATAGGCCCCACTGCTTTCTCCAAAGATCTTCAATAGATCTCAGGGTTCAAAACTGCTCAGAATGGCAGCTCTCAGGTGTTTCAGTTAAAATCACCCACTTCCTGGGACTGGAAGTTTCCCTCTAACCAGGATGGATAAAAATAAATCACACTCTTGATCTTGTCCACACATTCAAAAATTCCTAAAGGCAGAGCTGATTGATGTCCTCACAGACAGACTACTGCCATTCAGAGGTGACCTTGGTATTCAAGTTCTAGCAATTCTGAGAATTCAAGGACATCTCCATCTCTCCAGTGCTTTGTACCTCACATAAAAACAGCTTTCTCATTGGAGTGTCTTGTGTTTCCTGATATAAATATGTCACAAAATTATTTTAAATAGAATGAGAAATAAAACCCAAACTTACTCAAAACACCAATTCCTTGGAAATTATTTTGAGAGCTGGGAGTTCATGAAGAACTCCAAATTATTATTCCAACACCTCATTGCCATTGTCAGTCTATGAGAAAATCAGCACCAATCACACATCACAAGCCAAATCAGTAAACCAAGAGTCTTCTATTGAAGATCTTAGGATCTCAGGCAGATGCTGAAGACACTGTCTCAGTAGCACCCAGAAGATCTCAGAGCTTGTCCATGGGGCCTGCTGGATACTCACATGGGACATCCAGCGGTCACTTCATCAGAGCCCCCAGTGGGCTGTGCTAGTGCCTGATGAAACCAGGATGAGGCAAAGGCATCTGCTCAGTGTCATAGACAGTAATGGTCCCAGAAATGATCCCAATTGTCTCCATGCTAATCAAATGTGGGTTCACTGTGAGGAGCATGTCCTGTGGGTGCTTGTTCTTCAGTGAAAGGACCTCTGTCTACAAAGTGTTTGGAAGTGGAGCAGGGCATGCATTTCCTCAAGTGAGATTAGGACTTGGAGCATTAGCATCTCACTCTTGGATGGCTGATGTGCAGCACGACCAGAGTGGCAGGACAGGGGCTATCCAGGGCTGCACCTTAGGTCACAGTGTAGGGTAGGTTGGGGACGCTATCCAGGGTGTCATTGCCTGCATTAGGGGTACTGGTTGGTAGCACTGTACAGGGCTGCACTGCCCACGGCAGAGAGGGTGGGTTATGGGTGCTTTCTGGGGCTGCAATGCCCGTGGAGGAGGACAGGTTAGGGCACTATTTGGTATACGCTACTGGCGGCATTGGGGGATGGAGGTGGGGGGTGCTATTGAGGGCAGGACTAGCTGTGGGGGGGTGAGCTTGGTGCTATCAGGGGCTGTACTGCTGGCAGCGGTCAGCAGAGTTGGCATCCAAGGAAGGAGTGGTTCTCCTCTCCCTGACTCCACACTCCAGAGGGCGACCCACACTGGGTCATACTGGAGTGCGGCAGGCGCACAGCGTTTGCATGGGAATCCTGAGCACAGCAGAGCCCCCACACCCACCGTGGTTCCTGGGCCTGTGCACTCTGGGTCTGTGCCTCAGAGGCTGCCAGGCACCCCTGGGGACACCACGGGAGACAGGGCACTGTGTGTGGAGGCGTTCGGAACAGGAGTTGGCACCTGCGTGTGGAGGGCTGGCTGGGTCTGAATTTTTCTGCTTCTCCTGCTCCCCAAGGAGTGCAGACCCGGTGGGCCCAGTGGTTTCTGTGGAGTGGGGAGCTGGGTGCTGTGGTGTCTCCAGCACCCACCCCAGACCCCAGTTCCCGGCCAGCTTGGGCCAAAAGGAGAGGCTGGACTTTGGAGGGTGGATGTGAGTGCCTTTGCTGAAACTGGCCCCTGCCACCCAGTGGCCAGCATGACAAGTTGAGGCTCTAACCCTTCCACCCCTCACATCTTCCTCTAGGCTTTTCTGGTTTTGCCCGCCCAGCTGCTCCATGCCAGGAGGAGGAGGAGACACCCAGAGCCTGCGACACCACAGCTCGCCTCGCTGCGAGTGGGTGGCAGCGACGGAGACTGCAGTGCACCAGAGCGGTAGGAGAGCGGCTGTGCTAGGAGGGCAGGCGGCTGCAGCCAGGGTTGGGGGTCAGGCTTACAGCGATGGATGGGCTGCAGCAGTGGCCAGGCCGTAGGAGCTTTGTAGGGAGGGCTGGTGCATTGGCAATGGGCCTGTCTTTGCCCTGCCCCTGCCATGGATCTGGCCCTTTACTGCCCTGCCTTGCCCTGTACCTGCCCTACTGTTACCTGGACTCTAGGCCCTGTCCTGCTCTGGTCCCATCCTGACACTGTCTTGGCCCTGTGCTACCCTGTCCCTGCCCTGGTCTTGCCCTGGCACTGGCCCTGCCCTGAACCTGCACTGGCCTGACCTTGGCTCTGGCCCTGGCTCTGGCCCTGCCTCTTGTCCTGACCCTGGTCCTGTCATGGCGCTGGCCCTGCCAATGGTCATGGTCCTGCTCCTGTTCTGTCCCTGACCGGGCCTTGGACATGTCCTGGCCTTGCTTTGGCCTGTCCCTGCCCTGGCCCCACCATGGGCCTTCCTGTTCTGCCCTCTCCTGACACTGACCTTGCCCTGTCATGGCCCAGTGGTGCCATTGTCCTGCCTTACCCTGCGCTGGTTGTGCCTTGGCCCCGCTTGGTGCTGGCCACTCCCTGGACCTGACCTGACCCTGCCTTGGCTTTTGCCCTGCCCTCACTATGGCCTGGCCCTGGCCCTAGCCCTGGTCCTGCCATATCCCTGGCCCTGCCCTTATCCAGGCCCTGCCCCTGCTGCTGCCCTGGCTCTGGCCTGGAACCTGGTCCTGTCAAGGACCTGCCCTGACTCTGCCATGGCCCTGGCCCTCCTCTGCCTTTGTCCTGGCCCTGACCCAGACCCAGACCCTTTCCTGGCTCAGCACTGGCCTTTCCCTGGCCCTGAGCTGGCAGTGGTCTGTCCCTGGTCTTGCCATCACCCTGCCCTGCTGTGCTCTGGATGTGTCATCACCCTGCCCTGGCCCTACTCTGCCTTTGACCCTGCCCTGGCCTTACCTTGACCCTCACCTTAGTCTTCGCTAGGCCCTGCTCTGGAGCTGGCCCTAGCACAGACCTGGCCCTGACCCTGGCCCTGGTCTTTGTCCTGCCATAGCCCTGGCCCTGAAGTGGACTTGGAGGTGTCCTGGCCCCAGCATAACATGGCTCTGCATTGGTCTGTCCCTGCCCTGCCCCTACCATCACCTTGCCCTGCTCTGCCCTGTCCCAGTACTGACCCGGCCATACTATTTCCCTGCCGTACCCTGCCTTGGCTGTGCCCTGGCTCAGTTCTGGTCCTGGCCCCAGCCCTGCCCTGGACATGCTCTGACACTGCCTCAGCCTTGGCACTAGCCTGGCTCTTTCTTGGCATCAGCCCTGCTCTCTCTGTGGACCGGCTCTTGTCCTGTCCTGCACTGGCCATACCATGCCCTCTCCTGCGCTGCCCTGACTCAGCCCTGACTCAGCCCTGGCCCAGCCTTGGCCTTGGCATTGCCCCTAGTCCTGCCATATTTCTTGCCCTGTCCCTACCCTGGCCTTGGCCCTGACCCTTACCTTGCTCTGGCCCTGCCCTTACCCTAATGCAGCCCCTGGCCCTGTCATGGCCCTGCCCTGGACCTGTCCTGGCCCTGGCCCTTCCCCGCTTGAGACCTTGCCCTGGTTCTCCTCTGGCCCTGACCCTGAAATGCCTGGCCCTTACCCTGGCCTTGCACTGCTCTGGCGCTTGCCCTGACTCTGGTCCTGTCACTGTCACTGGCCTAGCCCCAGCCCTGTTGCTGGTCTTACCATGGCCCAGACCCTGCCTTGGCCATGCCCTGACACTGTCCTGGACCCTGGCTGTGCCAAGAACCTGCACTGTCCTTGCCCTTGTTTTGCTCCTGCCCTGAACCTGGTCCTGCCCAGGCCATGGCCATGGCCCTGGCCCTGGCCCTGCTCTGGCTGTTCCCTGGCCCTGCCCAGGTCCTGGCACTGGCCTGGCCCTGCCCTGCCTTGGCCCTATTCTTTCCTGGCCCTGCCTTGCCGGCCCTGGCCCTGCCTTGGCCCTAGGCTGGCTTTGGCCCTGCCCTGGCCCTACCTTGGCCTTCACCCTAGCCTTACCTGGGCACTGTGTTGGACCTGGCCATAACACAGACCTGGTTGTGGCCCTGGCCCTGCCATGACCCTGTCCCAGACCCTAGCCCTGCCAGGTACCTGTCCTGGCCCTGCTCTGGGCCTGGCTTTGTCCCTGGTTCTTAGATGACCCTGGCCCTGCCCCTGCCCTTGCCCTTGCCCTGGCACTGGCCTTGGACATGTCCATGGTCCTAACCCTGGCCCTGCCCTGGAGCTGCCACTGTCTTGGCCCTGCCCTGGCTCTGGCCCTGCCCCGGCCCTGGCCCTGTCCCGGCCCCATCCATAGACCTGCCCTGGTTGGTCGTGCCCTACCTTAACCCTGTGCTACCCTGGGCCTGCTCCACCCTGCCCTGGCCCTGCCCTCCCTTTGGCCCTGCCCTGACCCCGCCTTGGCCCTCACACTGGCCCTAGCACAGACCTGGTCCTATCTGTGGCCTTGGCCTGGCATTGACCCCTGCTCCTGACCCTGGTCCTGCCATGGCCCTGGCCCTGCCAATGACCCTGACAGCCCTGGCCCTCGCCCTGTCTTGGCCCTGGCCCTGAACTGGCCCTACCCTGACCCTGGCCCTGAAGTGGATTTGCAGGTGTGTTGTCCTTGATTTAACCTGGCCCTACCATGGCCCTGTCCCTCCCTTGGCTCTGTCCTGGTCTTGTGCTGACCCTGACCCAGACCTTGGCCCTGCCCTAGCCTTGTCCTAGACCTGGCCATGGCCCTGCCTCTGCCCTGGACTGGCGCTGGCACTGGCATGGACCCTGGCCCTGGCCCTTTGCTACTTAAGGCCATACCCTGGCCCAGCCCTGGTCCTGACCCTGTCCTGGCCCTACTTTGGCCTGGCTCTACCCCGGCATGCTATTCTGGCCCTAGCCCTGACCCTGTCCCTGTCCCTGTCCTGGCCCTAGCCCCATTGCTGGTCCTGCCATTGCCCTTGTCCTGACATTGCCCTTTCCTGGTCCTGGCACTGGCCTTGTCCCAGCCCTGCTCTGGCCCTGGTCTGAACCCTGGCCCTGCAATGGACCTGCCTTGGTCCTGCCCAGACCCTGGCTCTGGCCCTACCTCTACCCTGGCCATACCCTTGCCCTGGCCTGGACCCCGGTCCTGGTCCTTGTCCTGCCCCAGCCATGGCCCTGGCCCTGCCCTGCCTGTGCCCTGTTCTATCCTGGGCTGGCCCTGCCATGGCCTGGTCTTGCCATTGCCCTGCCCTAGCCTGCCCTGCTTGTGCCCTAGATCTGCCCCGGCCTTTGCCCCTGTCTTGGTTCTAGCCTTAACTCTTAGACTAGCAAGGAGTATATATTTCTGGCAAAATTCCAGAAATGATTAACTAGATCGCTTATGGGCAACTGGTGAATCCACACTGATCCCTGGGATCACCATTTCCTTTTCTAAGAAGTCACCCAAGACCAACCTCATGGCTTTTTTGGATCAGGCTACTGGATGGGAACATGGGAGGGTGTGGCACCTGAGCCACCACGCCCAGCCTCCACATGCTTTTCAAAAACATTCCCATGTTTAAAAAAAGTTAACCATGGGGCTTTAAAGCACCACATGCTTTAAATGCCCCTTGGTGACTTGAATGTTCTACTCAGTTTATCATGAATGTTTTTCTGGGACAACTGACCTGTTTCCAACATATTTATTTATTTATTTATTTATTTATTTATTTATTTACTTATTTTTGAGACAAGTTCTCACTCCATCACCCAGGCTGGAGTGCATTGGTGTGACCATGGCTCACTGCAGCCCTGCCCTTTTGCCTCAGCCTCCCGAGTAGCTGGGACTATAGGCACGTGCCACCACGTCCTAATTTTTAAATTTTTTGTGGAGACAGAGTCTTGCTCTGTTGCCCAAGCTGATCTCAAACTGCTGGGCTCAAGAAATCCTCCCACCTCATCCTCCCAAAGTGCTAGGATTACAGGCATGAGCCACTGTGCCTGGCCTCTCCAGCGTTCTTGAGTGTTCCTGAGTGTCTACCCAATTCCTCAATGGTGGATGTCGAGACTGCAGCTCTGTTTCTGACGTCATAAACAGTGGCCTCAGCTAGTCCGTTTTCTTTGGGCCTCCTGATCCTCTTGGAGCACCCGTGCCACTCCTATTATCTGTCTGTTTCTTTGTTGTTGTTGTTGATTTTTTTTCTTTTTTCTTTTTCTTTTTTTTCTTTTTTTTTTTTTTTTTTTTTTTTTGAGACACAGTCTCTCTGTGTCGCCGAGGCCGGAGGGCAGTGGCACAATCTCGGCTTACTGCAGCCTCCGCTTCCTGGGTTCAAGCAGTTCTCATGTCTCAGCCTCCCAAGTAGCTGGGACTACAGTCACATGCCACCACGCCTGGCTAATTTTTGTATTTTTAGTAGAGAGAGGGTTTCGCCATGTTGGCCAGGCTGGTCATCTCCTACTCCTGTCCTCATGTGATCCGCCCACCTCGGCCTCCCAAAGTGCTGAGAGTACAGGCATGAGCCACCACACCCACCCCCTTTCTTTCCACATTCTTTATGTCCCACGGAGAGGCTCAGTTCTTGAATGCGAGCAGGTACTCATGGCGTGAGCAGGTACTCATGGCCTGAGCAGGTTAGATGGTTAGGAGTTAAGGGCTCCAGACTTCGTATGCAACTTTTCTGAGTGGTAGAGAGCCTGCCTAGTGGGTATTCCAGTACTGCTGGGATGCAGTCACCTGTGTGGATTAATATTTTGCAAGGGTGTATGGGATGGAGTGGAGCAGGAGAGCCTGAAGTGGGGAGACCAAGTTGGAGGTTGTCAGTGAGACTTGCTGGGAACCTGAACTGGGGCACTGGTAGCAGAAGTGGGGTTGAGGGGACAGAGCTGAGAGGCCCACGTGGAGTTGAATCAGCAGGCTTTTCCAGTCTCTGGGAGTCTGAGATGATCTTGGTTCTGCTCTGGGCTTTCGGAATGCCAGGACGCAGCCCCCTGCTGGAAAGGGAGCTCTGGCTGCCCATGGAGTAACACTATCGTGCTAGGTGTGAGGGCTGGTTGCAGAGTGGGACTTCTGGCCAGGCCTGGGGACAGCAAGGAAAGGAGGGGACAGGGAGAGCAGGGTTGAGCAGGGGAGGCCTAGCAGATGATCAGGATAGGGTGCTTCCGGGCAGTTGAGCTTGGGTTGCTGGCTTCACAGAGGTATTGAGGCTGGGACAGAGGGAATGTGATGACAGGATGGATTCCAGCCTCCAGCAGAGCGATAGAAGATCGGGGAGCAGAAGGAAGAGGGAGGCAAGATCAAGAAGGAGGATGTGAGCAGGTTAGTGGCCAAGGAGGGGAGCATGTTCCGGAGAAAGCCTGGTGCTTAGCACAAGTTTTCAGTGGGACTGGGCTTAGGACACATAGGAGGTTAGCCTGAGAACCCCTGAGTAGCCCTTGTAATTGGGAAAGGGGGCCTGGCCTGAAAGGAAACATCACACCTAGAAGCAAGCCAGTACCCTTGGCCCCCATAGTCTTCTGCTGCTGCCTGGATAGCAGTGGGAGAGTTCCAGCTTCCCAGCCAAAGCCTTCTGAGCTTTTGTCCTGCCTCTGCCACTACTGTCTCAGTCCTATCACTTGACCCAGAAGCCTGGGGCTGATCTGCCCTTTCTTCTTGTCCCATGTGACTGCCCAACCATCATGGCCATTTCTCAGTGTGTGGCCCAGCAGGGTGAGGCACTTTCACGTTTTCAGGTAGCCAACCTCAAGAAGTCTTCAGCCTGCAGAGCTGGACTCCACCCATGAAAGAGCCTGTAGATGTCGCCTCCTAAGCCTCTCTCTCACAACCCTTGGGACCACTGCTGTGGTGGGGCCACCACCATCCCATATAGACCAAGTGGGCTCCCTGCCACCTGCCTTCCCCCCTTTGGCTTGTGCACCCCACTTCCAGTGGCTTGCTATCACATGGATCCTCCAGGACGCGGCTCCCCCACAGTCTCTGCTTCGGCCTCCCCCTGTCACGAAGCAGCCATGTGGGTCTCATGGGAGAGCCTCACGTAATACATGCTCTCCCCCAACTCAATTCTCTGAGCATTTTGGGGGTCTCTGTGCGGAACACCCCCTCCAGCTGCCGGCCCAGCCAGAACCTCCTCTTCATGAATCTCTGAGGCTTCCCTGTGGAGCCTGTTCCGAGGGGCCCACACCATGTCCCTGGCTGACCCATAGTGCTGTCCTCAGGTCCCAGGGCAGCCTGCATATGCAGCTCTGAGGCGTGGCACTTGACAGGGTTGCCCATCATGGAAAACCTGGGCTCTTCCCCTTTAGACTGTTAAGCTCAGTGCCAAGGGCCTGGCACATATGAAGGGCCACTGAAACCTTTGGTGACTGAATGGGCTGTCCCGGGCTGACGGCGACAGCTTTAGGTGCATGTCTGGGTTGAACTTGTCGGGCTTTTTAGACAAGCAGCCCAGCTTTTCAGGTCTTAGGAGCTATGAGAGTTTGTGAAGATGGATGCATCGGGGCCACCTCCAGGGGACCACACTGGATGAGCCACTGGTTTCCGCTTGTGGAAAACTCCGGCAGTCGCTCCTGTTCCCTTCCTGCCAACCTTGCACTTCAGGGGGACAGCTAGCGAGAGGCCCTCTTGAGTCTTGGAGTGTGTTGGGGACAGCAGCTCCCTCTGGGCTGGGGTTTGTGTGTTCAGAGGACCTGCACTGCTTTCTCTGCCTTATTCAGCTTAAATGGTGGTCAAGGTTAGGCCCAAAGTGCTGGTTAGCAGCCAGTCACAGGAGGGCCCCTGTTTGTGTGGAAGCCCCCTGAATTTTTGCTGATCTGAACTTGATCCACAGGCATCTTTTGTTTCCTCCTTACCCCTCCAGGGTAGAATCCCATCGCTGTCATTAGCCCAGATGGAGCTGCCCGTGCTTCTCTGCTGAGCTGCTTTTTCTTCTTTTTTAGGTTGAGTCATCTAATCACAGACTACCTTTGCCTAAGTTGTCTTACCTCACTCGGTTGCTCTCTACCCTCCAGCTTACCCCAAACCGCTCAGATAGCTGGTTTTAAAAAAGATACACAGCAAAACCCCAGAAACCCAGCTGGTCTGTCACTTGTTCTCAAGAAGAAGGGAGGACAGGCGAGACCCACACCTGCCCCTTTGCCCTGTGCTTACTGCACTGTCCTCAGGATGGGCGAGCTCCATCTGGGTCATGGGCTGGAGCTGCCACAAGGCATGTTCTCATTTGAAACGGCCTCCATTTCCCCCAGCTCTAGCCCTCCTCTTCCCATCTTCTCCAGTGTCTGTGTGCTGGGAGGCTACAAGGAAGGCAACGCAGCTGTACCAAAATGGACTTGGGGCAGCCCTTTGGGGCAGCCTTCTCGGGTCTGCTCTAGGTGACTCTCCCAGTTGTAACCTGTTTTCCTGATTCCAGACTTGTGGGTAAGAGTCGCTCAGGGCAGTAGAAGCCCTGGTGTTAGTCATTCTTCACTGAAGCCTTCCTGAGGCATCACCTGACTTGCTTCCTTGCCTGGGCGCTGCCTCATTTTTTTCTTCCACAGTTGGGGCATGTTCACGCAGAGTCCACTGGCCACCCTGCGGTAGGCCTGGAAAGTCAGCAGGTGGCGCTGGGACACCAGCTTTCTGCTGGCTGGGGGCAGAGGAGTGAGCTTGTGTGAACGCCATGTATATACAGGGGCTGGGGGTTGAATGACTTGACTCACCTGAAACCTGTCAGGTCAGCAGGGCGGGCCGAGGGTGGCCACAGCATGGAATCTTTTGGTCGGGACTTGCTTCTTCCCCATTTCCTATTAAGCCCATGTCCTCTTCCCCTTGCTCATGGGGGAAGACAGGGCTGCCGAAAAGTGCTTATGAGCCGTGGCTCTCCCCACTTGATATGGTTGGCCCTGTTTCTCTAGAGTCTGTGGAGAGGATCTGTTTCTCCTGTCTTCTCTGGTTTACTCAACCCTTTATAAAAGCACGACAGCCCCGCTCAGTGTCCAACAACATTCTATCAAGGAAGCCCAGTCAGACTGAGGCATTTGGGGCTGCCGTGTGTCTGCCAAGGCCACATCTGGATTCTGTTAAGTTTCATTCACTGGCCTTTTTTTGGACCCCAGGCCATTCTATTGGTGACCACCCTGCCTCGTAGGTTCTTTCCTGTTTTCTGGAAATGAATAGCTAAGAACAGTGATTCGGGTAAGATTACTTGGGAGATTCAGCAGAGGCAGAAGCTAAAGACCATGTTCTGTGCCCTGTCCTGGGGGCCTGGGAAGCTACAAGGGAACAGACAGAAGCGCAAGTTAATGTGCCTGAGTGACCCAATGTGAGGGAGCAGGAAAATGTTCTAGAAGGCTGGCTCCCAGGCTGAAAAATGCCAGTGATCAGAGAGGACCTGGTCTGCATTGCTTGGGCCCTGGGTGGGGGCTGAGGGTGTGAGGATGCAGAGGCTGGAGCTCTGGGTTGTGCCTTCAGGTCGTGGCATTGAATGTTTTTTCTCCCTGCAGCCATGAGCCTGGCTTGCCCATCAGCACGGGTCTGAGATGGCGCCTTCCCACCCCTGTCTTCTGTCTCCTCTGTTGCTAGACTGAGCAGCTCTGTGTCTGTCTCTGCCACTCTTGGTGCCAGGCTCCCAGGTGAACACAGGTGCAATCTAGGCCCAGGGAGATTCTGTCCAGCCTTACATGCAGCCTCAAATCTGTACCTATCAGGGAGCACTTCCTCTCCTGGGAGTGGGATCTGGTCATCTGGAAGCCCAGTCCCGCCCCCCGCCCCCCTTTTTTTAGCTATACTTGCTGGAGTGGGTGCAAGACCCCTTTTCAGTGTGCCAGGTATGGGAGTGCAGAGATGAAGGCACAGTGCCCAGACTAAAGACCTTCATAGCCTGGTAGGGCAGCCATATAAATGGATGGCAGCCACGCAGAGAACCGAGAATGAGGTAGTTACATGCAGGTGCCTAGGGGGCTGCTGCAGGAGCCCCCAGAAGGCGTCCCTCTGATGGGGTGGGAGATCTGAAAGGGTTTCTGGGGGGGAGGTGAGGATTGAGCTGGGTCGAGAGGACATTACGGCCTGGAGGACTGCCACACAGAGCCAGGTGTGTCCCAGGAATGGTGAGGGGTTAGGTGTTACTAGAGAAGGGGGCCACGTGGTTAGTGAGGGAGGAGAGCTCACTGAGGGCATGCGTGCTGGCAGCAGGTGGCTTAAGCAGAGGGCTGACGTGGTCGGATTTGCCTTGCTCTGGGAGGTGGATGGGAAAGCCGTATGGTGGCAGATAGGGAGGAGGCGCCAGCAGTGGGGATGATGGCGGGTATGTTTGCAGTTGACATGGAAAGCGCTGGGTTGTGGCCTGGGCTAGGGGGCCAAGAGGGCCGAGTCTAAGGTGGTTTGCCTGCCCACGACTACAGCAGGGGCTACACGAGGTGGTCAGGTCAGGCAGGACAAGGGAAGGCCCATTTTGGACAAGCTGAGTCTAGAATGTCTCTGGGGACATCCAGGAGCCAATGTTTAGCAGGAGGTTAGGTGTGAGTCTGGGCCGCAGAGAAAACCCTTTCAGGGATAAGAGTGGCTGGGAAGAAGGTATAGGGTGTCAGCTGAAGAGTGCAGATCCCAGAGGGAGCAGAATAACAGTGGGAGGAGGGTGTTGTGAGGGGACCTCAGGAGGGTAACTTAGCAGCAGAGCAAGGAGCTCAGGGTAACCGCCTGCCTGGGTGGTTAGGAGGCCACTGGTGGCCCTGCTACTGGCTTGGAAGGGCAGGCTTTGGCCAGCCTAGATTGAGGAATACATGTGAGGGAAAAGACCAGGGGCTTGGGCAGGGTGACTCCAGGAAGGAAGCAGTTGAAGGTGAGGTTCCTGGGGGGAGAATGATCCCGGGTCATCCAGCAGGAAGAGAGAGGACCTAGAAGGTGTGAAAAAGAACTATCAGGCTGGGGGTGCAGTGGGAGGAGTATGCCTAGGGTGCTGTGGGGGTGGGGAGCACCTCTGAGGGTTGGCAAGAGGAAGGGGAACCAGGGCCTGGCAGAGGGGAGCCCCAGACTGTCTGAAGGCTGGGAACTAAAGGCCTGGGCTGGGGCTGAGCAGGGTCAGGCTTTCTGACAGACACGGCGTGGATCTTGCGCTGGACTTTGTGTATGCCCTGGCGTATCTTGGAAGCCCTGGTTCTCAATAGCCGGGAAAGGCCTGGAACGGTCCGAAAAGAGCTGGGCCTCTGCTGCACTGCCATGGAAGCATTTGTGTTAGCTATTTCCCTGGGTACTGGGGTGACAGCCATGGGCACTCACCAGCAGCCGCTTGCCTGGCCTGGTGGCGGGGATTATAGCCTTCAGTCTTGCTTGGTCCTCTCTCTACCACCAGGTGGCATGACCCCCACCCCTCAATTCCAGTTAGGAGTAGCGGTCCTCTTCCTCTCTACATCACTGGGATCTGCTCTGGGGCTGGGCAGCTCCTTGCCGGGGGTTGGGTCTTAGTCAGACTTGCCTTTCTTTCTAGGCCTCTCCAGTGACTTCTGGCCATGCCGATGTGAGTCAGATGCGTTCTTTCTCTCTGGCTCCTAGGGCGCTCAGTAGCTTCCTCCACCTTCAGGCTGTAGCCCAGTCGGGGGCAGGCTGGTCGGCAGCTGGGGGTTGAGGCAGGGAAACTTGAGCCCTAGGCCACGAGGTCCTGGGCCACTAATTTTAGAAAGCACATGTCACTGGAAACTCTCCTTCTCTGCCAGGAATCAATGGCCTGGCTCTTCTGGTGATGCCAGGGGCCCCTGGGAGCCTCTCCCCAAACCGGGAACCTCAGGGGTGTCTCCTGGCCTGGGTGGGTACTTTCTGTCCTGAGTACATCTCGAAAGGGGCTCTTCCGAGGCCCTGGACAGCCATGGCTTGGGCCAGGGAGGTAGCTCACCTTGTCTGCTCTCTACTTTCTCCAGCCCTTCCGGGCTGCCCCTGGCCATGAGCAGAGGCTGCGAAGTGTGAAGGCCTGGCTGGGGCAGGAGGCCACTTCGACTCTTCTGAGTAAGCTGTTGTTGAAGCACCCTGGACTAAGCAGATTTGTCTCTTCCTTCCCCCAGGCCCTGTGTGACCCTTGCCTTCTGAGGTGTGTGAGAAAGGAACCCCTGCCTTGTTTTGACTGTTTGAACAAGTCCTTCCCTCCTCTGTTCCTGCCAGCTAACATCTCGGGGCAAGGGTGAACCAAGGGAAATGAAGTGGCCATTCCAATCTCTGTTTGGGGACTAGCATCTGCCTCCAGCTGCCACGTGTTTGCCTGTCTCTCCTGGCTTCTTCAGATAGGCAGCGTGTGCCTGTGTCCTGATTCCTGTACACCCTCCAGCCCAAGAAGACCTCGTTTGGGGTGCTGTTACATAACGGATGTGTTCCAGTGCAGCCTGAATGACGGGTTGGGAAGGAGGCTGGCCAGAGAAGAGAGTTCTATCTTACGTTGGGACCTGGGAGCCGTTCCCTGTTAGTTTAGAGAGTAGAGTGGTTCCAAGCTCAGGTTCTGGAGTCAGGCAGACATAATTTGGAATTCCAGCCATGTCCGTTTCTGGTTTTTGGCCTTGGGTACATTGATTTACGCTGCTGAACTTCAGTTTCCTTCTCTATAAGCTGGGGCAGTGATAGTAACTTCCTCATCAGGTAGATGTGAGGATGCGGCCTGGCATGTTGGAAGTGCTCAGATTAATTAGCTTCTCTCGTTACCTTACCAAGGCAAGCCCAGCCTTGAGGGGAGGAAGGTGGTGCTGTGGCTTGTCTGGCACGTCTAGGCCCCGACCCGGAAAGTGCCACGTTCCGGGACCTCATGCTGTATCGAGGCTCTTCCCAGCCCCCAGGCTCCTGCTTCCAGCCCCTCCCAGAGCTGAGGGTGGCCGTTGGGCACAGCGGCAGAGGACAGCTCCTGGGCTCCACCTTTTCCCTCACGCTGCCAGCACCAGGTTGGCGGCTTCTCGCTCAGCTGCCTTGGCAAGAGGGCAGGTCCAGGCTGGAGCCAGGTGTTGAGTGGCAGCAACCAGGAGGTGCTCCTGCCAGCCCTTCATGCACTTTTTCTCACTTCTCCCTTCTTTTTGTAAATAATCACGCCTGCTTAGATGCCTGGTGACTCTCATCTTGCAGCAGGCCACACTGTTGGCCTCCAATGAAGCCTTTAAAAAGCAGATGGAGAGTGCTAGTGAGGCGGCCAAGAAGTACACGGAGAATGACCAGCTCAAGAAGGTGAGTCCAGTTTCTCGACCCACCATGGGGCGTCCTGGTGTTATACTGCAGGAGCCATATTCTTTAGGGCCTCAGTGGCCACTGCTAGCCTATCACCCTGGGAAATGTGCCTGAAAAGCCAGAGTTGGGTGGAGGCACAGAGGGGAAGTCCTCAGTGGGGAGAGTATGCCTGCTGGAGACGTCTGTGTGTGGGGGTCCTGGTGAGGAGGAGGGTGTTGCTGCTCACGTTTCCATCCATTGCTTCCAGTCAGACCCTTCCCTGAGAAAAATGGCCCCTCAGTGAGCCAGGCCCTCTGCTGTGAACCGAAAGCCCTCAGCTAGGCCATTGTTCCCTGCAAGATTGCCGCACCCCCTCTGGAACTCGGGGTCTGTGGCATCCCTCAGTGCTGGAGAGGAGGTGGGGCCAGGGTAGTTGGCCAGTCTTAGAAGTCCTGTCAGGAGGTGAGCTGCAAGGCAAGCTCGGAGGGATGTGGATGCAGAGGTGGGATAGAGCTGGCCAGGCCGACTGGGGGCCCCTGACTGCAGTGAGTGGCACCGTGTAGAGAGCACAAGGCACCGCCATCCGCGGAGGGGTTGGTGAGCACCATGGAGCTGCTGAGCCCTGCTGCTCGGGAAGGAGGCAGGGCCAGGGGCCAGGGCAGGCAAGGCGTGCCCGGCGAGCTGCAGCAGGTGGCCCCACTGGCGCTTCTCTTCCCCTTGGCGGGCAGCCACGCCCTGGCCTTTGCCTAAGAGCTGGGAGCAAGTGGTGGCTCTGTTCCGCGTTGACATTTCCGAAGAGGCGAGTGGCCAGGGCAGCTTGAGGAACCGCAGCTTGGTGGGGAGGATGGGGCTGGAACCTCTCCCTCCCTCCCTCCTGAGTAACCCTGACCTTTGGCACTTTTCCCAGTGAGCTGCTGTTGACGGAGGCAAGTTGGATGTCGGGAATGCTGAGGTGAAGTTGGAGGAAGAGAACAGGAGCCTGAAGGCTGAGCTGCAGAAGCTAAAGGATGAGCTGGCCAGCACTAAGCAAAGTGAGGCTTGACCTCATGTCCTTCCCCGCAGGGAAGTCCAGAGGAGCGTCCTCTGCCCGCTGCTGCCCATTTTGTGCCAAAGTACTAGTAACAAGCCTTGCACGCATGCTCAAGGGCTGTGTGAAAACAAACAAATAGCACCCTATGCCTCCAACCCCAATGCAGCCATGCTTAGCCGGCAGGCCAGTGAGACTAAGTGGTTTGAATGGGGCTCAGGAGGAACCAGGCTGCAGTTGGTGGGACTCGATTGCCCTGCGCTAGAGCAGTGCACGCTGGGGCTTTCCCATCCAGAGTGTGGCACGGTAGCCCCAGCCTGCCTGGGGGCTTAGAATGAGGGGAGTGTGGGAGTGGTGTTCAGGAGCGGAGTGGGCAGCTCCCAGGCGGCCTGCCTGTCTTTGGTCTCCCATGCATAGACTTAAGTCTGGGGCGTTTTCCCACAATACCACAGGCCTCGCCTGCTGCTGCTGTCTGCAAGGCATGGTTGTCATTGGGTCTCGCTTTCAGGCTGGGATCTTGTTCCCTGTCTCCCACTCTCAGCCTCCCTGGAGGTTACCCTTGCCGAGAGCCACTAGAGTTCCCCTCCATTAAAGGGACTGGGGGATGTCCTCTGTATTTCTTTTGCTTTATCTTGAGCTTTTTTGTCAGCCTTTCCCTCTACTTTGGGGGCCTGCAAAAGCAGAGCGGTTTTATTTTGAGAAGTAGGCTCCTGTATAACCTCGTTTGAGATAGATTTGGGCCAGTTTCTGGTGTCTGTAGAAGCTGGGTTTTTACCCCCGATTCCTGTCTTTTCATTTCTGTTTTCTTGGTCATTTACATCATTTCAAGAACTAGAGAAAGCTGAAAACCAGGTTCTGGCCATGCAGAAGCAGTCTGAGGGCCTCACCAAGGAGTACGACCGCTTGCAGTAGGAGCACGCAAAGCTGCAGGTCAGCCCTCACGTATCGCTGCGCCCAGGGCAGGAAAGCAGAGCAGGATGAGGCAGCCCCTGCGGGTGCGGAGGGAACCTTCCAGGGGCCCAGGGGCCGGCTGCCCTCTCCCCCACTCCCCCTGGCCACCTCTGCCCTACCGAGTGGGACCATTCACCGGGCAGGAGAGGGGTGGCCTGGCAGCAGATGTAGACACTTGCCGAGGCAGCCCTCAGGAGTGGCACTGGCTCACTAGGCTCTAAGCCTTCCTATCTTCGTGCTCAGGCTCATTCCATGGTTTGGGGCCCAGTCAAGAACAAAGAAGCAGGTGAAACTCTGGGACCCACTGCTGGCCTTCTTTCCTAGAGTGCTGGGGGGTGACATAGGGCAAAGATCCCTGGGCAAGTAAGGGCACAAGGTGTCAAAAAGGCACCTCCCCTAGCAGGCACTAGTTGTGGCCATCACCTGCTGCCCTAGGCCTGATCCAAGTCCTCAGACTAGCTTGGGTGCACCAGGCCACATTTGGAAGCCAGGCGGTCTTGACGTTGGGAGTGAGGGCCACATAAATACTCCTAACTTTGGACAGCTGGCCTCAGTGCTTGGTGGCCCAAGTTTGGGCACCACAGCAGGTGGGGAGGAAGGGTCCAGCCTCAAAGAGGGCACCCATGCCCTCTGTATAGGGCAGGCTTGGCAGACGGGACTTGGGCTTCGAGGGCACCTGTCAAAGGTGTGCAGAGTTGGGAAGGGCCTGATCAGGTCTTGAAGGGTACTGGATACCTTGCTGTTCCCTGCAGCCAGGACTCAGCCCCCAGTGAGGTCCTGGCAGTCCTCCCTGGCTGGCGTTAGGTCCAGGGCTTTCCTTAGAGCGTGGGCCAGGGCTGATGCTCCTACCCTGGCAGGCCTTTGGGTGTAGCCGGGGAGGGGGCCCCTTGCTCACTTGAATAGCTCTCATTAGGAGAGAGGGGAACCGAGCTGGACCTCTGGGGCAGGGGGCTGGAGATGGCAGGGGAAGAGTGGACCTGGCCAACCTACTGCTGTGGGATTTCTGTCCCTTTCCAGGCTACAGTAGTTGGTCCCATGGACAAGAAGAAAGAGTAAGGGCCTCCTTCCTCCCTGGCCTGCAGCTGGCTTCCACCTGGCACGTGCCTGCTGCTTCCTGAGAGCCCAGCCTCTCCCTCCAGTACTTCTGTTTGTGCCCTTCACTTCCCCCATTCCCTTCCACAGCTCATAGCTCGTCATCTTGGCCCTTGTCCACACTCTCCAAGCACATTACAGGGTACCTGATTGCTACACGTTCAGAATGCATTTGCTGTTATCCTGCTTGGCCTGGCCAGGCCTGGCACAGCCCTGGCTTCCACGCCTGAGCGTGGAGGACACGAGTTAGTTGTAGTTTGGCTTGCGGTGGGGCTGACTTCCTGTTGGTTTGAGCCCTTTTTTGTTTTGCCCTCTGGGTGTTTTCTTTGGTCCCGCAGGAGGGTGGGTGGAGCAGGTGGACTGGAGTTTCTCTTGAGGGCAATAAAAGTTGTCATGGTGTGTATGTGGTGCGGTGTGTGACTGTGGCCATGGAGAGGGCTCTGCTTTCTTTCCTGCCTGGAGCCCCCAAGGGGCCACAGGCCTTCAACCTGTTTCCACCACTGAAGGCCAGGCTCACACCTGTTCTCAAAGGCCCTGCCCTCTCTGTCCTCTTGCTCCCCGGGCTGGGCCAGGCCTCGCTTCAGGGCCACCCACTGAGTGTGTGTCCTGTCTGCCTCCCTGGGTGTGGGCAGCTTGGGAGGCTCAGTAAACCGGCAGGGCTTCTGGGTAGAGGACTCGCTTGCCTTCTCTGGGTTCCCGTTCGTCACATTTGGGACAGACAGAACGTGGCAGAATGCCACTAGTCACTCCCTGCCCCACCCCCTCCTGAAGGTTTGCAGGATGACCTCTGACTAATGCCAGCTGGGAGAGGAGACTTGTCCTTGGCAGTGACCTGGAGCTGGCCCAGGGCAGAGCTAGGCAGAAAGGGGCTGGGGCCCTTGGCCCTGAGAACGTGCTGGGTGTGTGCCTGCCACCAGAGCGCTGTGCTGGTGCTGGCTCCAGGGCGTCCCTCCCGTGGCTCCCTCAAAGCTGTGTCTTCCAGGCCCACAGCAAGCCAGGCCAGAACCGAGGCTTCCTGCCTGGCGCCAGTGCCCAGGCCCCTGCACTGTGCTGCTCTCCAGTAGCACATGAGGAAGGCAGTCCCCGCCCGCAGCACAGTGCTCCCACCCTGCAGGGCCTCTGCCATGCCTGGTGTCTGCATGAGGACTGGGCGGAAGGGTCAGGGGAGCAGGTTAGAGGTGTGTCTCCTGGAACTGGGGGGACCCCTGAAGGATGTTGATGCTGGCAGGGTAGCTGATGGCCTGCTGTGCATGCTTGCTTCTGCCTGCCCTGCCCAGGCCCAGGCCAGTGGTTCCCTTCTCTAGCATCCTGTCGCCCTTCCCTTGTGCTCAGAGCACAGCTGCCTCGTGACAAGTTCTGTCCCTTTCCAGGCGGTCTGAGAGGTGGTGTCTGAGGGAGTAGGGGACACGTGGGCAATACCCTCTGGTTGCTGTGCCAAGGCCGAAGGCTGATACCACTTCTCCAGGAAGTGTTCTCGGCTACCTTGGGCCTCCCTGAGCTCACCCTTCTCTGAGCTTTGAAAGGCTAAAGTCCAAATGGGTGCTTCCCTCACCAGCCCTGATGGCTTCTTCCACTGTTCTGCCTAGGCTAGCAGCAGACAGAAAGCTGCACGAGGCCAGCTTCTGGAGCGCCCTTTCTAGTGGAGTGATGGAACAACATTGGGGCAGGGGGTGTGGGCACAGGCTCTTAGAGATGAAAATTGAGGCGCTTGCCCAGCCTAGACTGGAGGGCGGCCTGCAGGCTTGCGCTTTCCTGGATCAGCTTCTGTTCCAGGGCATCTGCACCCGTGGGCATCCTGATCTGTTTTCTTACCCATCTTCCACTAGACTGTGAGCTGCTTGAGGGCAAAGCCTGCTGCTTGTTGATCTCTGTGTCCTAACCCCTCATGCGGGAGCTAAGTCCTGAGGTAATGGTGTCTCCATTTCAGAACCCACTTTAAATGACATGCTTCTGTGAAGTTTCCTTTTTTCAATGTCTTTTTTCTGTGTGTTTGGTGTCATTGTGGTGCATGAGGTGGCTTGGAGGGCATTTGGCCTGGAGGTGTGGAGAACAATTAGCAGAGGGTGATTGTCATCCAGGCAGAGACCTGGCTGACAGTGTATAAAGCAGTTGGCCTGAGCTCAGGGGTCCTGAGGGTGACCGTGGGCTGCAGGACAGTTGGAGTCGGTTGGGGACAGGGGCTGTGTGAAGGCCTGGGGCACCCTAGGGAGAGGTCTTGCCGACGTTGGGAAGCACCTTTGCAGCTAAGGAGGGCCAGGCTGGAGATCTGGGAGCTGCCAGCCAGGTGGGGTTCTTGAAGGCGCAGGCATGGTGAGAGGACAGGCTTCTCGGGGAGAAAAAGAAAACTAGAAACAGTGGTTGCCGAAGAGATGGGGGCCAGAGCAGGCTCCAGAGCCCCCAGCTGAGCTAGGGTGGGACTGCGCTGCCACTCCTTTCTCTGCTCCCTGTCTGGTCCATGTATTTCTCACCCAGGCTCTTGGTTGGCCGTATTCTAAGCCAGGTCCCTCTCCTGGCTCCAGAAGTTTAGGGGTAAAGCCCCTCCATAGGGGGTGCTGCCTGCTGAGGAGCAGGGCCTCTGGGGGTTCTCCCATAGCACGATAGCAGTCCTGGGCAGGACGCAAAGGGAGCAGCCCAAGCTGTCACTTTGCTCTGAGGGGTCACCTGCTCCCCCTTCACAGGCTCCAATCCCTGATGCTCTCTGTGCTTGCCTGAGCCACCCACTGCATTGCCTGCTGTGCCCTGCCATGGTGCCCAGCCCTTTCAGGGTGGGGTGCCACATGCTCATCTTGTGCATGGGTCCCGCCCCTTGAAGGACCTGTCTGTACTCACTGTCTTCAATTCCTCTCCGCCTCTTCTCATGGTAAAACGCATGTATATCACACATATATATAGTGTCATCAATGTATATGTAATGAGCCATTTTCACCATCGTTAAGTGTGCAATTCAGTGGCATTAAGTGCAGCCACAGTGTTGCGCAGCCACCACTTCCGTCCACCTCTAGAATTTATTTTCTCAAACTGACACTCTGTCCCCACTCAACACTCCCCACCCTGTCCCCAGCCCCTGGCACCCACCCTTGCCCTCTGTCTCTGTGGATCTCCCTCCTCTCATGTAAGGCCCTGTCTCTCTCTCAGGAGCAGAACCCTATAGCAAGTGTCTCTTTATGATGGATCATTTCACAGAAATGCCCTCCAGGGGTCAGCCATGTTGTGTCGTGTGTTGGAGTGCCTTCCCTTTCCAGGCCGGCTCATATTTCCTTGTCTGGGTAAACTATGTTGTTGTCTCTCCCTTCGTCTGCAGATGACAATGGGCTGCCGCCACTCCTTTTCTCAATCGCACACCAACCAGCCTTTCACACGCAACCCCTCATGCAAGCCACCCTCACCAGGCCCCTGTGACCCTTGCCAGACTCAGTGAGCATTTGCAGGTCACTGTCCTTCACCAGCAGCAGCAGCAGCAGCAGCACTGGACAGATGGAGCCAGCCACTGCTCCTCCCTGACCTGTGAGGGGTCCTCACTGGCTCAGGTTGCAGGACCCCACCAGGAGCTCTCAGGCATCCTCCCCCATTGCTGCCACATCTTCCCTCTGCCCCTCTCATTGTGTCCCCGGACTTGCGGCGTCCCTGTGAGCTCACCCAGGTTCAGGGCTTTCAGTGTCATCTCTATGTGGTAAGAACTTGCAAAGTTCCATCTCCAGTACTTTCTGGAACTCCTGTGTCCACCTGCCAACTAGACATCTCCACTTGGATGACACTTCCTGCATGACACACCCAAGGCTGACTCCGGACCATTCTCTCCTTGCCTCCCCATTGCAGGACCTGGCAGCTCCATCTTTCCTCTTGCTCAGGCCAAATCTGTTGTCCTTAACTCCTCTTTGAGCCCTGCATCCTGGTCATGCACAACCCCTACTGGCTCCACCTTCAAAATTGATCCCTGATGCAAAGAGTTATCCCCTCTGCTGCTATCAGCCTGGCCCAAGTGACACAAGGCACCTGTTCAGTGACAAATTCTTGGGGTAACATTTTGAAAATTTCAGCACCCATGGCTTTACACCCATCCTTCCCCGTGGGTGTGGCTGCTCTCCAGCTCTCTCATCCTGCTCTCCCCAGGTGCCTCGGCTCCAGGGGGACAAGGTTTTCCCTGGGCTGCTGCCTTCCCTGCTCCCTTCCCAGTCCCCAGAAGGGTGCCGGCCTCAGAGGCCTCCAGAGTAGAGCCTTGCCCACCACAGCAGCTCCAGCTGGAGGAGGTTCCCCCTACTTCCTGCACCTCGACCCCTTAGAGCAGCAGAGGCAGAAGCAGAGGCCTGCTTTGGAAAATGACAGGTTTTTATTGCTATGTTTGCAGTGGCTTTTTAGCACAGTAAGAATGTCCCCGCAGGCCCACCACCCTCACGCAGCCCCAGCCCTCCAGCCTCTGTCCGGGTGTCAGGGAAGCCTTTCTTGGGGTCACTCAGCCGTCTCGGGACTGGACGTGACAGACATACGTGGGTTAAAGCCGCTACACAGAAGACTGGAGGTGCAGGAAGTGCATCCGCCTTGAGCCTGGATGTGGGAGCCGTGTCCGGGGTCCCTTCCCGGGGGTGTGCCCAGCCCAGGGCACAGGGTGGGAAGCCTGAGCAGGCCAGGTTAGCAGCCCAGACACCCAGGATGGAATATTGCAGCCTCTTGCCCCACAGACCTGTGGGCAAAGGGACAGTGTGGGGACAGCCCCGAGGCCCCCACCATGCACTTTTCCAATCCATTCTGGGTCTGGGGACCACACACACACATCCACACAACAGACTCGCACATGCAACAGCTCGAAGCTTTTGTTTTGCCTCTGAAAGTTAGATCTATAAATTCACACTCCTAGGCTAGGGGCAGAGGGGTAAGGTAGGGCTCACAGGAATGGGAGTGGTAAGGAGAGGATGGTTTGGGCTCCTTCCTCTTTTTAGAAATATACAAGCAGAAATCTCATTCTCTCAAGTTTTTATAAAATGTGCAAAATACAAGCCTCCTTTGCCTAGAGGCACCATTTACATCTGGTATTCACCTTTGCTAAGAGATAGAGATCTATATATACTCTACGTGCTCACGCACGCGTGCACTCGCACCCAAGCTCACACAATTGATATTGGTGGTGATTGGCGCAGGAACCAGAAGGTTCCACTGCTGGCTGGCTCTCTAAGCTTCTATAACAGGGATGGGGAGAGGGGTATAGCCCAGCTGAAATATTTGTCTTGGTTCTGCTGCCCCTCCCTTGCCTCCCTTCTCCTCTCTCTCCTCCCTCCCGTCTCTCCCTCCTTCCCTTCCTCACATTTCCCAAGCTGCCACTGCTGCTTCTGGGGTGAGGGGTCACCCAAGGGTGTGCTACAGAGCAGAGCCTGGAGAGGTGGGCAGGGGGTGGGCGTGGCAGGGGCAGGAGGAGTGCAGCACTGTGGGTGGGGGTGGGGCACTAGGCGGGGCCTAGGACCAGCTGGGCTAGGACTGGAGGGGGAGAGGCATCTATTTTTGGTGGGTTGTGATATTTTTGGCGTTTTATTAAAAATGGAAAAAGTTGTTTTAGTGAGCACTCATGGTGCTTTCTCCCCTCCTCTCCCAGGCAGACCCCAAAAGCGTCAGGGAAAGGCAGGCCCCCTGGAGGGGTGGGGTGGGGATGAAGCAGGGGCTGCTATGGCTACCAGAGGTGAGCTGGTGATGTGAGCTGAGCTGTCCCATGACACTCTCCACCACGACGACCTTGCTGCTCTCGGACACTGGGGTCAGGGTGGTCAGGCCCCTGACATCTGCATCCTGAGCTCGGTACTCCAAGTGGTGGAGGCCCCAGATGGTCTGGGTCAGGTGCTTCCAGCACTGCAGGAGAGGACATGTTGAAGCCCCCAGAGTCACCTGCTCATCCCCATGGTGACTTCCTCTGCCTCTCTCCAGCTCCTGCTGCCTGCCACCCTAGTCAGGGCCACTCCTTGGCTAGGAAGCAGGCTGGGTTGAATGTTCATAGCAGGGGAGGGGAGGGCAGGCCGGGAGGGAGCCTTACCTCAGCCATGGTGCCCTTGGCCCTGAGGAGGCAGCCCAGGAGGTGCAGTGGCATGCACAGCATGGAGGACAGCACGAAGGCCCAGCCCATGGCCTCACCCCACCACGGGTACACGTTGGTGTTGTTGTAGACCAGCGGCTCGTAGTACACAACGTTGAAGATGAAGATGCCCTACAGACCAGAATGCCGTGGTTAATGGGGCCCCCACCCCGCCCCGCCCCCCCCACCCCGCCCCACCTCCCCCAGCCCTTACCATGCAAACCAGCGGGGTGAAGAAGGACCAGCACCATTTCATCCAGGGGCAAGGTCGGTACCCGATCATACAGGCAATGTCGTCCGTGAAGCGGTCAGCTCCTGTGGCAAGGCGAGGCGGGAGGGCCAAGCTGGAGACCTGCCTTCCCCGCCACCATGCCCCAGCCCAGCCCTCAGCCATGACCTACCATACACCCAGGCCACCACCACGCACTCCCAAAAGGCCTGCCAGAGCAGGGTGGTGCCGCTGGCTGAGTAGTAGTCAAACAGCTGGAAGACATACATCCCACCCTGGGGGACAGAGCCCAGTCAGGGAGGATGGCAGACGGCCACCAGAGGTCACAGGCAGACCCCCCACCCCACTCACATCAGTCACCATGGAGAGATCAATGACAAAGCGGAGGGCACAACAGAGGGCCACAGAGATCTCCCTTTGGAAACAGAAGTAGTAGGAGGCTGGGAGGAGGTTGAGGAGGCCGGTGATGAAGCCCTCCACACCTACAAACTGTGGCCAGGCCAGCTCAGGCCGAGCCCCGCACCACCCTCCACCCCTTTCCTTGCCCGCAGCCCTCACTCCGCCCCTCTCCTGGCTCCCTGTCCCAGAGCCCCATGCAAATCTGGCTGTCGAGACCAAGCAGCAACAGCATGAAGAAGAACAGGGCAGCCCAGAGTGGGGCCACTGGCATCAGTGTGACAGCCTGTGGGTAGGCGATGAAGGCCAGGCCCGGCCCTGTGGGAAAGGTGCAGGCTCTAGACCTTGCAGCCGATGTCCTGCCCTGCGCGCACCCTGAGCCCTGCCTGCAACACTCACGCCCATGCCCATGCCTGCCTCTGAGGTGCTGTCAACCCTGGGTCATGCAGCAGGGGCTGGGAGGTCCTGTCTCTGTCAACATTGAAAAATCCCAGGACCTGCCCCCACAGGCCCACAATCTGAGAAGTTCTGTTTGAATCCTCATCACTTTTCAGCATTTCTATTGCGTGTTCTTGTACATCATGCATCTGGGTGGCAGTTGCTGCTCTGGCGGCGGGGCTGGGGGTAGGGCCCTACCTGACTCTGCCACCTTGGAGATGTGCATGCCCTGCTCTGCAGCCATGAAGCCCAGGATGGAGAAGACCACGAAGCCAGCAAAGAAGCTGGTCCCACTGTTGATGACAGCCAGGATGATGGCGTCCTGGAGGGGTGGAGGGGCCAGAGTGGATGGGTTAGGCTGCTGGGCAGGGCAGGGCGGGACAGGGCACGGGTGGCAGGGCAGCAGTGCTTACTTGTAGCAGTTGTTGTTGAAGCGGTTGTAGCTGCCCAGGGCTGTGAGGGCCCCCAGGCCAATGGCATAAGAAAAGAAAATCTGGGTCCCCACATCTATCCATACCTAGAGGAGGGCTGGAGAGCGCAGGCATGAGGGGCCTGCAGGGCTCCCCCACAACATCCTGCTGCAGCCTCCCCACCTCCACCTCACCTGAGGGGACCCCAGCTTTGACCAGTCAGGCTTGAGATAGTAAATGATGCTGTCCAGGGTGCCAGGCAGCAGCACTCCAAGCACAAGCAGCACGACCAGGACCACGTAGGGGAATGTAGCAGTGAAGTACACGATCTGGGGGGCCAGGCTGCTCAGCGGGGACTGCGGCACCACCTCCCTCACAAGCCCACTCCGAGCACCTCCGGTCCCCCTTGCGGGCAGGTATGTTCAGAGGTCCCCATTCTCCTCCGAGCCATAGCTCCCGCCAGAGGAAGCTAGGGGCAAGGCTGGGCCCCGGCAGCCCTGGCAAGTGCAGTGGGGAAGCTCTCTGGGCGCCTCGTTTGTCTGCAGGGATGCATGTCAGTGGGGAGCGGGCGGGCCTCTGGGAGCTCTCCTCAGTGGGGACAGGAGGCATGGAGCATGTGGGGAGTGAGAGCTGTGTGAGTGTGTGGGCAGTGCACGCATGGGAGGCCCAGGCAGGGAGCGGGATATTGGATCAGGGCCGGGCCCCCCTCCTCTTCTGGAGAGAGGTCGGGGCTGAGCAGGTGAAGAGTGGAACTGGGCCAGGCAGAGGCAGGCAAGATGCGGCTGCCACACTGTCTGCCCCCTCTTCCCACATGCTGCTCTGGGGACCTTGTCCCCCAGGGAGCTGGCCATGTCCCACAGCTCTGGACATTGTCTTCTTTGTTCAGGTGACTCCCCAGCCTGACCAGGAGCCCCCAAGGGATGTGGCCAGACTCTGCTCTGTGTCCCCAAGGCAAGATAGGCAGGTAACAGATGGCCAGACCAGGTCCAGCAGACTGTCACAAGAGTCAGAGACTGGCAGGAGGGCACCGGTGGGGGTGATGGGCACAGGGAAGGGACAGTGCCTGCTGGGGCCTCTCCCCACAGGAGCAAAGGCTGCTGGGCCCTGGATTTGCAGGGTGGGGAGTGTTGCTTGGCTTTCAGTACCTCCCCCTTCCTTAGGGCTAGACTCTGTCTGGTCACCTCCCGTTGCCACGGGTGTGCCTGGCACAGACATCCAGCTCCCAGGGCTGAGCCACCCTCCCCCCTGCATGCCTCTAGTGGTACCTTTCCCATGGATTTGACCCCCTTTCAGACACAGAAGTAGACCAGCACCCAGCAGGCCAGCAGACAAAGGGTCACCTCCCAGTTGAGGGCCCCTGGCACCTCCAGTCCCCCAGACAGCCTCAAGACTTTGTTCCTAGGGGAGGGAGGGAGGTCCCATGAGGCCTGTGCCAGCAGAGGATGGAGCCACAGGGTCCACCCCCAGGAGTCGTGGCTCCCTTCTCTCCCACAGCCCAGGGTTCAGTGGGCCCTCTTGTCCATCTGGGCTGGGCCTGGAGCCCACGAGCCCCTGGCCTTTGGGAGGCCACTCCCATCCCACCCCACATGCAGCCCCAGCTCCCCCATCAGGCGGGAGTGACCAGGACAGTGATAGGCTGCCGAACCCAGGAGCAAGGCTGACCTGGCGCAGCCCCTGGGGCTGGCCCCAGGACTCTCCGAGGGCAGACAAGGGCAGGCAGGGTCCAGGAGGGACTGCCAAGAAACACCCTGGTCCCCTCTCAGGGCCATTCCCCTGGAGCCGGGCAACATGAGGGAGACCTGGGGGATGGGATGGGCTTGGCCCAGAGGTGCTGGACTCACTCCCAGAACTCGATGACAGGGGACCGGCGGTCAGCAAGCTGGTCACAAGTGAGGTTGGCCAGGCTGGCACTGGCACAGTCTTCATGGCGGAAGATCTCCACACAGTCGGGAGTGTTCCAGGTGTGGCCACATGTGGCCCAGGGCAGCGTGGTGGTAAAGGACTTGACCAGGTAATAGAAGCCCCAGGCCAGCACCATGATGTAGTAGGTGTTGCAGTAGAAGACGATCACCATGGAGGCATAGCCCAGGCCTGGGGCCGGGAAGTCCTTGCCATGTAGATTCTTTCCTGGCCACCTCCCCTGCCACCCCTTTATCTCCCCACCCAGGCTGGCAGTGCTCCCACCGTCTGTCCTTCTGGAGCCTTGTTTGTGGTGCTCCTGACTCCCCTGGACTCCCCCTTGTGTGAGCCCCAACACTGGGCTGACTCCCCAGCCTCTCTCCTCTCCTCCAGCCGCCCCCTAGACCCAAGGCAGAGCGAGCCCCTCTCCTCCTGTCCCCATCTGACCAAGTGCTGTTGAGTCTCCAGCCTTACACACCTGGCCCCTTCTGTGGGTCCCACTGCCACCATGGCGGTTCCAGGAGGTCCAAGCCTCCACCTGGCCACCCAGTAGCTCCAGTCCTCAGCAGCTGGTGGTGGTGGTGGTGGGGAGGGGGGGAGTTTCTAGTAGCCTGAGGTAGTGTTGGAGACAGTTGCCCCCGTAGTGGGCAACCTCAGTACGTCGCTCCACCTGTCTGTGCCCCAGCGTCCTTGGGGACAGTAATAGTAGGACCTACCTAGAGAGCCAAGTGTGCTGGGCAGGTCCCATCCCCAGCCCGGCTATGCCTGGCCTGTCCTTGCCTTGTGGAGCTGCCTATGCCCCCTCTAGTCCCTGCTTCCCCAAGTTCACTGTGCGGCCTGAACATCTCCTCCAGGCTCCCCCCTCGAGACTGGGATGCCATCACGTGGCCCCAGGCCTGGTGCTCAGGACAGGAAAAGATTTCTCAAGTGGGAGCCAGCTGGGAAAAGGGGGCAGTCCCTGAGGCTGGCCAAGGGCTGCTCACCTTTGAACAAGGGACAGATGTTCCAGACATTGATGCTGCCGGCCTTCATGAACTGGCCCAGCGAGATCTCCAAGAAGAAAATGGGGATTCCTCCGACCAGGGCTATCAGGATGCAGGGAATAAGGAACACACCTGGGGGTGGAGGCACAGGGTGGACTCAGGGTGGCCCCCAGCCAGGCTGCCCAGGCCCAGCGGGCCAGCCCAGACTCCAAAGGCCCCATCACAACTTCCCACTGGGTGAGTCAGTGTAGGGGTGGCCACGTAGGGTCTTGAGGGGCTGGGTTCAGTGTGTTGAAGAGGTGCTACAGTAGCCCCTGGGCCATTGAAGTCCTATTCCCTGGGTGGCAGAGAGGCGCTAGGCCCACAGGGCTTCCACCCCCACGGTCACTTGGGGTGATGGCCATGGAGGACACGCACGCTCAGACACGCAGCCTGTCCCTAGTGCCGCAATTCCCTGTTTCAGGCAGCACAGTGAGGGCACGTGCGTGTGTGCATGTGCGCCAAGGCTGGGTGATCAGGCCTGAGGGGCTCATCCAAAGGCAGGGAGCGCGACTGTCCTGCACTTGGACGCTTGCCTGCAAGTGTGAGGTCCAAGGCAGAGGGCGGATGGGTCACAGTCCCCTGCTGGTGGGATGGCCACGTGCAAGGACAGAGGGATACAGGTGCGGGAAGAGGGGCCAGGCCGGCCTTAGCAAGCCCAGGGAGTCAGGCTCTACAGGAGATAGGCAGGGCATGGCACAGGCCCTGGCCAGCAGGCTGGGGTGGGGGTGGCAAAAGGGCAGGGAGAGCTGGGTGCCACTACCCCCTTCTCCTCTCTGGGCCTCCTACCCTTGCCCTGGCTGGGCTCGCTCCACTACTCAGAGGCCGAGCTTGGCTGCAACTTGCCTGACTCCAGGTCCCAGCATCCTTCTCCTAACTTTGGGCAAAGGCCTTTGCTCTGGACCTCTGTTTCCCACCCATCACTGGGTCACTTCGGCTTCCAGAAACCCCAGTGCTGTTTTGTAGTCACAGGACACACGCGTGCCCATCGCTCTTGCTAAGCTGGGCCCGGGCAGGCGGACGGGCATGGGACGTGCATGCAGTGTTTCCAGTGGCGGCGCCAGGCGGGCCAGGCCACAGGCTTCCCAAGCCTGGCTCAGGTACCCAGTGTTCCAGGCCCGGGCCAGAGGGGAGGAGCGGGAGGGCTGCGAGGGGAGGGCAGGGAGAGGGACAGAGTGGCCCATTGTGTGTGTGTGTGTTCGTGTGTGTGCACACGTGGGGGGCCCACACAATGTGCCGCTTGTGTGCCCGACCCGCAGGGGCAGCCAGGGCTCCTTACCTCGAGGAGACCCCAAGGCGCAGGCCTGCTTTCCCACCTCGGCGGCCAATCGCTCCTTCCAGCCCAGGAGTCTGGGGGGCAGCCTCGCGGGCATCGCCGGCCCCCGCCCCTCACCCTGCCAGGCACATGACTGCGAGAGGGGTGGAGGCGGACGGCCCAGCCACCGAGCAGCAGCGGTGGACCAGGGGCGGCCCCGACCCCGCGTGCCCAGGGGCCAACCGCTGCCCGGACTTCACCCCTCCGCGGCGGCTCCGGGGATTGGGGGTCGGGCGTCAGGGGCCGGCGGCCTGCTGGGGGAGGGGGCCGCGGGGGGCGGGGGAGCTCACCTCCGCCATTCTTGTAGCACAGGTAGGGGAAGCGCCACACGTTGCCCAGATCCACGGCGAAGCCCACACACGACATGATGAAGTCCATCTGGCGCGTCCAGGTCTATCGCGCGCGCCGGCACGGCCAGGCCACCGCCGGGTGTCCCCAGGCCCGCGGGGCCGTCGCCCTTGGCCCGGGCCCCGTCAGGCCCGGGCGCGATGAGGGGGCCCTTCTTCTGGTCGCCGGACACGCTACAGATGCCGTTCTCGGCGCTCTTCTTCGCCATGGCCCCTGCGGGCCTCACGGCCGGGCTGGGGTCGCGGCACCCTGCGGGGGGCTGCGGTCAGGCGCGGGGCACCGGCGGCACCGGGGAGGGCCCCGAGGGCGCGGGCCGGCCGGGGGCCGGGGGGCGGCCGGGCCGGGGGACGGGGCGGCGGGAGGGCGGCGGGGTGCGGGTCACAGGCGGCGCAGTCAGAAGCAGTCCACGAAGCACTTGAAAGTGAGCCTGAAGAATCTCCTGTGTGTCAGGGGCCCGGGGGCGCGCGGGCGTCGGCGGGGCCCGGCCAGGCGTCCGCGGCAGCGGTTCCGAGGCTCTTGCCCGCGGCTCGGGCGGTGGCGGCTGCCACGGCTCCTCGGCCGACCCGAGGCTCAGCCTAGCGGGGCGCGGGCGATATCGGCGCCCGCAGTCTGCAAGCGGCGGCTGGAGCAGGGGCCTGTGGCCCGCGCCCCCGGCCCCGGCCGGGGCCCGCGGCGGCTGCCCGGCTCACCCGAGACTCCGTTGGCGGCGGCGGCAGCTCAGGCGCGCCTCGCCCTCTCCTTCTGGGCGGCGGCGGCTGCAGCCGCTCTCGGGGCCGCGGCGGGCTCAGCGACTCGCCACCGCGTTCCGACTGTTCCTCTCTTCCCGGTTCCCGGCCGGCAGCCGCTTAAAAACCGACTCCGGGATGATGTCACTATCGCCCCACCCCCACGGCTGGCCGGCCCCCCTCTCCCTCCCGCCCTGCTCGTCACAGTCCGCCCCCCTTGTCCCTGCCCTCCTCCCGGGGAGGAGTCGCCGCTCCAGCGGGAGGCAGGATGGTTGCTACCTGGGGCGGCCGCCAGCTCCTCCCGCAGGGCTCCGGGCCGCCCCTCACCCCAGGGTCGCCCGCTCCTAGTGTGGCCCAGGCTTCCCGGCCTGCCCCTCCCAGCCCTAGGAAGACGTCCCCCGGGCCCCCTCAGCCCTCCGCCTCCCCTTCTCTCCCTTTCTCCCCGCTCCTGGCAGGCTGCAGCCGTCTCCTCCCGGTGCTCGCTCCTTCCTTGAGCTCTGTCCACCGCTGCCCACTGGGGGCTAGAGCTTCCCGGCTACCCTGGAAGCTGGAGGCTGGGACCAGCTCTTCAGGTGACAGGCCTCTGTGTCTCCACAGTGGCCAGAGGGGAGCCTGCCTGACTGATGAGCAAGGCTCCACTTTGTCACCAAGGCAGAGAAGGGGCCCGGGTAAATGACCCCGGTGGCCCCCACCCCTGCCTGGCATGAGAGTGGGTAGGGGCTTCGGACTTGAGGGGACTGGAGCGGGAATAAGGCAAGGCTGCCCCCTGGTGCCTGGCGGGTGCACAGACCCTTCCCCAAAGGCCTCAGGTCTGAGGTCCTGGCTGCCCGCCCCCCACCCACCCCGTGTTCCTCTCCCCAGGACCCCCAGGCCTACCCAGCAAGAGCCAGCTTGTTGGGCTGCCTCTCCGCCACCAGCTGAGCAGCTTGGTTAGAATTTTCTAGGGCAAGAGTAGCCTGGGGGTGGGGTGGGGAAGGAAGTGGTCATTCTCCTGGCCTGGGAGGTAAAGTGTGCCCCCCTCAACTTCAAGCTCCCTGATCTGATCGTGGACACTGCAGTCCCCAGATGGCTCATCCCGTTAAGCTAAGCCCTCGGCCATCCCTCCAGCTTTAGGAAGAAAAGCAGTTCTGGCCCAAGCCAGACTGAGCTTCCTGGGTGAGGGAGGGGCAGTGTCCCTACCCAGGCTTGGAGGAGGAGCCTCAAGGGGTGTGTGTGGTTGGGGGAGACAGGCGGTGTCACCTGTGCTTAGACCAGGGGCGGTGGGCGGGTACCCTTGAGGTGGCAAGGTCACACTGCTCATCAGAAGTTTCTCACTAGGGTCTTCTCTGGCCCAGCCTTTGACTGAAGCTGGTCTGGAGACAGGGGCGTTAGAGAAGTGACTCATAGATGGCCTAAATAAGCGGGGCCACTCAAGGACCCAGGACAGGGGGAAGAGGGCCAACCCAGCTGGACCGCAGGCAAACCCCATGGCCTTTGAGAGAAGAGAGAAGAGGACCCGGTGAAGTAGGCTCCGAGGGCCTCAGCCCAGCAGGAGCGCAGGGTGGGCGCGTGATGTCATCGAAGGGAAGACAGTGACCTGGGGGAGGGCCGCTTTGAGGGAGAGTGCAGGCCACCGCCAGAGAGCTCTGGGAGCCGAGGGCAGGGAAGACTTTCAGATGTTGCTTGTCCAAGGGGTGGGGGTGGAAGGGAGAGAGAGCAGAGGCTCGAGAGGGATGTAGGAGAGCTGATGGCACTTTGGGGACAGCCTCAGGGCTGCAATTGAGGAGGGCTCCCTCCCTCATGCAGGCTTTTCCTCCAGGAGCTGCACCAGGAACTCACAGAGGATCAGGGAGAATTCTGAGAACATGCTACTGTGGTGCTGCCTAGAGAGGAAGGATAAATGATGACAAGTACACCTCTGAGTAACGTATGGGCACTTGTTCATGAAAACTGTTTTTCTGAAAGCTTGTGAAGGTCTTGAAATACTCGCTATCAGTTGAGGACAAACATTTACACCCTCCTTCCACAGGGAGTTCAAGCAGGCTGGATGGGTCCATCTATGGATGATCTTCCCCAGCCCCTTCCTCTTCCCAGCTCATCCCTGGCTCTCTGTGTGAACAGGTCTCATCAGTGGAATGTGGTTGATGAAGTGAGGTCTTCAATTTTCTCATCTACTGTGTAGTCATGTTATTTTCCTCATCTGAGGCTTAAAAACTCACCTGCATGCAGCACATGACAGCTTAAAATCTCTTGTGAACAAAACAGTAACAAAGACACCCACCAGCGTTGAGCATCCCGTGTTGATGACAGCGACCACCAGGGGTCAACGTCCTCTTCACAATCCTGTGTCAGAGCATCACTTGACTGATTTCATTAGCAACTTCCCAGGAGAATCAGCTTACAAAATACTTGTCCCATTTTCCATGCAGATGTAACCCATCTATTTCACTGAAGAAATGGGAAGAGCTGAATGCTGACTACACTGAATGTCTGCAGGTTGTGCAAGTTTGTGACTTTATCACTTTCTAATTTCTGATCTGTGTGGACCACTCTACAGATTTTTCTCACTGGTGTGATCAGCCTTCTGGATGTCAAATATAATAGACTTTCAATAATATAAAAGTCAACACAAGCTCCTCATGGTTTCAGTGCTCAGTGATGACTCTAAACTTACACAATGTGTTTCTTTATTAGTTTTGTTTTCTGGTATCTCTACTCGGCATCTTCACCACACCCATTTTATGTTTCTTATACAGGTAATTGATAATTTTAAAATTTATTGGTGCTTACTTTAATTAAATAAGCAGACAATATCTTAGAATTTAAAAAAAATGTGCAGTAAAAGGAAATGCAATAAATTTTAATGTAAGGAAACCAGCAGCTGAAAGCAAGGGAAATCTCTTCTGCTGCATAGGAGGGTATGGAGACCTCATAATACGATGATTTTCTGCAGTTTAATCATTATTGCCACACAAGTGATAGCATCCTCTCTCTTTATATCAGCACATTCCCTAACGTACAATAAAGACTGAGCACAGATACCGCCAACCAGACTGACCAGCACCTCTCACCGAGTGCCTGAGCTGATAGTGATAGATATCACATTTGTCTAACAAAATCATTACACCCTGTAAGGATACCCACCAGTCATAAGGAGACAATTTAAAAAATTTAGTCAAAGCCCAAACCTGATAGGTAGTCATTTATACTTAGAAGAATTAACTCTTATCTTCACATGTATTTTTCTTAATCATAGAGAAGCTACTAGAGTCACTGTCCAAGTTACTGAATATCTTATTCCTAGAATGAGACACTGCACAATATGTTCTGACACGAGGGGATGTAGATATAGTTAAGGGACAGGAGATGTGATCACGGGAACAAGAGTCTGTGATCCAGCAGTTCTTTCTCCCTCACAGTTGACCAGAAACAAGGCCCCAGCAGAACAATGGAAACATTGACTTAGGTCTCCACAGTCTGATGTGAGATAAACAGCAGGTAGTTTATGCTTCCGTTTTATAGTAGGAAATTTAATAAAGAAGGGCCATTTTGGGGATAATACTATTCTCTAGGATGCTTAAATGCCCCCAAACAGAGAGCACTACAGTGTCCCATGGCCAGGAGCTACAATACCTGGGTCTAGAAAGCAGTGGACAGAAATATCGGTTTCTCTTGCCACATGTATGATGAAAATTTGAAGAATGTTTCTTTCCTTCTCCATAATCATAGGCTGCGATGGACTGGAGGTCCTGGTACATAAGAATAAATGTGTCTCCAGTAGGAACAGAATTAGTCCCATAAAATAATTGTGCTGCCGTGGTTCTCATACTGTTGGAACAGCTGACCAAGAAAGTGTTGTAACAGCTGCAGTGTTTATTGATTCCTATCATATTTGGGGCTACATTCGCAGCTACCAAGGGAAAGAGAGAGAAGTAATTCTGGCCTAGATAGAGTCTATAGATTTTTTTTTTCTTTCCTTCAAACTGAGGTTTAAAAAAATCACATCAACTAAAATGCAGATGATGATCAAATGATCAAGGACAACAGCCATTAAATGTTTCAGGTGTGTTTTAACCCAAAGTCGCACAACATGTGAGAACATGAGCTCTGGAGTCGGGAGAATCTCTGAAGAGAATCTAGAAGGTGGGTGGGAGGAAACAGTGATTCACGTCTAAGGAAATTGCAGGGCTACCTCCTGTAGGGGAAAGGAAAGCCTGAGCCTCTCCTACAGTGTGCTGTCTAAAAATTTTTGGCTGACTTATTGTATTCTTCAACACCAAATTTTTTTAGTTCTCTTTTAAATTTTTTTATCTCTTAAAATTCTCACAGTGTTCTTGCATGCTGCCACTAGCTTATTAAACAAGATTGTAATATTTAAATTTTCTGCCAAGAAATCCATATGCTTTTATATTCATTGATGCCAGTTTCTGGACCTTTATGTTGTCCCTCTGTTTGGACCATATTTCCCCATTTCTTCATTTTCCTTGATGGTCTTTGCTGCCATCTACTCATCAAAAAAAACAGCTCTTTGTTCATCATAACAAACAGCCATACTCTTCCAAGCCTAGGCCCTTAGAGAAAACCCTCACCAATCACCCCATCAGTGATTGTGGATCTCTCAAAAACTTCATAATAACTTCATAATATTCAAACTTCTGTCTTTGTTCTTAGTGGCCCCCAGGTTTTAGAGCATGTTGGGTTGTGGCAGGACTCCTAAGTAGGGGAGGTAGAAACTATTTACTCAAGCAGCCTCTTGAACAGGTACACCATTCAATACAGTTTTATTATTGAGGTATGATTCATCAGAATAATGTCAGTTCAAGCGCCTCTCAACCAGTTGTCTAGCATTGAAATGTTATAATTTATTATTTGGATCTGTCTGTCATTTATCTTTTGAATCTTAGGTAAAATTACAAACTGATATAAAACTGCCTATTTGGCAAATGATCTGCTGCAGAATTTTCATCTTCTATGTATCTCTGTTTGCACTTAAATCCAAGTTTATATTAGGCATGTATCTAGAATGTAGAAATAAATCTTAAAATTCCTTCATTTTTAAAAAGATTATGGGGTTTCCAGAAGATGGGAGAACCTTCTTTATTTATAAAATACCTGATTCCACATTTTCCAATAGTTTCCTCTTTATCAATCTCCTCTCACATTATACTATATTAAGCAAGGAGAAATTAAAACACACCATCCACACTTTGCATAGAAATCCCCTCAATCCCCTCAGCTTTTTTTTTTTTTTTGACGGAGTTTCACTGTTGTTACCTGGGCCTTGGCCTCCCAAATTGCTGGGATTACAGGCATGAGCCACTGCATTGGGAAGCTTGAACTGGGCAGAGCCCACCTCAGCTCAGCAAGGCCTACTCTCTCTACAGACTCCAGCTCTGTGGGCAGGTCATAGCTGAACAAAAGGCAGCAGAAACTTCTGCAGACTTAAACGTCCCTGTCCAACAACTCTGAACAGAGCAGTGGTTCTGCCAGCATGGCATTTGAGCTCTGAAAATGGACAGACTGCCTCCTCAAGTGGGTCTCTGACCCCCGTGTAGCCTAACTGGGAAACACCTCCCAGTAGGGGCCAACAGACACCTCATACAGGTGGGTGCCCCTCTGGGACAAAGCTCCCAGAGGAAGGATCAGGCAACAATATTTGCTGTTCTGCAATATTTGCTGTTCTGCAGCCTCTGCTGGTTATACCCAGGCAAACAGGGTCTGGAGTGGACCTCCAGCAAACTCCAACAGACCTGCAGCTGAGGGACCTGACTGTTAGAAGGAAAATGAACAAATACAAAGGAATAGCATGGCCAGGCACAGTGGCTCATGCCTGTAATCCCAGCACTTTGGGAGGCTGAGGCGGGTGGATCACAAGGTCAGGAGATCGAGACCATCCTGGCTAACACAGTGAAACCCCATCTCTACTAAAAATACAAAAAACAATTAGCCGGGCGTGGTGGCGGGTGCCTGTAGTCCCAGCTACTCGGGAGGCTGAGGCAGGAGAGTGGCGTGAACCCAGGAAGCGGAGCTTGCAGTGAGCCAAGATCGCGCCACTGCACTCCAGCCTGGGCAAGAGCAAGACTCTGTCTCAAAAAAAAAAAAAAAAAAAAAAAAAAGAAAGGAATAGCATCAACATCAACAAAAAGGGCATCCATACCAAAACCCCATCTGTAGGTCACCATCATCAAAGACAAAGCTTAGATAAAACCACAAAGATGGGGAGAAACCAGAGCAGAAATGCTGAAAATTCTAAAAAACAGAGCATCTCTTCTCCTCCAAAGGATCACAGCTCCTCACCAGCAACAGAACAAAGCTGGATGGGAATGACTTTGACGAGTTGATAGAAGTAGGCTTCAGAAGGTCAGTAATAACAAATTTCTCCAAGCTAAAGGAGCATGTTCTAATCCATCACGAGCAAGCTAAAACCTTGAAAAAAGGTTAGATGAATGGCTAACTATAATAAACAGTGTAGAGAAGACTTTAAATGACCTGAGGGAGCTGAAAACTATGGCACAATAATTTTGTGATGCATGCATGAGCTTCAACAGCTGATTTGATCAAGTGGAAGAAAGGATATCAGTGATTGAAGATCAAATTAATGAAATAAAAATAGAAGACAAGTTTAGACAAAAAAAGAGTAAGAAGAACAAACAAAGCCTCCAAGGAATATGGGACTATGTGAAAAGAAAAATCTAAGTTTGATTGGTATACCTGAAAGTGATAGGGAGAATGGAACCAAGTTGGAAAACACTCTTCATGATAGTATCCAGGAGAACCTCTGCAACCTAGCAAGGAAAGTAAACATTCAAATTCCGGAAATACAGAGAACACCACAAAGATACTCGCTGAGAAGAGCAACCCTAAGACACATAATTGTCAGATTCACCAAGGTTGAAATGAAGGAGAAAGTTTTAAGGGCAACCAGAGTTGTGCCATGGCACAGTGTTGTGCCAGGTCCTTTCTCTGTTTTCTTGCCTGTTTATTTATGTCAGATGTGCCACCTACATGTAATAAGGTCAGAATTCTGCCTCCAGTAACACATCAAAGGTGACCTTTGATTGTACTTTTGGTTTATGCTCCAAAATATTGATTATAAATTTCATCACCGTCATATTTTATGTCAAAATAAATCTGCATAATCTGAATGTCAATACATTTTGGAATCTACTAAATAACTGAAATTGCAAGAAATATTACCCACTCCAAAAGCTGGAGAGATGGGCATGTCCAGAATTGCAGTTAGCACTTGCTTAACTGGTGCAGAAACTGCAGAAGCTGCAGAAGCCACAAGCTGTTGAAGGCACTTATATGGTAACCACTATAGACGTCTGAAAGACAAATGTGGACTCGGTAAATGTGACCATTCCAGAGGGTCTTATACTTCTAAGGTTTCTGGACTTTCTCTCCAGAAACCTCCAGATTCTAAAATATACAATCCAAATAAATTTCCTGTGGGTCAGAATTGAAGATGAAATGAAGATGATTAATTACAGAAAACTATACCAGGAGCCTACTTCAAAAGCTTCTAAAGGGAATGACTTTTCCAGAACCTTATCCTATGTGAAGGAAGACAAATCTCCCATTCCAGATTCTCTCCCATTCTTCCATTATTATATGAATGAGTAAAGTTAGCCAAAAGGGGTAAGATGTACGTAAATAGTCCAGGGAAGCCAAAACCACAAAAGGGAGTAACAGCCAAAAATGAGCTTTTCCCCTGGAGATGCTTTTTCAAGGTCACAGCCCAGAAGAGGAAGCCTATCGAATCTCTAGGTTTCCATTGGAAGAACAGGCAGTGCTTACCTGCACTGCACAATCCATTCTAACTAGGATGATGACTATGGATTAAAGATGAAAGTGTGGCAATGCACAGACTCTATCTGAGGAGAATACAGAAACACTAAGACAATGACAGAGGGTGAGACAAAGGCAGTACAGCAATGTGAAGCCTCTGACATCATGATTTTTAAGACCAACATCTTGTAAATGCCATCATAGATCTCAGCTTCTTTTATTATGGGGACTTTGCTGGTTTCCTAGCTGAGAAAGTGAAAATAACAACCTGCATGCACTTCCCAAGTCTCCACCTGTATCCTGTTTGCTTTAAATCTCTAGGAGAAGAAAGTCAGATAACTGGGCCTAGTGTCAGCATAGGAGGCACTTCCTAAAAGCTACATATTAGGAAGAAGGGAAAATGTGTGTTATTGGAATAGTGGATATGGAGTGGGCTTTCATCTGAATGTATCTGCACCTGCTGGTATTCTCAGATGCAACATTCAACTGCAAGAGCCCAGTGAAGAAACACGGCACTCCCAAATCTCCTGTAAGTTTTTGTCTTCATTTTGGTTCCACTAATGAAGTGAATCTGGAGCTTCAGAGAAGGGGCTCCCTTCTGTGTCATTGAATCCTTGCTCTGGGTCTCCTTGCAGAGTTCAATAGGTTTAGTAAGGCTAATCAGTTGTTTCAAGAGATGGTGTCAGTAGCATATGGTGTCACTGAAGGAGTGTGATAAACCAGGACACAGCCATTTCATGCTGGGCTAGAGAAGCTTGGGGGAAATGATTTGTAAGTCCCAGCAGGAACCTCTTTGCAAGGCAGGGTCTGGGCTGTTGGGGGCACAGACCAGGTGAGTTAGATATCAATATGTAAAGATGAGGACCTATGGATATTAATTGAAAATACATAAATACTTCAAAAAATTCCAATAAATTGAGTCCAAAATTAACCCCAAATTATTCAAAACACAAATTCCTTGACAAATATTTTGGGAGCAATGAGTTCATAAAGAATTTGAAACTACCGTTTCAGCTTCTGATTCTTATGGTTCCTGAGATGAGAAAATCATCTCTAATCACACATCACAGAGCAAATCTGTAAACAAGAGTGTTTCTATTGAAGATCCTGGGGGATCTGAACACCAGGCAGGTGCTGGAGACACTGTTTCAGGAGTGCCCAGCAGATCTCAGAATGACCTGCTGGTCACTCACGTGGGACATGAGCAGTAACTTCCTCAGTCATCAGTCAGCTGTGCTGGTGACTGATGGATCCAGGACAGAACCACGGCACCTGCTCAGTGTCATGGAGAGTGATGGTTCCAGAAATTATCCAGGTGGTCTCTGTGCTTATAAAATGTAGGTTCACAGTGAGGAGCGTGTCCTGAGGGGGATTGTTCTTCTGTGAAAGGACCTCTGTTCATGAATGTTCATAAATGGAGCAGGGCATGCATTTCCTCAAACAGGAATAGGGCTTGGACCATCAGCATCTCACTCTTGTAAATCTGATGTGTCATTTATCTTCCCTTTCTTATTATTAACCAGGCTTTCTTCTATGAAATGCTATGTCATGAATATGCAAATAACCTGAGATCCACTGAGGTAAATTTGGATGTCTGTGCCCTGAGAGCATCACCCAACAACCACATCCCTCCTCTATAGAAGCCCCTGAGAACACAGCTCCTCACCATGGACTGTACCTGGGGGATCCACTTCTTGGTGGCAGCTGCCACAGGTAAGGGGCTCCCAAGTACCAGTGATGAGGAGGGGATTGAGTTCAGTCAAGGGGGCTTTTATCAACTCCTCCATTCTCCTCACAGGTGTCCATTCCCAGGTTCAGCTGTTGCAGCCTGGGGCTGAGGTGAAGAAGCCTGGGTCCTCAGTGAAGGTCTCCTGCCAGGCTTCCAGATACACCTTCACCAAATACTTTACACGGTGGGTGTGACAAAGCCCTGGACAAGGGCATAGTGGATGGGATGAATCAACCCTTACAATGATAACACACACTATGCACAGACGTTCTGGGGCAGAGTCACCATTACCAGTGACAGGTCCATGAGCACAGCCTACATGGAGCTGAGCAACCTGAGATCTGAAGACATGGTCATGTATTACTGTGTGAGAGACACAGTGCAAAAACCCACATCCTGAGAGTGTCAGAAACCCCAGGAAGGAGACACCTGTGCTGACACAGAGGAGATGACAAAGATTATTAGATTAAAGATTTGCTTAGAAAATGACATTAAGTCATTAAAGAAAAGGAACAATATTAATGTGTATTTGAGAAATTTTAATTATTTGAGAGATTTTTCATACAACATTTATTCTGTAAACAAATTTCAATGATTAGAGAATGAATCAAATTAATGAAACTAATATAGAACTTCCTCTGAAGGTATCTCTGTAAACATTAATTTCTTAATCAGTGCTGTAAGTATTTTGGAATACAGACACAAAATCACATTTTAAGTCTGCATTTATATCTATTAAAAATGCCAAAAAAATCTCCTTTTGTGCGTGTAGCATTTTGAATTCCCACCCTCAATGCATGATAGTTCTTGGTTTTCCACATTCATATTGCCATGTATCCTTATGAGAGTTGTGTGTTTTAACCAATCTAGTAGGTGAGTAATGGGATCTAATTTTTATTTAAATGCACATGTCCCTCAAAAAGTTCATATTTAACAATTTTCCAATAACTTTTGTTGAGATGCCTCTCCTGATATTTGGTTCATTTTAAATGCATTGCTTTGTTTTGATTCATTGTAAGTTTACTTGCATATTGTTTATAAAAGTCATTTAACAAATTAAAAGAATTCATTTAACAAATATGTGACTTGGAAGTATTTTTTCCAAGTCTGTGGCTGTCTTTACTCCCTTATCAGTGTGTATTGCAGAAACATACGTGTGTGTGTGCATGTGTCTGTGTGTGTATGTGTGTGTTTGTACAAATTTAGATTCAAAAACATGTAAAATTGTATTCATTCATAGATGATGTTTTTGACATTATATCTGAAGTCTCATTATAGAATACCAAATAGTGGTTATTTTTTCTATGTGTCTAACCTCAGGCCACAATCAACTCATGAGTGTTTAAACTTCACCTACTTGATTGGAGGACTATTCACCTCAGATATTTGGAATACTTCTGTAAGGAGATGTGTTCGTCTTCCCAATATTTATTTTCATAATCATCTATTAATATGTGTATTGGTTTATGAATATATATTTCATACTCTGAAGAAGATCCATGCTATATTACTCATTTTATCGTTCAAATCACCACAGATTTATTAGGTCCTGGGAGCTCATTTAGTTTGGATCCTGTATCCTTACAGTGCACCTCATCCTTTTGTTTTTGAACACTTCCCTGTTTCCTTGTATTACAACAAATTCTAAGTTCATTTTCTATATTACCTCTTTTGTACATAGAATTAGCCATTTTTCTAAAGCTTGCTTGTTTCTAACGTTAACGAATAGCAGTAAAATAAAAAAAACTGTGATACCGTGTATAATTACTTCTAGGACCTCTCAACCTACTGGCCTAGCAGACGTGCATGTTTATATGAACCCATGTTTATGGACGCATCAAAACTACTTATGTACCTAATCTTCTGTAACTTTATTATATTAAAAATGAGAACACACTGGTCTCCTGACCCAACTATGCTACCACGTGGACCTTTCTAGCCTTCCTTCCTTGACTGTCCATAACCATCCACTTTAAAGTGAGGAATCCTATCCCACCAATTGCCTTATTATTACCTGGTTGCACAATTTTAGGACACATGCATAGCGGTATCAGAAATGTAAAGCTCATTGGAAATATGTTTATCTACTAGAATAGAGTGCTATGTGTAGTTTCTTTACATTTTAAACATACAGAATTTCCTCATTTTCAAAGTTAATTAGACTAGCAACTTCATTTTCTACTTTCTTCAGTGAAGTCATTTCAATTACACCATATAATATCATTTATTTGAAATTCGGTATAAACCAAAACTATAGTCAAGTAAACAGATAGAGGATATTCAAGGAATTTAGAGAATGAGTATTAAATAAGTAAAAATGGCACTGTTTAAGAATAGTAAAATTATTTTTAGTGCTATAAAATGGTTGAGACACGATGCAGTTAATTTTTCTAAGCTCATAATTGTGTGATGGAAAATATAAACCTAAATATATACAATTTTTGTAAAAAGTATTTAGCAGTTCATTAAACCCAGGATTAAATGCAGACTGTATAAAGTTATCTAATAACTTATTTGGTGAGGGTGGGGATATCATGAGATGCATGCAAAAAAGAATGAAGTAATTTTCCTCATTTGCATGTAAGATGTTACCATTCACTAAAGACCTTTAATTTAAAAAAATCAATTTTCAACGTGACCCAGGTTTTTTCTTCCTGACAAGCAAATAACCCAGATAATTCTTTTCTTTCCTTGGTTGATAAAGATTTTCCCCAAACTTCAGCTCAGTTCAGGCACACACTGTCCCTGAATGGGCATTTACCCACAGATGGGTACACACACCTGTCAACATGGGGACTCTTCCGTCAGACAAACACACCTTTACTCACGTGGATTCTTCCCTCAGACAAACACATATGTCCCCACATGGACTCTTTTCTCAGACCACCACGTATGTCCTTACATTTACTCTTTCCTCTGGTAATGACATTTCCTCATGTGGACTCTTGTCTCAGACAAACATGTCTGCATGTGAACTCTTCACTCTGATAAGTACACATATTTCCACAGTGACTGTTCCCTGACACAAGCAGATATATCCAATGTTGAACTGTTTTATGGGAAAATGATCTCAAGATAATAATTATAAAATCCCTCCCTGACAAGGTGTAGATCTGCATTTTTTTATTGTACCTTAACTTTGCCTTATTGTCAAGAACAGTAGTTTGTAGCTCTAAATGCACCGATTAGAGATTGGTGTCCGTTTTCTCTGGAAATGTATTTTTAAGTTCTTACTGGATGTATTTTTTTGATAATGTTTGCTACTGTGAAGATACCTGAACAGGGTCCACACTAGAAAATAAAAAAGACTAATCAGCAGATTAACCCTGTGCATCCAGACCCACGAGTCCTTTGACCCTGCCCCCCTGAAATGGAGACACAGAGGATGGATGAGCAATGCCGAGCGGTGCACCCAAGACCACAAAAAGAAAGACAAGGAAATGTGTCCCCTCCCCTCCTCATGAAAGGCAGCTCATCCCCTGTTCCTTCAGGCCCTAGCGAGGAGCCAACCCATGTCTCTTCCCTTCCTCAGTGTCCACACCGTGGGATCTGCACTGATTTGGGCTTCCCTTCTCATCACCCTCAATATTAGTGTCCCTTGTGAATCAGGTCCAGGTGCGGCTGCTCCACATGGGGCCGTTCTTCCATTTCCTCAGTGTTTGCAGAAGTCCTGTGTGAAATTTATTGATGGAGTCAGAGGGGGAAAAATTGTACACCCAGTGGCTCACTGAGACTCTCATGCAAAGCCTCTGATTTCACCTTTACTGGCTACAGCAATGAGCTTGGTCCAGCCAGCTTCACGACAGGGATTTGTGTAGGTGGAAACAGTGAGTGATCAAGTGGGAGTTCTCAGAGTTACTCTCCATAAGCACAAATAAATTAACAGTCCCAAGTGACACCTTTTAATGTGCAGTCTACCTTAAAGGGACCAAACTGAAAGTCAAGGACAAGGCCTTGTAATACTGTGAGAGACACAGGAGAGGGAATATCTGTGTGAGCCCCAACAGAAAAATCTCTGCAGGAAGACAGGAGGGAGCTGCATGGTAGATGCTCCTCAGAACCACCAGGGCGCCTTGAGGACAACCTGGGGGCACTCAGAACCACCAGGGTGTGCTTAGGACCATGGGGTGCTCAGGATATTAGGGGGTGCTCAGGATCATGAGGGGGTGCTCATGACACCAGGGGGCACTCAGAATCACAAGGGGGCACTCAGGACACGAGGGTTTGCCCAGGACCACCAGCAGGCACTCAGGTCACCAGGGGGTGTTCAGGACCACCAGGGGGCGCTCAGGACACCAGGGGGCGCTCAGAACCACCAGGGGGTGCTCAGGACACGGGGGGGGGGGGGGGCGCTCAAACCACCAGGGGGCGCTCAGGACACCTGGGGGAGCTCAGAACCACCAGGGGGCGCTCAGGACACCTGGGGGCGCTCAGAAGCATCAGGGGTGCTCAGGATATCACAGTGCCCTCAGTACCACGAGGGGGCGCTCATGACACCAGGGGCACTCAGAACCACTGGGGGGTGCTCAGTACACGGGGGTTCTCAGGAAGCAGCTCCAAATCAGGAGCCTGAGAAGCTGTGGTTTTCTTTTAAACCTTGGTGATTCCCGACCTGGTCAAGCAAAAGTCTTCCCCAGGATCTCTCACCATTTCTTCCTTGTAAATCCATGATTACTTTTACCTACAAAACATTAACTTAGAACAGGAATTTAATTCAACTTTTAATGCTGCATATTTTCCAAGTAATACTAGCAATGATCTCTCAGGACAATTTTTAAAATAGGTTATTTATATATTCTCTTGATTAAAAATAATACTATTATTAAAATAGTAAAATTATAAAAATCACACCTGTAATCCCAGAACTTTGGGAGGCTAAGGCAGGCAGATCACTTGAGCTCAGGACTTTTAGAACACCCTGGCAGCACAGTGAGGTCTTTTCTATACAAAAATAATAATAATAAATACCTGGGTGTGGTTCCACCTGTGGTAGCAGCTACTTGAAAGGCTGAGGTGGGAGGATCCCTTAAGCCTGGGAGGTTAATGATGCAGTGAGCTGTGATTGTGCCACTGCACTCCAGTCTCGTTGACAGAGTGAGACCCTATTTAAAGAAAATGTATATCCTCAATATAAACTGTTTCAATGATTAGAGTTTTGTATTTTTGTGCTGTAATAGTCAAACAATTGTACATGTTTTTTAACATTAACTCAGCGTATACATGGCATTTTGTTTCTTTTTCTTTCATCTGCTGTTTTTGGAAATTAAACACGACTTTAAATGCTCTTGTTCTCCATTTTGGTTGGCTTCAGGTGTCCTGTTTTTCAGACTGTTTCTCCATCTTCCCTTTTTCTTTGAAAGTATTTTACCTTCCTCAGTCTCCATGAAGGAAAAAGAAAGTCACTTTACTTTCTGACCTCCAAGTCTGGTGAATCAGTTCCCTTGTCTTCATAATCATTGAAGCCAACCAAGTTTAGAGGATAATGGCTCTCCTTAGAATATGCTCATCTACCTGCAGACTCTGCCCTACTCACCCTTTTCCAGGTCCTGCAGACCATCCCCTCATTTCCCTAAGTACCACAGAGTGGGCTCTGCAGCTCCTGCTGCCCTCTGTGTGTTCAGCCCTGGGGCTCACTAGTGTTTTGATGATGAAGTCCAAATCCCCATGTGCTTGGACCCTCTGAGACCATCCTCTAGGAAGATGCCATTGTGAGTGAGCCCTGAAAATCATGGGCTGTGTTCAGTTTCATTATCCTGGATGTTCTCTATCATAAAGGAATATTGACAAATAAATACCAGAGTTTGTATTGAATATTCATGCCAAAAAAGTTTTTTTTTTAATTTTTCAAATGAAACAATTTTATCTTTCCTGGTTTGAAAACTACAATCTAAATTTAACAAATAATGTAATACAATGTTTGTCTTATTAGTTATTCAATTTATTAAAAACAGACTGATATTTAAAGTTAATACCATTGCACATTTGAGTGACATATTTGGCAAGAACAGCATTTACATTCAGCTTTAACAAAACATGTATTTAAATATATTTGTCTTTTTAGTATTGGAATAGGCAGACATACACGTAGAAGAGCATTATTTTCTACTACCACCTCAAACTGCAAACACAGTTTAAATTCAATTAAGTAATTAAAAAATATGAAACAAATAGGTGTGCTATTTTGGTGTTTAGATATACGTTCACTTTTGCATGGGCATATGTATGTGTCTTTGCTGGGCTGTTGTGTATGTATGTGTATTTGTAGAACCATGAAGTTTTCAAATACATCATTAAATGACATATTAATCTTGGCCAGGCATGGTGGCTCAGGCCTGTAATCCCAGCACTTTGGGAGTCATAGGCAGGCAGATCACCTGAGGTCAAGAGTTCAAGACCAGCCTGGCCAACATGGTAAAACCCCGTCTCTACTAAAAATACAAAAAATAGCCAGGTATTGTGGCAAGTGCCTTTAGTCCCAGTGTGACAGGGAAATGTGGGGTCAGAAATCCCACACAGAGTTTCTACTGGTGTACCACCTAGTGGAGCTGTAAGAAGAAAGCCACTGCCCTCCAGAACCCAGAATGGTAGATCCACTGACAGCTTGCACTATATTTCTGGAAAAACCACATACACTCAATGCCAGCTCGTGAAAGCAGCCAGGAGGGAGACTGTGCCCTGCAAAAGCTTTTTAAAACTTTTCATTTGAAAAATTTTAAAAAAGTTCTGCCACAGGGGCAGAACTGCCCAAGACCATGGGAACCCACCTGTTACATCAGGTAACCTAGATTTGAGACATGGAGTCAAAGAAGATTATTTTGGAACATGAAGATTTGACTGCTCAGCTGGATTTCAGACTTGCATGGGGCCTGTAGTTTGGACCAATTTCTCCATTTGGAATGGCTGTATTTACACAATGCCTGAACTCCCATTCTTTCTAGGAAGTAACTGACTTCGTTTTTATTTTACAGGCTCATATGGAAGAGACTTGCCTCATCTCAAATGAGACCTTGGACTGTGGACTTTTGAGTTAAGGCTCAAATGAGTTAAGACTTTGGCAGACTCTTGAACAGGCATGATTGGTTTTGAAATGCGACAGCAATCATGACTCTAGAGGACCACATGTGAAATGCAACAAGCAGGAGCAGAAGACAAGTAATTCATGATTTCACTGTAGTGCATTAAAATGGTAGACTCACAGAAGTAGAATAGAATGTTGGTTACCAGGGGCTGGAGGGGTGGACTGGAAAAGGAGAGATTTTGGTCAAAGTGTAAAATGTTCCAGTTAGACAGAAGGAGTAAGTTGCAGTGTTCTAATGCACAAGATGGAAAATATGGCTATGAATGCATTGTATATTTCAAAATGGCTAAAAATGTAAATGTTAAAATTTTTCCCACTAAGAAATTATACAGGTCGGGAGTGGGGGCTCACACCTCTAATCCCAGCACTTTTGGAGGCCGAGGTGGGTGGATCACAAGGTCAGGAGTTCAAGACCAGACTGGCCAAAATGGTGAAACCCTGTCTCCACTAAACACACAAAAGTTAGCCAGGCGTGGTGTTGGGCGCCTGTAATCCCAGCTACTCGGGAGGCTGAGGCAGGAAAATTGTTTGAACCTGGGAAGCAAAGGCTGCAGTGACCGAGATCGCACCACTGCACTCCAGCCTCGGCGACAGAGTGAGACTCAGTCTCAAAAAAAAAAAAAAAAAAGAAATTACACATTTGTGAGGTGATGGATATTTTAAATAGCTTGATTAACAATTCCATGATGTATACATGTATCATAGCATGTGTGAAGCGACCTACCTGTATGAAGGTGAGGTGACCTGGTCACGTGACAGTGAGGTGACCTGGGGGATGTGTGAGGTGACCTGGGGGATGTGTAAGGTTACCTGGGGGTATGTGTGAGGTGAACTTGGGCTCATGTGAGGTGACCCAGGGTGCATGTGTGGTGGCTTGGGTGCGTGTGAGGTTACCCGGACATGCATGAGGTGACATGGGGAACTCATGAGGTGACTTGGGCATGTATGATGTGACCTAAGGCATGTGTGAGGTGACCTGGGGGACGTGTGAGGTGACCTGTGGGACGTGTGAGGTGACCTGGGGGATGTGTGAGGTGACCTGTGGGAATGTGTGAGGTGACCTGTGGGACGTGTGAGGTGACCTGTGGGACGTGTGAGGTGACCTGGGGGATGTGTGAGGTGACCTGGGGTACGTGTGAGGAGACCTGTGGGACATGTGAGGTGACGTGGCGGATGTGTGAGGTGACGTGGGGAATGTGTGAGGTGACCTGGGGTATGTGTGAGGTGACGTGGCGAATGTGTGAGGTGACCTGGGGGACGTGTGAGGTGACCTGTGGGACATGTGAGGTGACCTGGGGGATGTGTGAAGTGACCTGGGGGACGTGTGAGGTGACCTGGGGGATGTGTGAGGTGACCTGTGGGACATGTGAGGTGACGTGGCAGATGTGTGAGGTGACGTGGGGAATGTGTGAGGTGACCTGGGGGACGTGTGACGTGACGTGGGGAATGTGTGAGGTGACCTGGGGAACGTGTGAGGTGACCTGGGGGATGTGTGAGGTGACCTGGGGGACGTGTGAGGTGACCTGGGGAATGTGTGAGGTGACCTGGGGAACGTGTGAGGTGACCTGGGGGATGTGTGAGGTGACCTGTGGGACATGTGAGGTGACCTGGGGAATGTGTGAGGTGATGTGGGTGCGTTTGAGGTGACGTGGGGGATGTGTGAGCTTAGCAGGAGTGTGTGTGAGGTGACATGAGGAATATGTGAGGTGACCTGCCTGATGTGTGAGGTGACCTGAGCACATGTAAGGTCACCTAAGGCGCATCTGAGGTGACATGGGGGACGTGTGAGGTGACCTGGGGAACGTGTGAGGTGACCTGTGGGACATGTGAAGTGACCTGGGGAATGTGTGAGGTGACCTGTGGGACATGTGAGGTGACCTGGGGAATGTGTGAGGTGATGTGGGTGCGTTTGAGGTGACGTGGGGGATGTGTGAGCTTAGCAGGAGTGTGTGTGAGGTAACATGGGGAATATGTGAGGTGACCTGCCTGATGTGTGAAGTGACCTGAGCACATGTGAGGTCACCTAAGGCGCATCTGAGGTGACATGGAGGATGTGCGAGGTGACCTTGGGTGAGTGTGAGGTTACCTGTGGGATGTGTGAGGTGAATTGGGACTTGTGTGAGGTTACCTGGGAAATGTTTGAGGTGACCTGCGGGATGTGTAAGGTGACATTGGGGATGTGTGAGGTGACTCAGGGCACATGTGAGGTGACCTTGGGGATGTGCAAGGTCACACTGTGTGAGTGTGAGGTCATGTGGGATATTTCAAACTTTGTAAGGAAAGCCTGCAACAATATATGGCTCTAGAAGCTTCACACTCCAACACTGTTAATGCGCACATCCTCAAGGAACTCTAAATGTTTCCAGGTTAGCTTAAATGCCATGGAGTGACACCTGCCCCAGGTACACTCATATATGCATCCTGGGTCTCCCTATCAACCCCTATCCTCAAATTTTCAGTTCATGTTTGCTCCATGATATCAACTCTGATATGCTGAGGTTTTTTTTTTTTTTATCTGTAGTTGTTCAGGTTTGCTGTTTCACTCTCATTACTCTGGGCTCAGTCCTCTCCTCAGGTGTCCCACTTCAGAGCTTGCTATGTAATAGGAGACATGCAAATAGGACCCTCCCTTTTCTGATGAAAAGCAGCCCAGCCCTGACCCTGCAGCCGTGGGAGAGAAGCCCCAGCCCTGGGATTCTCAGGTGTTTCTATTGGGTCAACAGCAATAAACAAATTACCATGGAATTTTGGCTGAGCTGGGTTTTTCTTGCTGCTATTTTAAAAGGTAATTCATGGAGAACTAAGGATATTGAGTGTGAGGGGACATGAGTGACAGAACAGTGGCTATGTGTGGCAGTTTCTGACCAGGATGTCTCTGTGTTTGCAGGTGTGCAGTGTGAGGTGCAGCTGGTGGAGTCTGGGGGAGGCTTGGTCCAGCCTGGGGGGTCCCTGAGACACTCCTGTGCAGCCTCTGGATTCACCTTCAGTAACAGTGACATGAACTGGGTCCTCTAGGCTCCAGGAAAGGGGCTGGAGTGGGTCTCGGGTATTAGTTGGAATGGCGGTAAGACGCACTATGTGGACTCCGTGAAGGGCCAATTTACCATCTCCAGAGACAATTCCAGCAAGTCCCTGTATCTGCAAAAGAACAGACAGAGAGCCAAAGACATGGCCGTGTATTACTGTGTGAGAAATCCTGTGAGGAGACACAAGTGTGAGCCCAGACACAAACCTCCTACAGGAACGTTGGGGGAAATCACTGCAGGGGACGCTCAGGACCCATTCATCAGAGTCAACCCCAGAGCAGGTTCACATGGAGGCTGGGGTTTGTTTCCTGTCAGGATTTGGGACTTCCTCTGCTTCTGACAGTTTCTCTAGGGAAACTCTTTAATTTTAGATTTCTGTACCCACCAATGTCATCTCTACATATTTTTTTTAATCATTGTAATATGAGGACTCATTCTCACATGCACAGTATGTACATTGCCACCTACAGGAATGAGAACTCCTCAACCATGCGCACCAGCATCAGAGTCGTGAGGAAGCTCAGGGGTGCCCGGTGAGTCTTCTCCAGTCAGACTCAGGACAGGAACTTCAATGGGATTCCCTGACTAGAATGGCTTTTAGGGATTTTGATTACAGCCAAGAGAGAGGCTGGACCAGGTTCAGTGTCATGTAGGACCTCACAGGTTTTATGTATGACATTTCTCCTGAAAATATTCAAATGAGTATCAGCACTGATCTGGTGCTTTCTGACTTTCATTTTTAGTGGTTCTTGCTTTTCCATTTGCTTTTCCTGCTTTCTGGAAAAAATGATGTTGTCCCTGTGGTCTAAATCCTGGGGCTCAAGCCCTTTCCCTGGAGCTTAGGTGGGGCTCAGGCTGTGACTCCTGCAGCCATTGGGAGAGGCTGCTGAGACTTTCTTCTCTCTCATTATTAAGCACACTCCACTCTGTTTTCTGGAGACGCATCTGGGAATGCATGTGGCCATTAGGAATGAGGGCATAAGCTTCTTTGGTCAAAGTGGGGTGAGGATGTGGAATTGATCCTGTGCTGTGTAAACTGTCACAGAGTCACCTTCTTTACCGGTAGTGTTAGAAGAGCCTGTAAAAGTTGTCGGAATCCAACTGGAGTCCCTTGTGTTCAAATCCTGACACATGGAGCTGGGGAAGGCCATTTATGGAAGCTTCTCATGCACATACCCCTGAGAACAAGACCTAGTTTTATAACACTCCAAAAAACCACAAATTGAACAAAGGCAACCACAACAATAAAAGAATTACTTATATCCCTAAGAACAACAGCTAGCTTTATAACACTCAGAATAGCCACAACTGTGCACAAAGGCAACCACAACAACAAAATAATTACTTATATCCCTAACAACAAGAGCTAGTTTTATAACACTCAGAAAAGCCACAACCTTGCACAAAGACAACCACAACAATAAAATAATTACTTCTGTGAAAATATCTGCACAGCAACTGCCTGTCCAACCTTACACTGATGTCAACCTTATTATTGATGCTTCTAGCCTGGGATCGTTCTCATCAAAATGTCATTCAGATGCTGCGTATGACAAAAATTGTGTTTTTCAGTGCAGTCATGTTCTAGTAAAGCCCTCAGAGACCCTCTCCTTCACCTGTGCCGCCTCTGGATTTCCGATCATAACCAGTACTTCCTCCTGGAGCTGGATCTGCCAGCCCCCAGGGAAGGAGCTGAAGTGGGTCAGGTGTGTAGGTCATGAGGAAGCACACAGTACCACCCGCTTCTCAAGAGTCCAGTCACCACCTCCAGATACACATTCAGAAAGCAGTTTTTCCTACAGCTGAGCTACATGTGCAATGAGTACACCACCATGGATTTTTATGCAAAAGACACAGAGGGGGAAGTCATTGTGGGGCCAGACACAAACCTCCCTGCAGGGAAGCTCAGAACACCAGGGGGTGCTCAGGTCACCAAGGGGCGCTCAGGACACATTAAGGCAGGTGCAAGAGGGGAAAAAAGGTGCTGGAGGTGGGGTTTTTCATCACTGACATATTTTACTCTCCACCATATGTATTCTAATGTATATTATTGTATTATTAGACAATGATATTTATATAAATATATAGCCATACGTAGGTGCACCAAGTTGTCCTCTCCATCTAATGTGGACCTTGTCCTTCAGGACTAAGTCCTTGTATATATTTGAGCACCTCATAAATTATGGTCAGTTATGTAGGATCTCTCACTTGTTCTGTGTCCCTTCCTCCCTCCTCTCTCACACACAAACTGACACACACAAAGAGTTCTACAACTTTAATTACCTGATGTGTTGAAGAAAATGTATTGAAGTGCAGCTTTTTCAGTTTAACTGCTGTTCACGTTGATGTAGGAATAAGAACATTGTCTTTCTCAACTGTGTAGTTCTCTAAGCTGAGTAGCACCTTTCTTTACAATACCCAGATACTGAAAGCAATCCAAATATTGATCAGCAGGTTAAGCAGTAAACACTTTGTTCTAAATTCATTCACTTGAATAATACCCACTGTTCAAACAAGTACTGCTGGAAATGAGCAACAAGGGTAAATTCACAAGTACTTATGACGAGTAACATAAACCAAAGAAATACAAGTACATACATACAGTTCCACTTTTATAAATTCTATAAAATGAAAACTAATCTAAAGTTACATAATGAAAACCAGTAGTTGGCCGTGGTCATGGTATGAGAAGGGAAGGTGTAGGAAGTGGAAATTACAGGACAACAAGAGGAAATTTTGAGGATAATTTTTTCTGTTTTGAGAAAAGTTATGGTTATGTCATTATTTGTTAAATGGTACACATTAAGGGAAGATAGTTACTTTCTAATTTCAACTTATTAAAATACTACAAATTGAAACATATATAATTTGGTAGAAAAGAATTTAGAGATGGATAAAATATATGAGAAATAAAAAAGAAAATCTCAGAACGATGGCATAAGGACTTCAATCATCAAACTAAAGAAATTTTAAATTTCTCAACACAGAATTAAAGATTCATAAAACCAGCTCCTGGATCATTGATTTTTTGGAGTTGATTTTCATGTCTTTATCTCCTTCAGTTCTGCTCTGATCTTAGTTATTTCTTCTCTTCTGCTAGCTTTTGAATTTGCTCTTGCTTCTCTAGTTCTTTTAATTTTGATGTTAGGGTGTCAGTTTTAGATCTTTCCTGCTTTCTCTTGTAGGCATCTAGTGCTATAAATTTCCCTCTACACACTGCTTTAAATGTGTCCCGGAGATTCTCATATGTTGTGTCTTTGTTCTCATTGGTTTCAAAGATCATCTTTATTTCTGCCTTCATTTCTTTATTTACCCAGTAGACACTCAGGAACAGGTTTTTCAGTTTCCATGTAGTTGTGCAGTTTTGAGTGAATTTCTTCATCCTGAGTTCTAATTTGATTATTGCACTGTGGTCTGAGAGACTGTTTGTTATGATTTCTGTTCTTTTGCATTTGGCGAGGAGTGTATTACTTCCAATTATGTGGTCAGTTTTAGAATATGTGCAATGAGGTGCTGAGAAGAATGTATATTCTGTTGACTTGGGGTGGAGAGTTCTGTAGATATCTATTAGGTCTGCTTGGTCCAGAGCTGACTTCAAGTCCTAAATATCCTTGTTAATTTTCTGTCTCGTTGATCTGTCTAATATTGACAGCGGGGAGTTAAAGTCTCCCACTCTTGTTGTATGGGAGTCTAAGTCTCTTTGTAGGTCTCTAAGGACTTCCTTTATGAATCTGGGTGCTCCTGTATTTGGTGCATATATATTTAGGATATTTAGCTCTTCTTGCTGCATTGATCCCTTTACCATTATGCAGTGCCTTTCTTTGTCTCTTTTGATCTTTTTTGGTTTAAAATGTTTTATGAGAGATTAGGATTGCAACTCCTGCTTTTGTTTTTTTTCTTTCTTTTTTTTTTTTTTTTGCTTTCCATTTGCTTGGTAAATATTCCTCCATCCCTTTATTTTGAGCCTATGTGTGTCTTTGCACATGAGATGGGTCTCCTGAATACAGCACATCAACAAAATAGATAGAAAGTTAGCCATATTAATAAAGAAGAAAAGAGAGAAGAATCAAATAGATGCAATAAAATGTAATATAGGGGATATCACTACTGATCCCACCGAAATACAAACTACCATCAGAGAATACTATAAAAACCTCTATGCAAATACACTAGAAAATCTAGAAGAAGTGGATAAATGCCTGGACACATACACCGTCCCAAGTCTAAAGCAGGAAGAAGTCGAATCCCTGAATAGAACAATAATAAATTCTGAAATTGAGGCAGTAATTAATAGCATACCAACCAAAAAAAGTCCAGGACCAGATGGATTCACAGCCAAATTCTACCAGAGGTACAAAGAGGAACTGTTACCATTCCTTCTGAAACTATTTCAAACAATAGAAAAAGAGGGACTCCTCTCTAACTCTTTTTATGAAGCCAGCATCATCCTGATACCAAAACCTGGCAGAGACATAACAAAAAAAAAAAAGTTCAGGCCAATATCCCTGATGAACATCAATGCACCAATTCTCAATAAAATACTGGCAAACCGAATCCAGCAGCACATCAAAAAGCTTATCCACCACGATCAAGTCGGCTTCATCCCTGGGATGCAAGGCTGTTTCAACATATGCAATTCAATAAGTGTAATCCATCACATAAACAGAACCAATGACAGAAACCACATGATTATCTCAATAGATGCAGAAAAGGACTTCAACAAAATTCAACACCACTTCATGCTAAAAACTCAATACTCTAGGTATCCATGGAATGTATCTCAAAATAATAAAAGCTATTTATGGCAAACCCACAGCCAATATCATATGGAATGGGCAAAAACTGGAAGCATTTACTTTGAAAACCAGCACAAGACAACGATGCCTCTCTCACCACTCCAATTCAACATAGTATTGAGAGATCTGGCCAGGGTAATCAGGCAAGAGAAAGAAATAAATTGTATAAAAATAGGAAAAGAGGAAGTCAGATTGTCTCTGTGTGCAGATGACACGATTGTATATTTAGAAAACCCCATCGTCTCAGCCCAAAATCTCCTTAAGCTGATAAGCAACTTCAGCAAAGTCTCAGGATACAAAATCAATGTGCAAAAATCACAAGCATTTCTATAACCCAATAACAGAAAAACAGAGAGCCAAATCATGAGTGAACTCCCACTCAAAATTGCTACAAAGAAAATAAAATACCTAGGAATACAACTTACAAGGGATGTGAAGGATCTCTTCAGGGAGAACTACAAACCACTGCTCAAGGAAATAAGAGAGGACCGAAACAAATGGAAAAACATTCCATGCTCATGAATAAGAAGAATAAATATCATGAAAATGGCCATACTGCCCAAAGCAATTTATAGATTGAATGCTGTCCCCATCAAACTACCAATGACTTTCTTCACAGAATTGGAAAAAAATATTTTAAAGTTCATATGGAACCAAAAAAAATCCTGCATAGCCATGACATTCCTAAGCAAAAAAAAAAAAAAAAACAAAGCTGGAGGCATCATGCTACCTGACTTCAAACTATACTACAAGGCTACAGTAACTGAAACAGCATGGTACTGGTACCAAAACAGATATATACACCAATGGAACAGAGCAGAGGCCTCCCAAATAACACCACACATCTACAACCATCTGATCTTTGACAATCTTGACACAAACAAACAATGGGGAAAGAATTCCGGAACTATTTAATAAGTGGTGTTGGGAAAACTGGCAAGCCATATACAGAAAACTGAAACTGGACCCCCTTCCTTACAGCTTATACAAAAATTAACTCAAGATGGATGAAAGACTTATCAAGACCTGAAACCATAAAAATCCCAGAAGAAAATCTAGGCAATACCATTCAGGACATAGGCATGGGCAAAGACTTCAAGTCTAAAACACCAAAAGCAATGGCAACAAAAGCTAATACTGATAAATGAGATATAATTAAAGTAAAGTGCTTCTGCACAGCAAAAGAAACTATCATCAGAGTGAACAGGCAACCTACAGAATGGGAGAAAATTTTTGCAATCTATCCATCTGACAAAGGGCTAATATCCAGAATCTACAACAAATTTACAAGAAAAAAAAACCCATCAAAAAGTAGGTGAAGGATACGAACAGACATTTCTCGAAAGAAGACATTTATGCAGCCAAAAAAACATGAAAAAATCCTCCTCATCACTGGTCACTAGAGAAACGCAAATCAAAACCACAGTGAGATACCATCTCACACCAGTTAGAATGGTGACAATTAAATAGGAAACAACAGATGCTGGAGAGGATGTGGAGAGATAGTAACATTTTTACACTGTTGGTGGGAGTGTAAATAAGTTCATCCATTGTGGAAGACAGTGTGGCGATTCCTCAAGGATCTAGAACTAGAAATACCATTTGACCCAGCAATCCCATTACTTGGTATGTACCCCAAGGATTATAAGTCATTCTACTACAAAGACAAATGCACCCGTGTGTTTATTGCGGCACTATTCCCAATAGCAAAGACTTGAAACCAACCCAAATGTCCATCAATAATAGACTGGATAAAGAAAATGTGGCACATATACACCATGGAATACTATGCAGCCATAAAAAAGGATGAGTTCATGTCCTTTGCAGGGACATGGATGAAGCTGACAACCATCATTCTCAGCAAACTAACAGAAGAACAGAAAACCAGACACCGCTGTTTTCACTCGTAAGTGGTAGTTGAACCATGAGACCACATGGACACAGGGAGGGGAATATCACACACTGAGGCCTGTCAGGAGGTAAAGGGCTAGGGGAGGGATAGCATTAGGAGAAATACCTAAGGTAGATGGCAGGTTGATGGGTGCAGCAAACAACCATGGCGTGTGTATACCTATGTAACAAAACTGCACATTCTGCACATGTACCCCAGAACGTAAAGTATAATTTAAAGAAAGGATTACATATTCCATTAAATATCTATGAGAAATCAGTGACTCCTGAATATACACATGAATACACGCTGGGTCTACCTGTATTTTTAGGGAAACACTAGAATACAGCAAAATAATGTCATGATTTTATTAAAAATGGGGGTTTATCAAACCACACCAGGCATGTCCAGCTCTGTCCTGGAGTTGGTTCAGGGAACAGGTGGGTCCTGTGTTTAGCAGCCATGACAACAAGCTCACAGCGTCAGTTCTAGTTGACACCTCAAAAAGGCGAAGGGATCTCAACTAAAATGTCATGTGGATGTCACATCTGTGGGTGCTGCATACTCCCTCGATGTGAATATGGAAAAGTTAATTACCTCTTGAGGGGTCTGTTGAGATTAGTGCTGGTCTCTAAGGAACACCCAAAATGGCTCGATAGAGCCAGAAAGCAGACTGGCTCAGGGCTTTTGTGATGGTTTCGTGGTGGGTCAGAGTGAGGCTTCCCACTCACAGGAAGGGGATTGCACAGTGTGAAACACCCACTGGTGTCAAATGAGGAAGCTCCTGCGATTCCTAACTAGATTCACATTGTGTGATAAAAGACACACAATAGACATAACTTCATGGTCGGATATCACAAAATGCTGTTAAAAGATGTGGTAAAAAGGCAACTTTAAATTTTTAGTCATTGGAGTGTGTATAACACAAAAATCATTTTCAATATTTTGTTAACACATGCAGGCAATAGGACAAAGGTATGTGATGAGGGTAAAATCTCGAAAGTGTGAATCTTCCAGCTACCAAGTCATAGGGTAATAACTGATGTGTGCTGAGGGAGGAAACCATCATGCCATAGTGCTAATGGTATAACCCTTGGTGAATAGAGTTCAATATTTTATTGAAGTTTTCATAATTTTTATTTGAAGGTGCCATTTTTCAACATATTCAGATGCTTGTGAGTGCCATTGATTCTGTATCATATGAACAATGGCAATACCTTCCATGTTTACATAATATTAAAAACCATGTTAAGACTGAATATTTGGTGTAATGGTGCATCACATTATTCTAGCTTCCATACTAGTTGTTTTATTTGTTTGTTTTCTCCTTTGTTGGCATTTGGTTTCAAATTCATATGTCAGGTCTCTATAATGTAGGAATTTATTTAAAAGTGTCTTTTTTGTCCATTTTGATGGGGCTTCTAGGAGACATAAGAACCTCCTCTGCTTGCAACACATTTCAAAATTACACACTAATGTAGAACATCTGTATTTAATCCTGGTTTTTAGTTAATTGACAAGCTCTAGTAAGAGAATTAACTTCTCCATTCTGGGCTGATTTTACATCAGGTATAGGAATATACCCTAGGTGAAAGTTTGTACCAGTAATATGAATTATTAGGTAATAACCTCCACCTTTATGATTTAGGTGTTATTCATCAGGAAATAGTGTTAAATCAGGAGTCTCAATGAAAGTATTACTTAAGGGATATACAAAATATGTTGCTAATCTACATAAAACAGATGTGAACACACTCTTAGTATCCAGCCATGTTTCCTCTCAACCACACAGTAACTTTGACTTCACTTGGGACTTGTTCTAATTTTCAAATTAGTTACTTATTAATCTTAATGCTTCTAGATATTATGTGTGACTATTTTAGCAGAGAGTGAAGAAAGACAACCTAGGCTGACTACACAATGAGGAAAATCACAACCTGATGAAACAGGAAGCCTCTGGAAGTGAATGGCTCCAGGATTGAATAATTTGACAGCTCATGTGCCCAAGAAGTTTCTTTTCTCAATTTTCCACACTGATGCATCCAGAAAGTCAGCTTCACCCCTCGGGTGACTCCCATCATGCAGTTACATGGTGACAATATTCCCATGGTCACATACATATTTTATATATTGGCTGGAAAAGGGGCAGAGACAGTTCTTCAATTCTCCTCTGAAGGACCAGGAACACCTGAACAGACCACCTCCCCTGCCCCCATGACTAGAACTGCACCACGTGCCCACATGGACACTCATCCCTGATGGGGATAATAAGACTCCACTGATGAGGCCAACTATTTTAGCATATAAATTAGTAAAGACTGATATAAAGGTTTCAACAACTAATTGAAGTCTGTTCTTCTATGTCCACCAGAGACTACAGATGCTCCAGTGATATCTTGTTCTTCTTTGCTGCGTGACTGTGTCTCTTCTCCTTGTTCCATCCTCCAGAGAATCTCTTTCAGCTCCCACAGGTGCATTCCTCTGTTATATGTAACTGACAATTGATAAATTAGTGGAAGCCCTTACACTGAAGGAAGAGTCTCTGACCTCATCTCGGTCCATATTCCTAGAAAGGCATTGTGCCCGTAAGTCTGGGTGTGACCTTCTGAGTGTTCCTGACCCTCCTCCAGATGAGATGCTCATCTGTGTGTTCTTGTCCCTTCCACTGGGGTACAGCCCCCCTGTTTCCCCCAGGTGTTCCCTCCCACAGCTCCAGTGTTCCCCATCAGTGTCATCACCTCCCAGATCTGCTGCCCTGCCCTGCAGACTAAAGCTCTGATTCCATAAGGAAGAGAGTTGTGTCTCAACAGAACTTCGTGGCAGTGACCTCTGTTCCCATCTCAATTCCTGAGGAGTTGCACCAGTGCCCCTAGGGTACTGGTTTTGGTGGTTCCCCTGCAAAGTAATTTTTAGTTCTGTAGTGGATATAAGGGAGTCGAGTCTGAATGCCTTTCAAAAATGGGGGCTCTTGTTCTCTCCCAGACAGACACTTTGGGAAAGGAAGATTTTGTGACTGCCCCTTTTTTGGGGAAAGGGATTCAAGAGGATAGAAAAGCTCTTCAGTATGTGGTCCCTTAGAATTTCAAACTACAACAAGCTAACCATATTCAATTTCAAGCAATCCCATATATATTTGTATTTTTATCTTTAACAGCCTATATTTCATACGCCAGACTCTGCCTTAGGTAATCTCATATGCTGGCTTTGTTACTCTCTACAAGAACTTGCTTCTTGTTAAATTTAAGATTTTTTTTTAACTTCAGTTATCCTAAGCATTCAGAAATTTGCAAAATTTCATCTTGACTGTTTATCTGTTATTGTTGATGTAGTTGTAAGAAAAAAAGAAAATATATTCCTCATTTATGTACATTTTCAAGTTGAGTAGTAGATTTTTAGTACTACCAGAGTAATAAAATAATTTGAACATTGTTAAGCTGCTTAACAGAAAATCAAATTATGGTAAATTTGTTCAATGGAATACTACACAACATTTATAATAAATAATTGTCTGATACATGCAACAAGAAGGTAAAATATCTAAGTATTTTTGCTGAGTAAAATAAACCAGGCAAATGAGAAGATTTACCATATAATTTCATTTATATAAATTCTGGAAAATAAAAACTGAACTTAAGCAATATAACAACAAGGTAAAATATCTAAGTATTGATGTTCAGGAAAATAAAGCAAACAAGAATATGTACTATGTTATTCCATTTTAATAAATTCTGATAAATTAAATTCAATCTACAGCAATATAAAGAAGATCAGAATTTACCATTTGGGGAAATGGTAGAAGAAGGGAAGAGGAAAGGAGGAGGAATATGGAAGAATGAGAGGGAAATTTTGAGAATTTTCTGGTTCACCTTGATAACTAGGATGGTTACATCAGGTTTATCAATTGTACACTTTAAATATGTGAAGTTTATTATCAGTAAACTGAAATTTATAAAATTTATTACCAGCAAACAAATGAAAACTTGCACAAGAAGTAAGTGATATAAAGATAGAAAAAATACTAAATTTCAGAAACACCTAATAATTTATCTTCGTGAACCCTAGTTCTCACCATATTTTTAGGTGAATGCTAGAATGCAGCAAAATTACACATGTTCTCAATACAGAAAGTGGGTTTCACAAGCCACACTAGGCATGCCCAGCTCTGTCCTGGAGTTGGGTTAGGGAGTAATATAGGGCCAGTGGATGAGGAGCACAGGCCCAGATACTGGGGCTCACTAACCTCAGGTATGAGCTCTTAGATACATACAAAGCCCCTCCACGTATGGGTTTACTTCGCCATCTGTAAATAGAGAAACCATTGACCCCTAAAAATATGATTTACACAAATATGTAAAAATGTAAGAGAGTGATTAGTGCAAAGTGTTTATCACAGCACAATTTCCTAATAAGACAGCAAGTTTTCCAAACACCATCATTGTCATCAGATTCTTGCAGGGCATCATTACCTTATCTGGGCACTGCCCTCTGCTCAGGCGTCCCACCCCAGAGCTTGCTATATAGTAGGTGACATACAAATAGGGCCCTCCCTCTCCTGATGAAAACCAGCCCAGTCCTGACCCTGCAGCTCTGGGAGACGAGCCCCAGCCTTGGGATTCCCAAGTATTTTCATTCAGTGATCAGGACTGAACAGACAGGAATCACCATGGAGTTTGTGCTGAGCTGAGTTTTCCTTGCTGCTATTTTTAAAGGTGATTTATGGAGAGCTAGAGAGATTGAGTGTGAGTGGACATGAGTGAGAGAAACAGTGGATATGTGTGGCAGTTTCTGACCTTAGTGTCTCTGTGTTTGCAGGTGTCCAGTGTGAGGTGCAGCTGGTGGAGTCTGCGGGAGGCCTTGGTACAGCCTGGGGGGTCCCTTAGACTCTCCTGTGCAGCCTCTGGATTCACTTGCAGTAACGCCTGGATGAGCTGGGTCCGCCAGGCTCCAGGGAAGGGGCTGGAGTGGGTTGGCCGTATTAAAAGCAAAGCTAATGGTGGGACAACAGACTACGCTGCACCTGTGAAAGGCAGATTCACCATCTCAAGAGTTGATTCAAAAAACACGCTGTATCTGCAAATGAACAGCCTGAAAACCGAGGACACGGCCGTGTATTACTGTACCACAGACACAGTGAGGGGAGGTCGGTGTGAGCCCAGACACAAACCTCCCTGCAGGGGCGCGCAGGGCTACCAGGGGGCGCTCGGGACCCACTGAGGACGGGACAGGTCCCAGGAGCTGGTGCCGGGAGAGGTTTCCTTTCTCCTCAGCTGGAAAAGTCACGTTTATCTTCGCAGGACTCTGGAGTCTTCTAGGCTGTGATATTTTGTTACTTATATTTATTATGAATTTTATCATTAATATTTAAATTTTAGTAATTATTAACATTCTACATATTATTATATTTTTAAGTATATACTTTCAAGAAATAAACATTCCTAATTGTTTGCACTGATTCTTCCAGAGTTTTATTAACATTTGTTGACATCAGCAACTACATAGCTATAGGGACAAAAATTTATACCCATAGAAAGATGTATAAATACACAGACCAATGCGTATATATGTAGGCATTTGTATTAAACATTACAATGAAATGATAAAAAAAGTTTGAAAAAAATCAAACTTAATTAACTACATTATTAACTTTTAATTATTAAATTATTACAGTAATTCATAATTGATTTCCCAGATTTTCAATTGTTTACATAAATTGGTTTCTATTGGTTCATTTAAAATAGTACATTGGTCATTTTAAAGAGCTAAGAGTAAATGTTAAATGTTGTCACAATAAAAGATAAAAATTTGAAACAATGAATGATAATTATATCAGTTATTTCTTAATTATCTTAGTTATTTCATATTGTATTCACAAACCATAACATTGCCCTTTACCATGTACATATAAACAACCATAATTTGTAAATTTGCAATAAATTTTTTATTGTAATTTTTTATATTTATCCCAGATTATAATCTTTTTCTTCACTTCCAGATCTCACTGGATTGTCTCAAGGGCCCCATCCACACCACTGAGCCCTGATGAAAGGCTCTAGGCTGTGGCCGGGAGAGGCAGTCTCTTCTTCCAGAGCACACTCTGTTTGAGGGGGAGATGTCATCTCTGCCCTTGAGGAGCCCCAGCTGATGGGGGAGCTTTTGCCCTTAGGAAGCTCTCAGTCTGATGGGGAAGACGCTGTCCCTGCCCTCAGGAGGCTCTTGGTCTGAGAGGGGAGACATAATTCATTCTCTCTGAGTGCCCTCAGTCTGATGGGGGAGACACCGTCCCTGCCCTCAAGAGGCTCCAAGTCTGATGGGGGAATATTGGCTCTGTCCTCAGGAGTCCGGTCTAAGGAGGGTGTCTCAGCCCCACTCCTGAGGGTAAGGATTCCATGGCCACAGTCTGGACAGTGGGCCAGTCACGCTTGACAGTGGGCATGTTGCCAGCAGGACCCTTTGGGATGTGTCTGAGCCTGGAGGTGAGTGGCACGGGGGCTGGCAAGGCTAGGGTGGAGGCAAGCAGGTTCCGCTGTCTGCCGCCTTCACACCTTTCTCCTTCCACATGCATAGATGAGCCCACCAGCCCCAGCACTGACCTCCAAGCCAAGCATGTCCCTGCCTTTGCTGTGGTCTCCAGTGCCATGAACTCAGCCGCTGTCCTGGGCACCAGCCCATCTTCCCCGACCTTCACCTTCACCCTCGGACGGCATTACTCGCGGGACTGCAGTGAGCGCTCCCCACACCCACAGCCCCACCCTTTCCCTCACTGCCCAGTCCCAGGGGTCTCTGTTGGGTCTGCTGCTGGATGTCTGGCCTCTTCCTCTGGTTTCTGCTTCTCCTGGGGCACCTTGGGAGAGTCACCTCCCCTGCCTAGAAGGGAGGGCTCTGGGAAGCCCCTGACCTGCTGCCCCGCTGACCCTGAGGCCCGATGCAGGCGGCTTTGCAGGCAGCATCAAGGCTGGCCGCCGCTCCTCCTACCTGCTGGCCATCAGCACGGAGCGCTCCAAGTCCTGCGATGATGGACTCAACACCTTCCGTGACGAGGGTCAGGTTCTGCGGTGAGGCCCTGTCTGGACATGGGGTGGGGTGGCCACAGCCACCCTGGCCAGCTGCTCTGGGGCAGGGCTTTTGGCCTTGGGGGTCCTCTATGCATGGGACAGTGTGCCTCCCCCGCTGGAAGGCTTCTGGGCTTGGGGTTTGGTGGGTGACGAGATAGTGAGGTCCCAGCTTTGCTGCCCACATCCCTCACCCTCCACCCTTGCTTCCCAGGCACCTGCCAAACCGCATACCCAGCCTGCTGTTGCTCCGGAGCTTCTTCACAGACGGGGTGAGTTGCAGGTCTGTGTGTGTGCGCAGGAGTGAGGGTGTGGAGAGAGAGGGTGTCAGGGAGGTGGGGCCACAGCCTCGGCATGGGGGTTCCTGCTCCAGCTCCTGCCTTCCCCCTCCTCCCTGCACCCCTCACCCTTGTGTCCACCGCGGGACCGGCCCTCTGCTGTGGGCCCCGACATCCCTGAATGACACCATGCAGCCCCACCCAGGGGCCCCCGTCTGGACTGCCTCTTTCCAGACTCATCCCCCATAGCCACACAACTCACTTCTCCACTGTCTTCGCAGCTTTTTAGGTCTTCCCTGAAATTCCAGCCTCCACTCCTGACATTTCATGCCTCCCTTCGCTACTCTGTTTTCCTCCTCAGCACGCCTCATGCACAATTGGTGTTTCCCTTCCTCCCTGCCTGGCTCCCCAGCTAGAATAGAAGCTCCCCGAGCTTATATTTGGGGCTTCATATGTTTCCTTCACTACCCTGAGTCAGTATTTGCATCGCATCTTGTCTTCATGGGATGGGGTCGGGGTGGACACTGGAAAGGTGTGGCCTGGACACAGGGTTGAGATTGGTGGACAGGTGGAGTTCCCAGCCTCAGGACCTGGGGAGGCAGGATCAGGCCTGTGATAGCCCTGGCTGTTTGTTTGTTTTGAGACAGAGTCTCACTCTATTGCCCAGTCTGGAGTGCAGTGGCATGATCTTGGCTCACTGCAACGTCCACCTCCTGGGTTCAAGCTATTGTCCTGCCTCAGCCTCCCGAGCAGCTGGGATTACAGGCGTGTGCCACCACACCTGGGTAATTTTTGTATTTTTAATAGAGACTGGGTTTCACCATGTTGGCCAGACTGGTCATGAACTCCTGACCTCAGGTGATCCACCCACCTCGGCCTCCCAAAGTGCTGGGATTACAGGCCTGAGCCACCGCACCTGGCCTCAAGTGATCTTCTTGCTTCGGCCCCCCAAAATGCTGGGATTACAGGCATAAGCCACCACACCTGGACATATTGTTGTTTCTAAAATCACATATATATTTTTCATGCACGATTTTTCTTTTTTTTTTTGAGATGGAGTCTCACTCTATTGCCCAGGCTGGAGTGCAGTGGCACGATCTCAGCTCACTGCAACCTCCATCTCCTGGGTTCAACCAATTCTCATGCCTCAGCCTCCCGAGTAGCTGGGATTATAGGCATGTGCCACCACACCTGACTAATTTTTGTGTTTTTAGTAGAGATGGGGTTTCACCATGTTGGCCAGGCTGATCTTGAACTCCTGACCTCAAGTGATCTGCCTGTCTCAGCCTCCCAAAGTGCTGGGATTACAGGCATGAGCCACCGTGCCCGCCCCACCTTTCCCTGGCTGTTTTTGATTATAGATGGACTGGAAAAGCCATCTTGATGTCAAGCGCTCTGTCTCATTGGTTGGTTGAACACCCCGGTGATATTGGCACCTAGCTTATTTCTTATCACTTCTTCTGCTTACTTAACTCTCCCTTGACTTGCGCCCTCTGGCTGGAGTCCTGTTGACACTGTCACTTCCTCTGTTTAACGCCTCGTGGACATGACTACCTGCTCCACTCCCTCAGCCTTTGTTGATGTTCCCACTTCCCCTGTTTATTTAACTCCTCGTTGACACGATCACTTCCTCCATTTTCTTAATTCTTCTAAGTCTATATAGTTACGGGAGGCTCCGAATTGGCTCCTCTAGCGTGGTGAGGCGTGTGGTCTGCTGACAGGTCATAGCCTTTCCTCCTTTCTGGCTTCTCCTTTATGTAGGTCTCATGACCTCAACACAAGTGGTCCAGAGAGGACAAGCAATGCCCATGAGGTCGCATGGCACATCGGGGTGTAGCACAGATATATATCAGGACTGTGCAGCCACAAGTGGTCCATGGGGTTCCTGAGATGCTGGCATTGTGGGAGCCACCCTAAATTGTCCTCTGTTGTCTCCCTGCAGTCCTTGGATAGCTGGGGCACCTCTGAAGATGCTGACGCTCCTTCTAAGCGACACTCAACCTCTGACCTCTCAGATGCGACCTTCAGCAATATCAGGAGAGAAGGCTGGTTGTATTATAAGCAGATTCTCACCAAGAAGGGGAAGGTAAGATGGGTGGAGGAATGAGGTGGAAGCTGGCTCCAGCAGAACCCTCCAGCCTCTCCTAGGCCTACCCTGACAGCCTCTGGAGCCAGAGAGAACCAGTGTAGGTTGTTGCATGAAGGATGGAGGATAGATGCTAGGAAGAACTTCCTGGCAGGGGGATTTAAAGAACTTATGTAAAAGAAGTTAACAAGAGAGGTGGATTTTGCTGTGGGATGGATCTGATCGAGTCGTGCTTGGAATTCTGGCAAAACCATCCCACAGTGGCCCTGGCTTGACAGGCCATCCTGAAGATGGCCGCTGGGGCTCATGGAAAACAAGGAGCAAGGCCGGGGTGATTTCCGTAGGAGAGTTAAGGCCCAAGAAGATGCAGGCAAGCCAGCAAAGGGCTTAGTGTTCATCCTAAGGGCAACCAAAGGCTCTCGGGGGCTCTTGCCAAGGGAGTTACAGCTTTAAAATATTCATTTGGCTCCCTGGGAGTGAGTTAGGGAGGGGCCACGCTGGAGGCAAGAAGACCAGTTAGAGCCACCATGGAGATCCAGGTGAGAGGCAAAGGGGGCTTCGGGTAGTACTTGGGGAGGGCCTGGGAGGGAACCAGCAGGACTCTGAGAGGAGAAGGGCAGAGCCCCTGGATCCATGGGGTGCAAATCCTGGCCCCAGGCTGTGCTGTGGGCTGGAGAAGTGGGAGGAGAGACCACTGCCTTCCCTCCCGGCAATTAGGATGAACCCGGGTTTGACTCTTGACTACATCACCCATTGCTCTGAGAGCTGGGTGACTCACCTGGCCGTGACTCAGTGTCCTCGTCTGTAAATGGAGCTAACAGTAATCCCTAGCTCATAAGCCTATTGCTAAGGATTAAATGAGATGATCTAAGTAAAGGGTTTACCCAGTGCCCAGCACTTGAAACTGCTGTACTTCTGCTTACTGCTATTTGTTTTCTTTTTTTGAGATGGAGTCTCACTCTGTTGCCCAGGCTGGAGGGCAGTGGCGCAATCTCAGCTCACTACAACCTCTACCTCCTGGGTTCAAGCAATTCTCCAGCCTCAGCCTCCTGGGTAGATGGGACTACAGGCACTCACCACCAAACCCAATTAAATTTTTTTTTTGTATTTTTTTAGTAGAGACGGAGTTTCACCATGTTGGTCAGGCTGGTCTCGAACTCCTGACCTCAAATGATCTGTCTGCCTTGGCCTCCCAAAGTGCTGGGATTACAGGCGTGAGCCACTGTGCCCAGCCCACTTACTGCTATTTGAATTTTTTGCCCTGCCTTCTGGGGTCTTGAGGGTCCCTGGAAAGAACATAAGCTTTGAAGCAGACAGACTTCGAGTTCCTATCCAGCCACATATCAAGCACATGGCTTTGGGCACCCCACTTACCTTCCCCGAGCCTCACTTTCTGATCTGTACGATGGGAACAATGTTATCCTACCCCAAGGGCTGCTGTGGATTAAGTGAGGGTGAAGTCGAGGCGGGACTGATGCGCCTCCGTGGAGAATGACTAAGGCCTCCCTGCTCGGGAGCCTCTGTGGAGGTTCTGGGGAGTTAGTGGTGAGGGAGCCAGGGCAGCCCTGCCCTCCTGGGGCTCCTGTTGCTCCTGTTGAGCAGAGAGAACGCATGTGGCATCATGGTTCCAAGTGCACAGACTGCCGTGATGCCCGGGTGCAGGGGCAGGTGGGCGTGGGTAGGGAGGTATCCAGAGGCTGAGACACGAAAGGATGAGAAGCCACAAAACTGGGAGACAGTGGAGGGGCCTGACAGGGAGGATGTCTCCTTAGAGGGTCCTGGGGAAAGGTGGGGAGAGGTGTGCTGGGAGCCAGGGCGAGAGGTGGAAGATGAGCTGGGTAATTGGGTGCCTGCCCAGAGTGTGGGGCCTTCATACCCAGAAAGAGCCTGTCCAGGGTTTTATTATTTTATTTTATTTTATTTTATTTTATTTTATTTTATTTTATTTTATTTTATTTTATCTATTTTTGAGATGGAGTTTCACTCTGTTGCCCAGGCTGGAGTGCAGTGGTATGATCTCAGCTCACTGCAACCTCCGCCCCCTGGGTTCAAGCAATTCTCGAGCCTCAGCCTCCTGGGTAGCTAGGACTACAGGCGCCTGCTACCACACCCAGCTAATTTTTGTAGTTTTAGTAGAGACTGGGTTTCACTATGTTGGCCAGGCTGGTCTCGAACTCCTGACCTCAAGTGATCTGCCTGCCTTGGCCTCCCAAAGCGCTTGGATTACAGGCGTGAGCCACCGTGCCCGGCTCTGTCCAGGGTTTTAAATGTGGGCTGGGGCTGGCAGGAGACTGGGGTTATGTCTGTGACAGGAGGAGCCAATCCCATTGCTCTTGTCCAGGTGAGTGAGGGTGGGGGCCCCGACCCAAGGCAGTGGTGTGGGGCTGGGTGGAGCGGACACTTTAGAGAGAGATTCCATGGGAAGGACGGCCAGGGCTTGCCAGCTGCTGGGAGGTATGGAAGGAGGAGGAGGCGATAAGGTTCCTGGATTCCTGGCTTGGGCTGAGGGAGGGTGGTGGGTGGTGGGTGGTGGGACCCTCCCTGGGCCATGGCACACTGGAGGAGCAGGTTTGGGGAGAGGAAGCCAAGTGGCTCCACTTGGGCTATGTGAGTCTGAGGGCCCTGGGACAGACCCCAGTGGAGATGTCCTGGGGACAGAGGCTCTGAGGGCGTATTACTAGAGGGAGGCCCACCTGGGGACGGCCTTTGTCTGTCAGCACCCACGAGTTACATATGCCTCTGTGCAGGGGCTTGAAGGAAGAAGGCAAGAGACCTGGCTGAGCCTTGAGAGAAGTGGGGGGGGCCGGGGAGGCCAACAGAGACCAAAAAGAGCCAGCAAGTTGGCAGCGACCCGTGGGGTGGGAGCCATGAGGCAAGGAGGGACCAGCCACGTGCACTGTGCGAGGAGAGCCGCAAGTGGGCCAGCCCTTCCAGTCTAACGTGTGAGCCACATGAAGGGTCCTTGTGAGGGTGGCTGGCTCCCCCTGCTGGGGAGCCTGACCCTCAGCCCCTTGGGGCCCTGAGCCCAGTTCAGGGACAGGAGCTGTCCCCTTCCTGCTCACTGGCCAGTTCTGGAGGACCAGGCCTCCACTCCCTTGCTGGCCAAAACCCGATGTCACTTGTTCCTTTGGTGCTGTGGCCTGGACGTTAGAGGAGAGTCTTCAAGTCAGCCTCAGGCCCTTGGTCCACCCAGGCCGTGGGCACCCTCTCTGTGCTCCCTCCCAGCCCCAGCCTCTTTCAGAGACACGGACTGTCAGGCAGAGGAGGGAAAGGGACAGTGACTTGTCCCCTCAGCCTCAGCCCCAGCATGGGAGCTGCATGCAGCCTTGGTGACCAACTCCCTCACTCATTTACCAGCCGGAGACACTGAGGCCTGGGAGTGCGGTTGACTTGTCCTAGGTCATGCCGCTGGTTTAGCCTCAGAGAGGTGCCCTTGTCACCACCTCACTGTCACATTAAAATTCTCCCTGGAGGGCTCTGCTGTCTCCTACTCTGAATGTCCCTGTCCCCCTCCAGCAGTTCTGTGATGAGCAGGGCTCACAGCTCAGGATCCACATGATGGGAGGCCAGATGTGGGCTGTGCCCATCTGCCAGCCACGGGACCTCTTTGTCTGGTTTGTTCTGAGAGCTGAGGCCTGTGCTGGATGTGGAGCCACCAGCCAGCAGAGAGGAGCTCTTGGTCTGATGGGAGATGGAGCTCCTGCCCTCAGGGTGCTCCAAGGATCATTAATTCATTTATTCAGCAAATATTGATGAGCGCTTGCATGCTGCTGTAGGCCCTGGGATATGGAAATGAGAGGACGGACAAGCTCCCTGTCCCCAGGACAGCCTGAGGCTGCAGTAAGTTCTTGGAAAGGATCAAGCTGATCAGAAGCGGGAGCTGCATTGAGGGAAAAATATGGCCAGAGAAAGCCTCGCTGAGGAGTTGACATTGGTGATGCTGGAGTTCAGATCTGAAGGGGAAGAAGGAAGCAGCCACATATAGAAGTGAGGGAGGGGGGCTTAGGCAGAAGGAACAGCAAGCGGAGAGGCCCTGAGAAAAGAAAGGCTTGGCTCGCTCACATGCAAGGGCCCCCTGGCTTGACATAGTGAGAAAGGTGTGAAGATGAATTTGGAGAAAGGCAGGTACAGACCACAGGAGACTTTAGATTTGATTCTAAGGGCGATGGGATCTCTTGAGAGGATGCTGAGCATGGGAGAGATGTGATCTCCTTTTCATTCTAACATGATCGCTGCAGCTGCTGCTGGAGAATGGATGCAGGAGCAAGAGTAGAGACTGGGAAGGTCTGTGCATCCTCCAAGCAAGAGGCGTTGATGGCATGGAAAGATGTCTTTCCTCTGGCAGGAAAGACAGAGACAGGGGATGTTTTGGAGGCAGAACAGTTGTGACTTCCTGATGGATGGGATGTCAAGGGCGAGGAAAAGGGAGGAGTCAAGGGCAGCTCCCAGGTTTCTGGACAACTGGATGGATTGACTGAGCTGGAAAAGATGGGGGTAGAGAGTGGAGAAGAGGTTTGATGGTAAGAAATCACATGGCCTGGCAAGTATTGTGCAAAGTGCCCATGGGAACTGCAAATGAAGACACTGAGCAGGGTGGGGGTGCCGGGCTGTGGCTGGGGGAGATGCTGGGCTCGGGAATGGCCATCAGCAGGTGGACCTGGTTTAAAGGCATGGCACAGGTGACATCCTTGAGGGAGGTGTGCAGGGAGAGGAGAGGAGGGGAGAGTCAGGGCGAAGTTCTGGAGCTCCGCCTCCTTTAGGGCGGGGTCTGTTACCCTCTGCTCTGCTGACATTTTGAGCCAGATAATTCCTTGTTGGGGGAGGCTGTCCTGTGCATTGCGCAATGTTTAGCCGCATCCCTCAGATGCCATAGCACACCCTCCAGCTCCCTCCACACAAATGTCCCGTGGTGACGAGTCTCCTGGCTGTTTAACTACAGGTGTAGAGGGTGGGGGAGGGGAAGTAGAGAAGACTAGGAAGGAGCCAGTGGCATTAGGAAGAAAGCCGGGAACGTGGGGTCTCAGGTGCCGAGATGGGGTCTGGAGAGGGAAGGAGGGGCTGGCTGTGTCAGATGCCGCCAAGGGGTTAAGGCAAGTAAGTTGGGGAGAAGCAGCCATTGGCTTTGGCCACATGGCGGTTCTGGGTGTCCCTGAGAGGAGCTTCTGGGCAAGTGGAGTCTTGGGTGGGCGGCAGGAAAGTGGGGAGAACGACCCTCTAAGAGTGCGGACAGCTTCTGAGCAGGTTTGCTGGGGTGAGGGGCAGCCTGGGGAGGGGCGTGGGCTGGGAATGGCTTCCCGAGGATTTCATGTACGGAGGGCCATGCTGGGTGTCTGAGCATTGCCACCGCTCGGTGAGTGTTGATGTTGGTGTTTAGAGGGGGAGAGGGTTGGGGTCTGCTGGCGGGCTTTAGGGTGATGGGTAGGGGTGTCTAGGCAGGCGAGGGACTGAGAAAGCATTGGTGGGCTGTGGGCAGGAGGCTGCCCAGGTCTAGCCGGGTGGAGCAGGGGGCTCCTGGTAGGCAGCGTGGGGTCCATCCCCCGGCTGTCCTCTGTCTGCTACTGTGAGAGCAGTGGGCAGAACTGACCTCTCACCACTCCTGTTTCCCCCAACCCCGTGTCTCCCTGCAGAAAGCGGGCAGCGGCCTGCGCCAGTGGAAGCGGGTGTACGCCGCGCTGCTGGCGCGCTCGCTCTCGCTGAGCAAGGAGCGGCGGTAGCCCGGGCCGGCGGCGGCGGGGGCTGTGGGGGCCGGCGCAGGTGAGGACAAGGCGGCGCCCGTCTGCGTCGGCTCCTGCCTCGTGGACATCTACAGCGAGACCAAGAGGAGGCACGTGTTCCGGCTGACCACCGCTGACTTCTGTGAATATCTCTTTCAGGCTGAGGACCGGGATGACATGCTGGGGGGATCAGAGCGATCCGGGAGAACAGCAGGGCCGAGGGCGAGGTGAGGGCCCGGCCAGCCCGGCGGCCACAGAGGGCGGGCGGGGTGGCCTCTCACCGGCTGTGGACCTGGGATGTCCGCTCTGAGCCTCACTTCCCTCTGCTAGAAAGGGGGGCTGACAGGAGTGCACCTCGTGATTGTGTCCCCCTAGGTTTCGGGGTGACGAGGGTGCAAGGGCAGGGCTCATGGAGGACCTGGCGTCCTCGGGTGCGGGGACCAGCAGTCACCATCCTGACCCTAATGATGACAGGGATTATTGTGACTGTGTTAGGATCGCCATGAGCAGGCTCTGATGTGGAGTGGTCAGCTCCAGGCCAGTCTCAGCTTTTCTCAGCAGGCGAGGAAGGCAGGGGCCTCCTATGGAGTGTGTTAGGGCATGAGTGTCCCCACACCAGAACTGCACTGGGCTGGCCTGACTGCAGGAGGATGAACACATTGACCTTGTGAGGAGGCTGAGAGGCTTGGCCTTTGGCCACAGGTGGGCAGGGTTGGAGCCAAGGGCCTCGGCAGGGACTTTGGGAGAATTTTTTTTTTTTTTTGAGACAGAGTCTCGCTCTGCTGCCCAGGCTGGAGTGCAGTGGCGCGATCTCAGCTCACTGCAACCTCCGCCTCCCAGGTTCAAGTGATTCTCCTGCCTTAGCCTCCTGAGTAGCTGAGACTATAGGCACATGCCACCATGCCTGGCTAATTTTTTTTTAATAGAGACGGGGTTTCACTGTGTTAGCCAGGATGGTCTTGATCTCCTGACCTCATGATCCTCCCACCTCAGCCTCCCAAAGTGCTGGGATTACAGGTGTGAGCCACTGCGCCCAGCCGAAGAATTTTTTTTAATGGCGCCCATTGCGGTCAGCCGTAGCTACACTCCAGGGGCCTAGGTAGGGATTCCTCCCTGTTTACTTCTTTGGCCAGGAGCCTGCACAGAAGTGCCTTGAGACACCCACACAAAGTCATGTGGGCATCCCGGGCCTGGGGTCTCTGCCAAGAGGGCAGTGGGCCTGGGCCTGCTCTGGCCGTGGGAGGGGGCGCTAGTGCATGGCCTCTTGCTGAGGACACATCCTCTCGCTGACCAGGCTCTGCTCTCCCGGGAACAGCTTTCCCCACTGCAGGGAGGAAGGCACCTGGAATTTGGGCCTCCTCCTCTGGGGGCCTGGCTTGGCTGTCTCCAACAAGGCTTAGTCAGGGGGGTTCCAAGTCACATCACTATGGCAGTAGCAGTCCCTCCTGGGGCACCTCCTCCATGCCTGCTCAGCATCTGCCAGGAAAGTGGCGAGTGCTGCATGATTCTGCACCCAGCCCCGAGCCTTCCCTTTTAGCCCCCCATGTTTATTACCGAGGAGACTGAGGCTCAGAGAGCCTAAGAGGCTTCCCCAAGGCCTCAGCTGGTGAGAGGGTGCTGGGGAGTCCAGGCCTGGTCTTTCTCACTCCAGGGTCTGGGCTGTCCACCTGGCAGGTGGACAAGAGGGGAAGCAGGGCTAGGGATGAACCCAGGGGTGGGCTGGCTGTGGGCACTGACATGATCCGCTCTCTCCTCTCCTGCTTCAGGACCCCGGCTGTGCCAACCAAGCTCTGATCAGCAAGAAGCTTAATGATTATCGCAAAGTGAGGTGAGGCCTAGCCCTCATGGAGCAGTCTCCTCTGTGGGGGTGGTAAGGGGCTGAAGGCAGAGGATGTCTTCCTGGACCACCTCCAGGGCTGCCCTCTGCTGGGGAAAGGGGTATCCAGGGTATCCAGGGTCTCCAGGCTGCAGTTTGGCATGGAGGCATTGCCTCAGGGTGGAGGGGATGTCCCGAGGGGCAGGAGGCCAGGGTGGGTGGCCTGCTTGGCCACCCCAAGTGAAGACCTCTCCTCTCCCCCTTTTTCCTACACAGCCATAGCTCTGGGCCCAAAGCTGATTCCTCCCCCAAAGGCTCTCGCGGCCTGGGGGGCCTCAAGTCTGAGTTCCTCAAGCAGAGTGCGGCACGTGGCCTCAGGACTCAGGACCTGCCCGCAGGGAGCAAGGGTAGGAAGGTGGCCACTGAGACAGGGTGGTGTGTTGGGGAAGAGGGCATGGAGAGGGGAGGGCATGTGTGTGTGTGTTGGGCTGTGTCTGCTCGTGTGTGCCTGACTGTGTGCCAGGGTTACCGGTATGTCTGTCTGCGTGTGCATGCCTGTGAGGGTCTGGGGGCTCTCAGGGTCTTGGGGTGGAAGGGCCTGGAGCCTGATTCCCCTCCCTGACATCCCTGCTGGGTGGTCCTCTAATCTTTGCTGGTGTCTCTGCAGGGATGAGAGGCCCACCCTTTCCAAGAGCAACCTTTCCCATTTCCCTCACCTTTGGCTATTAGAAAGTTCTTACCTGGCTGGGCAAGGTGGCTCACACCTGTAATCCCAGCACTTTGGGAGGCCAAGACAGTCAGATCACCTGAGGTCAGGAGTTCAAGACCAGCCTGACCAACATGGCGAAACCCCAACTCTACTAAAAATACAAAAGGCCGGGCACGGTGGCTCACGCCTGTAATCCCAGCACTTTGGGAGGCCGAGGCGGGTGGATCACAAGGTCAGGAGATCGAGACCATCCTGGCTAACACGGTGAAACCCCATCTCTACTAAAAAACACAAAAAATTAGCTGGGCATGGTGGCAGGCACCTGTAGTCCCAGCTACTCAGGAGGCTGAGGCAGGAGAATGGCATGAACCTGGGAGGCAGAGCTTGCATTGAGCCAAGATTGCGCCACTGCACTCTAGCCTGGGTGACGGAGCAAGACTCCGTCTCAAAAAAAAAATACAATAAAAGTACCCGGGCGTGGTGGTGTGCGCCTGTAATCCCAACTACTTGGGAGGTTGAGACACGAGAATCACTTGAGCCTGGGAGGTGGAGGTTGCAGTGAGCCGAGATCACACCACTGCACTTCAGCCTGGGTGACAGAGCGAGACCCTGTCTCAAAAAAAATAAAATAAATAAATAAATAAAAGAAAGTTGTTCCCTTGGGCCAGCAGGCATGGTGGCTGACACCTATAATCCCAGCATCATTTTGGGAGGCTGAGGCTGGAGGATTGCTTGAGGCCAGGAGTTTGAGACCAGCCTGGGTAACATAGCAAAGTCCTATCCCTACAAAATATTTTTTTATATATTATTTATTTATTTAGAGACAGAGTCTTGTTCTGTCACTCAGGCTGGAGTGCAATGGCATGATCTCAACTCATCGCAACCTCCACCTCTTGGGTTAAAGCGATTCTTGTGCCTCAGCCCCCTTAGTAACTGGGATTACAGGCATGCGCCACCCCGCCCGGCTAATTTTTTTTTTTTTTTTTTGAGACGGAGTCTTGCTCTGTTGCCCAGGCTGGAGTGCAGTGGTGTGATCTCGGCTCACTGAAAGCTCCGCCTCCTGGGTTCGCACCGTTCTCCTGCCTCAGCCTCCTGAGTAGCTGGGACTACAGGTGCCCGACACCACATCTGGCTAATTTTTTTGTATTTTTAGCAGAGACGGGGTTTCACCGTGTTAGCCAGGATGGTCTCGATCTCCTGACCTTGTGATCCGCCCGCCTCGGCCTCCCATAGTGCTGGGATTACAGGCGTAAGCCACTGCACCCGGCCCACGCCCAGCTAATTTTTGTATGTTTAGTAGAGACAGGGTTTTGCCATGTTGGCCAGCTGGTCTCGAACTCCTGGCCTCATGTGGTCCTGCCAGCCTCAGCTTCCCAAAGTGCTGGGATTACAAGCATAAGCCACTGTGCCTGGCAAAAAAATTTTTTTTAATTAGCCAGGTGTGGTGGTATGAGCTTATAGTCCCAGCCACTCGGGAGGCTGGGGAGGGAAGATTGCTTGAGCCCAGGAATTTGAGGCTGCATTGAGCTATGATCATACCACTGCACTACAGCCTGAGCGACAGAGACCCTGTCTCTAAAGAAACAAAGTTCTATGGCTTCCGCCTTGTAGTTTTGGCCCACGAGCCACACAGAAGTCCTTGCATTGCTCTGGGCCTCTCCTTTGGGGTAAGCATCCTCCCCTTCAGGCCTTCTCTCTTGCCATACAATGTCCCATCAGCCCTGGGCATCTGGTTTCTTCTCTGATGGAATCCCCATACATCCAAATGTGTGAATGTGGCAGTGAATGTGTGCGACCCTCCTGGATACTCCAGCTCACTCTGGCTCTGTCTCCCCCACTTCAGATGACAGTGCTGCAGCCCCCAAAACCCCCTGGGGCATCAACATCATCAAGAAAAATAAGAAGGCTGTCCCAAGGGCATTTGGGGTCAGGCTGGAGGACTGCCAGCCAGCCACGGAGAACCAGGTGGGTCTCTGCCACACGCCAGAGCAGGCCCGGCAGGGGGAGACCAAGGCACAGAGGGTCAGAGCAGCAAGGGACATGGAACAAGCTCTCCACCTCATTGTACAAACACAGCTGGGAAAACAGCCCAGAGAGGGGAGGCCTGCCCTGGGCCTCCCAGGGAGGGAGCAGCAGGGCTGAGGCTGAGCCCGGCTCCTTCTCAGACCATGGCGAGGCTTTGGTGTCATTTGTAGCTCTCAGACTGGAGGCAGCAAGGGCCTTTTGTTCCCCCCAAGGGTTCCTGGCAGCAGCTCTGGGCCTTGCATTGTCCCCTTCTTGGCCTCCCCAGCTCCTCTGGCCCCTGTCCCCCCTAACACCCCTCCCCTGTGTCCCCAGCATGTCCCCTTAATCGTGGCTGCATGCTGTCACATTGTGGAGGCACGAGGGCTGGAGTCCACAGGCTTTTACCGAGTGCCTGGCAATAATGCAGTGGTGTCCAGCCTACAGGAGCAGCTCAATCGTGGGCCTGGTGACATCAACCAGCAGGATGAGGTGGGTGAAGCTGGGGGCATGGTGCCCCCTGGAGGACAGAAGGGACAACGACCCGGCCGTTAGTTCTTGTACTCAATAACCATTTATTTTAGAGTAGGGTTTCTCAACCTCAGTGGACATTTTGGGAAGAACAATTATTTGTTGTGTGGGGTTGCCCTGTGCGCTGGAGGAAATTTGGAATCATCCCTGGCCTCGATCCACTAGATGCAAGTGTCACCTCCCAGTTGGGAAAATCAAAATGGCTCCAGACATTGTCAAATGTCCTCTGGGGGTGGAGTGGGAGTTTGGGGGACAAAATTGCCTCCTTCTGTTAGAACCACTGATTTAGGGCCATGTAAGTATCAGGTTAACTGTCCTAGCTAGGTGATAGGAGCACAGTGGGAAATGAGACAGACGGGATCCTGGCTCCTCCTGGAGCTTACAGTCCTGCAGGGAGACAGGCATGAACATAGAAACAAAAGCAGAAAATAATGACAAATTGGGTTAAGCGCCATGAAGGAAACAAAGTCAGGGCTGGGGTGCAGGTGACAGGGCAGTGGTGAAGGTGGCTGCTTTAGCTATGAGGGTCAGAGAAGGCCTCTTTGAAGAGCGACTTTTAGGCGGGGATGAGGAGCCAGTTGTGTGGAGGCGGGGAGGAAAGTTCTGGTTGAGGGAACCAGCACATGCAGAGGACCTGAGACAGGAAGGAGCTGGCATGAATGACTGCGGTGTCACGGATGCTTAAACTGTGCCCAGTGGAGGCAGCAGCTGCCACTCACTGTGTCCCCACAGTGCCTGGGACTTTCTGTGAATGGGGAGGTGTTGGAGCCCCCGCGCTGGCAGGAGCAGGGAGGGGCTGGGGCCAAGTGTGAGTGTGGGCACAGGACCTCTCTGGGGACTCAGTTCTGCTGCCACCATCCTGATGAGTAGAGAGCTTAGTCTAAGTGGGTCCCAGGGAGGGCCTGGTGGGCTTGATTGGGCTCTGGGGTGAATGATCATGGAGGCATGGGCATTGGGCTAGGCCTGCCTGTGGCCTGACATCTGACTCCTCCCCCAGCGCTGGCAAGACCTCAATGTGATCAACAGCCTGCTCAAGTCCTTCTTCCAAAAGCTGCCCGAGCCTCTTTTCACTGATGGTGAGTAGGAGGTGGAAGTGGGGGTGGGGAGGGGACACCAGTCTGTGCCGCACCCCTGACCACTACTTTTGCATTTGGTTTTACTCTTTTTTTTTTTTTTTTTTTTTTTTTTGGAGACAGTCTTGCTCTGTCGCCCAGACTGGAGTGCAGTGGCGCAATCACAGCTCATTGCAGCCTCAAGCTACTGGGCTCAAGCGATCCTCCCACCTCAGCCTCCTGAGTAGCTGAGACAGCAGGTGAACACCACCACACCCAGCTAATTTAAAAGTTTTTTTCAGAGATGGGGGGAGTTTCTCACTATGTTGCTCAGACTGGTGTTGCACTCTTGGGCTCAAGCAATCCTCCTGCCTGCCCCAGCCCCACAAAATGCTGGGATTACAGGCATGAGCCACCACGCTGGCTTTTTTTTTTTTAACACAAAATCTTATTAAAAAAAAACATAGATTGTGCAGATGTGAATAAAAACAGCACAGGACCCTGTGAATCTCCTCCTCCCTTTCACGGGAGGTTGTGGCTAACACTTTCTGAGCATTAGTGTGTGCCAAGCACAACTCCCTACAGCAACTCCATGAGGAAGGTGCTATTGTCTTCCCTCTACAGATGAGGAAACCAAGGCTCAGAGAGGTTTAATGCCTTGCCCAAGGTCACACAGGTTGTAAATGGCAGAGCCAGGATTCCACCCCAGGCGTCGGGCTCCGATGCGCTTTGGCTGTTTGCTGAACTGCTTATTCACAATCTGTTGTGTTTCTCTCCTGGCCCTCTTATATGCATGGCAGAGATACACACGTGCCTGCGTGGGGTTTGGAGTTGGGTGGGTTCAGGGGTGTGCTGGCAGATGTTTAACATCTGTTTCTGGGAGAAAAAAGCCCTAATGCCTAGCGTTTTCCAGCTTCCATGGTGTAAATACTCCTACCATGGTTTATTTCAAGCCACCAACATGATGTCACCAACATGGAATTGGGAAGAGAGGCACACAGTTGCTCTCAGGAGCTGGTGTGAGCGGACTCCAGCACACCGCTGGTTGAGTTGTCTTTAACAAAAGCAGAGTTGTAATTCTGAGATTCATTCGTGTCAGTGCAGAGAGCTCTACCTCATTCTTCTTTTAAATCAACCACATAGAATTTCATGGTTTGAATAGACTATAATTTCTTTAAGTACTCCTCTATTGATGGATATTTAGCTTGTCTTCAAATGTTTGCTATCACACAACCTGTTGCAATGGCTTTCCTTGAATAAGTCCTTGCACGCCTGGATCTGTGCTCTCTAAGGGGATTCTTAGATGTAGAATTGCCGGGTCAAAGTCCTGGTGAACCTTTCTGAGACCAGTGTCAATTGCACTCTGAGAAAGAGGCCCTGATTTAGACTCCCACTAACAATGTAGGAGTCTGTCTCTCCACATCCCCAACAGCATTGGATATTACAACTATTATTGTTATTTGAAGGCCAGGCATGGTGGCTTATGCCTGTGATCCCAGCACTTTGGAAGGCTGAGGCGGGTGGATCACCTGAGGTCAGGAGTTCAAGACCAGCCTGATTGTGGTGAAACCCCATCTCTACTAAAAATACAAAAAGTAGCTGGGTGTGGTGGCAGGTGCCTGTAGTCCCAGCTGCTAGGGAGGCTGAGACAGGAGAATTGCTTGATCCCAGGAGGCAGAGGTTGCAGTGAGCCGAGATCGCACCACTGCACTTCAGCCTGGGTGACAGAGCAAGACTCCATCTCAAAATAAATAAATAAATAAATAAATAAATAATACAATAAAATAAAAATAAAAATACTATTATTTGACACAGGATCTTGCTCTGTTGCCCAGACTGGAATGCAGTGGTACAATCATGGCTCACTGCAGCCTCAACCTCCTGGGCTCAAGTGATCCTCCCATCTCAGCCTCCTGAGTAGCTGGGACTACAGGTTTGTGCCACCATACCCATCTAATTAAAAAAAATTTTTTTTCTGGTAGAGGCAGGGTCTCACTACGTTGCTCAGGCTGGTCTTCAACTCCTGGTCTAAAGTGATCATCACTCCTCGGCCTTTCAAAGTGCTGGGATTTTAGGCTTGAGCCACCTCACCCAGACAGCATTAAATATTATTAATATTTTAAACTTTTGCTAATCAGATAAGAGAAATGGTATCTCATTATTGTTTTTATTTTCATTGCCCTAATTACTAGGGAGATTAAATCTTTTTTCATTAGCATACTGGCTGTTTCTATTTTCTCTGTAATTACTTGATCAGACCATGTGCCCATTTTTCTGTTGGGTTGTTTATCTTTTTCTTATGTTGATTTGTGGGAGAAAAGCTCTTTGTGTTTTACACATATTAACCCTTTGTTAGTTTTTGCAAATATTTGCTTTGGCCTGCCATTTGCCTTTTCACTTTGCAGTATAGAAACTGAAAACAAAATTTTTGTTTGTTGTTGTTTTGTTTTGTTTTTTGAGACAGAGTTTCACTCTTGTCGCCCAGGCTGGAGTGCAATGGTGCGATCTCGGCTCACTGCAACTTCTGCCTCCTGGGTTCAAGCGATTCTTCTGCCTCAGTCTCCCGAACAGCTGGGATTACAGGTGCCCACCATCATGCCCAGCTAATTTTTGTATTTTTGGTAGAGACGGGGTTTCACCATGTTGGCCAGGCTGGTCTCAAATTCCTGACCTCAGATGATCCACCCTCCTTGGCCTCCCAAAGTGCTGGGATTACAGGCGTGAGCCACCGCGCCCTGCCTAACAATTTTTAATTTTATTTTTATTTAATTTTATTTATTTTTTTGAGACTGAGTCTCACTCTGTCACCCAAGCTGGAGTGCAGTGGTACGATCTCAGCTCATTGCAACCTCGGCCTCTTGGGTTCAAGCCATTCTCCTGTCTCAGACTCCCAAGTAGCTGGGATTACAGGCACCTGCCACCATGCCCAGTTAATTTTTATATTTTTAGTAAAGATGAGGTTTTGCCACATTGGCCAGGCTGGTCTTGAACTCCTGACCTCAATTGATCAGCTGATGTGCCTCAGCCTTCCAACGTGCTGGGATGACAGACGTGAGCCACCGTGCCTGGCCGAAAACAATTGTTTAAAATGTGACCAAAGCTGTTCATCTTTTCTTCATGGATTCTGCATCTCATGTTTAGGATGGCCTTAGGATTATAAAAATATTTTCTTATTTTTTCCCCAGAGCTTTTATAATTTTCACAATTGGCTCTGCCGTGTGATTGCATTTGTGTATTGTGAGCTAGAAATGATCCCCCCCGCCCCTGATGGTAGCCATTTGTCCCGGGGACATCTGTTGAGGCCCCCATCCCTCCCCCCGATTGGAAGTGCTGCCTTTATCATATAATAAATATCCACATGGCCCACTTCCCCCCTTTCTAGCCTTAACATTGCTCTGCCTTTTCTGCCGTGCCAGCCGGCTTCAGCTGTGCCATCCATTCAGGATGTTTCAGTCCCTGGTAGGGCAGATCCTCCCGCGTTACTCTTTCTTTAAAAACTATTCCTGGCTGTCTTTGTGCATTAGCTCATCCAGATGAATTTCAGAATAGGCTTATCATGTTCCATTCTTTAAAGGTCCCCATGGAATTGTTCTGAAGGGAGTTGGGGGAATCCTTGGTCGAGGCTGTCTGAAGCCCCTCCTCCTCTCCAGGTGCCCTTCTCTTCTGACCTGCTGAACCTTGGTGTCCATGTCCTGGAGACGGGGGCATGGACCCCTTTTCTGCGATCAGCATGCACCTCAGGTCGTATTGCCTCCCAAATGAACACAGCTGGGCTACCCCAGGTCAGGTGCACACCCGAGTGTAGCTGTGGTGAGTGCAGCTGTGGTGAGTGCAGCTGTGGTAAGTGCAGCTGTGGTGGGTGTGTTCACATACACAAGAGGCTGTCGCCCATGCTGGAGCCCCCGAACTGGAGGAGTTCAAAACACAGCCCTCCCAGCAGGGCCCTCGGCCTGGAGAACAGGGTAAGGTGCTGCCCCTACCTCTCTAAAGAGTCTCTGCTGTGTTCTAGACAAATACAATGACTTCATCGAGGCCAACTGCATTGAGGACGCGCGGGAGCGGATGAGGACGCTGCGGAAGCTGGTAAGGAGAGAGAGGTGCTGCCAGGCACGAGGTGGGGCAGCTGCCTGAGCACCTCTGTCCCAGGAGGCAGGGAGTCCGGTGTTACCCACGACCCCTGTGGCCTTGCCCTGCTCCACTCAGGGCATCAGTTTCCCCATCCACACAAGAGAACGGGGGGTTAGAGGATAGGTTCCAGACTCCCTGAGGCATGGTAGTGGGAGATCTTTGGGGCATGGTGGTGACGGGGGACAGCGGCAGGCCCTTACAGCCTGTCCCCATGCCCCTCCTCTCTCCTGCTCAGATCCGGGATCTCCCAGGACACTATTATGAAACGCTCAAATTCCTTGTGGGCCATCTCAAGACCATCGCTGACCACTCTGAGAAAAACAAGGTGGGTAGGAGTCCCGCATGGAGTCTGGGGGAGGCAAGCACGGACTTACTGTGTGGGGGCCCTCAGCACGCACTGAGCTCCTGCAGGTCCAATAACTCAGGCCCCTCTAGGCACGCCCTCCTATATGACTGCTCCGTCCCCATCCCGCTCCTACATGCTGGTCAGTGCTTTCCCCCAGAGAGCCATCTCCTGAGTTTCTGAGGGCTTTCCAGAGGCAGGGAACCCCGGCTCCCCGTATCGGATGCATTGCCATCCTCCGACTTAGCTCAAGTCCCTCGCATTGCATTTTCCTCATCAAACCCCTTATGCCTTCTGGTTCTGCAGTGGGGAAAATGAAGGGAGTGATAGGATTTTTTGTGTTTTTTGTTTGTTTGTTTTTTTGAGACGAAGTCTCACTCTGCCACTCAGTCTGCAGTGCCTTGGCACGATCTCAGCTCACTGCAACCTTCACCTCCCGGGTTCAAGCAATTCTCCTGCCTCAGCCTCCCGAGTAGCTGGGATTACAGGCACCTGGAAGTGATCGGGTTTTTTCCCAGGCCTAAAATAACCCCTGGGACCTCCAACATGTTTCCTACTGCAGGGTCTCCCACTGCTGGCACTGACCACTCAGGGCTGCCCTGTATAGGTGTGCAGGTTGGGCACTGCTCATGGCTGCTGGGCCTGGGGATGAAAGGGGCTGAAATCTGGCCTGTGCTCTACTCATCAAGCATCTCCATGCCCATACAAGGGGGTGTCCACCCTCTAAGCTGGGGACTGGTGAGGATGTAGTTGGGGACAGAGGCCTTAGGGGCCAGAGTGAGGGAGGACTGAGTTCAGGATGTTGACAGTGACCTGCTTTCCCTGCTGCCCAGATGGAACCCCGGAACCTGGCCCTGGTCTTTGGGCGGACACTGGTGAGGACGTCTGAGGACAACATGACAGACATGGTGACCCACATGCCTGACCTCTACAAGATCGTGGAGACACTGATCCAGCACGTAAGCCCCTGTTCCGGGGGTCACCCGGCAGCCCCTGGGGCCCAGGCCATGTTCCTCTGAGCCCCTCACTCTTGCTCAGCCTGGCGGGGTGTGCCCCAGGAAGGGCTCGGCAGCTTTAGAGCATGCTGCTAGGGTGGTATGTACTCCTCCAAAGCCATGGGCTGCATTTCAAGGCAAGGCAGGAATGGATCCTGGAATCCTTGCTGCCCTGGGATGTTGTGTCCCCAGCAGGAGAGTCAAGAGGCCCCCGAGCGTCCAAGATGCCTGGGAAAGGCAGAAGAGGAGGAAGGGCAGGGAAGGTGCTACAGGTGGAGGGCAGAAGGGGCAGCTTCAGAAGGTGGCCCCTGGAGAGGTGTCCTGGCAGACACGAGCAGACGGGGGCCAAGGTCTGGCCTGACATCAGGAGGCCCCGGCTCTAGTGACTTTCCCTGCTGGCCCCACTGAGGTTTTGGGGAGGTAGAGGTGATGTCCATGGTAACAAGGGGTGGATGGGGCAAGGCACAGGGCCTTGGCCTGAGGCAGGATCCTGCACCAGTGCTTGGCATGTACTGGGCTGGCCACCTCCCTTCTCATGGCTTCCTGGATGCCAACAGCCGTGGTCCTGTAGGTTCTTGTTACCGTGCATGGGCGGAGGAGAGCCCAGAGTGGCCAGCAGAGGGCTCAGGAGGCCTTGGTCTTCCAGAGCCCAACCCTAAGGCAGCACTGCCGCCTTCTGGGGCACACACAGATGTCATTATGAATCATAGATTTTCCATTTCCAATTCTTGTTACAGCCCACAGAGGATGAGAACAGAGCCCCTCCTGCCAGGGGAAATAAGACTGGCAGCTGGTCAGAGGAAGGGAAGCCTCAGTCCCAAGCCCCCTAGACACTTTAGGGAAGGAAAGCTGGGCCCTATCACCCCCATTTTACAGAGGAGGAAACAGGCTCAGAGAGGCAAAGCAACTTGCTCATGGTCACACAGCTAATAAGTGGCAGCCCAAGATTTCAAGCCAGATCTGACTGACCAAAGCCTGTGTTTTCCTCCTGCTATCAGCCCAAAGGCCAGACTCCTAGGTCCCTCCTTGAGCTGGCTTGGGACGGAGGGAGGGGGCCAGGGTAAGGATGCGAGGTGGTGGGCAGCTGAGCCATGTTAACAGCCTTGCTTGCCCATCTCCTCCTTCACTGCATGCTCAGGGCTCCGAGCCACAGGAGGGAGCATCACAGCCTGCTGCATCCGGACACTGGGAACACCACTCCAGAGCTGTCTGGGAGGCCAGGGCTGCCCTGCAGCATCCGGGATCCTGGTGAGGCCTTGGGAAAGCTTAGCTCTCCAGGGCACCAGGGAGCCCCGGAACCTCCCAGGAGGGTGTGTTTTGGGGGCAGCAGCAGGGAAGAGTGGGTGTCTGGCCCTGTGCTCCTGGAGAAGCCCCTGGAAGCCCAAGGTCTGAAGTCAGCTGAGGTGTCAGGAACTGCAGTCTTCAGGGAGGAAGGAGGCCAAAGCCCCAAGGGGGAGTCCCTGCTCTGGGCAGGGTGGAGAAGGTGGAGTTTGTCTCATTTAGCACTGACACTAGCGCCTGGCACACAGTGGATACTCAGTGTTTGTGGAGTATAAATGAATGAGTAAATTGCTAATTGAGGTTATATCAGGCTGGGCTTTTCTTTCTCTTTCTTTCTCTCTCTCTCTTTCTTTTCGCTTTCTGGTTTTTTTTTGTTTTTTTTTTTTTTTTTTTTTTTTTTTTTTGATAGAGTCAGTCTGTCGCCCACACTGGAGTGCAGTGGGCAAATATGGCCCACTTCCAGGCTCAGGCGATCCTGCCATCTCAGCCTCCTGAGTAGCTGGGACTAGAGATGCCACCACCACACCAACTGGCTAATTTTTGTATTCTTTTGTAGAGATGAGGTCTTACTATGTTGCCAGGGCTAGTCTTGAACTCCTGGACTCAAGCGATCCTCCCATCTCGGCCTTCCAAAGTGCTGGGATTACAGGTTTGAGCCATCACGCCCGGCCAGGCTGGGCTTTTCTACTCAGAGATTCATTCCCGAGAGCTAACTGAGCTAGTGTCCTTCCCTTCTCTGCCTCCTTGGCATTTGAACGTAACCAGCCCTGGATGATTGTCAAGGGAATGAGCCACCCACTCTGCAAGCCCTGAAAGCCTGCCCACCCAAGCGTGCCAGCTCTGTCTAGCCCAGAGGCTCCATAGCCAGGGCAGTGCTGCTGTCACTTGGGGCACCCAGACCAGTCTTCAGGTCGGAAAGAGGGTGGCAACTGAGGGGTAAAGAGGAACAGCGACTTGCCCAGGGCCACGCAGCAAGATAATGGCAGAGCAGAGAGGAGAGCAAACCTGGATGTCTGATCTTGCAGCGGGCAAGTTGCCAGGAGCCTCTACCTATGTTTACGAAGTCAAGTGGAACCCAAACAAAGATCACCCAGGGCATTTGCTCAGGGACTCACTCAGCAAAGGCAGTGACACCTAATGTTTCTCAGCTTCAGCACTAGTGACCACTGAGGTCCAGATAAGTCTTTATTGTGGGAGGCTGTTCTGTGTGTTATAGGACATTTAGCAGAATCGCTGGCTTCTACCTGCTGGATGCTGGGAATATCACTCTAGTTGTCACAATCAAAAATGTCTCCAGACATTGCCAAGTGCCCCCTGGGGTGGGAGATTGACGGCAGTGGCTCTAGGGCCAGCCTGCTCCTATGTGCTGTGTGGCCTTGGACAAGTTCCTTACCTGCTGTGCCTCAGTCTCCACACCTGTAGAGATGACAATACTGTTTACCTCACATTGTTGTGAATGTCTGCTAAAGCACTCACGGCGGTGCCTGGCAGGTTCTAAGTGTTGTGTGAGAACTGAATGTCATCCTCTTCCTCGTGGTCATTATTCCACGCCAGAGACAGATCCCCATGCTGGAAACACGGAGGTGAATGGGAACCTGCTCAGAAGGAATATTGCCAGCGGGTGTGGTGGTGCGTGTCTGTGGTCTCAACTACTTGGGGGGCTGAGGTGGGAGGCTGCAGTGAGCCGAGATTGCGACACTGCACTCCAGCCTGGGTGACAGAGTGAGACCCTGCCACACACACACAAAAAAATCCATAAAATGATGTTTCTCATTCATTTATTCATTTAATAATGTTTATCAGAGTAAGAGCTGCATCTCTTTTTGCTCTGGGCTATGTCCAAGGAAGCCCCACAGAAGGACCCACCCTGGCCCTGGGTGCAGGGCTGGGGTCGTAGTCATGGAGTTCTTGAACTGCCTTAGAGGACCATGATGAGAACTTAGCCAGGCAGAGCAGGGAGAAAGGGCATCCCAGGCGGAAAGAACAGCATGTGCAGAAACAGGGTGGCAGGAACTAGTGTGGATTCCTCTTGAGAGCCGTGGCCACCCGGGCACTTCCTGTAGATGCTGTGGCTTGCAGAGTACTTCTGGGCACCTTCCAACCCGAGTTAACAGCTGGCTTCTTTGGGCCGATCCTCAGGCTCCCCCTGGTCAGCCTGTCTCTGGAAGACGCACTTTTGAATAACGGTAGCTGACATCTATTATACATTAACAACGTGCTGCACTCAACATTTTCCATACAGTATTTCATCTCAATCCTCCTCAGGCCTAGAAGGAGGTACTCACATCATGCCCGTTTTAGAGATAAGTAAATAGACTTACAGAGGGAAAGTAACTTGGCTAAGGTGAACTCGAACCAAGATAACTGACTCCAGAGCTTCCATTTTTCTTTTTCTTTTCTTTTTTTTTTTTTTTTTGAGACAGAGTCTCACTCTGTCGCCCAGGCTGGAGTGCAACAGCGCAGTCTCCACTCACTGCAGCCTCCAGCTCCTGGGTTCAAGTGATCCACCTCAGCACCCCCAAGTAGCTGGGATTATGGGCGCACGCCACCATGCCAGGCTAATTTTTGTATTTTTAGTAGAGCTGGGGTTTCACCCTGTTGGCCAGGCTGGTATTGAACTCCTGACCTCAGCTGATGCACCTGCCTCAGCCTCCCAAAGTGCTGGGACTACAGGTGTGAGCCACTGTGCCCAGCCAGAGCTTGCATTTTTCTTATCTTCCTTCGCTCTCTTCTCTTCTATCTCTTTCTTGTTTCCCTTCTGGCCTTCCTGTGCTGTTTGATTTAATCACATGTCAGATCATGAGCAATAATAACTGAGGCTCATGGCACATGCTCAGGCAAGTCCCCTTGTTTCCCCTCTTCATTCCCCTAGGTGCCCACTCTTAATAGGCTAATATGTGTCCTTCCAGGACACCTTCCACTTATTGTAAATGCATGGCTATCCTTAAATATATATAATATTCTTTGTGTGTTTTGAGTCTACATAATGAGATTATAAATTGCCTGTTCCTGTTCTTTCATAGGTGTTGAGGGGGGTAAAGGGTAATTGACTTAATTTTTATTCATTTATTTTTTTTGAAATGGAGTTTCACTCTTGTTGTCCAGGCTGGAGTACAGTGGTGCGGCCTCAGCTCACTGCAACCTCTGCCTCCCGGGTTCAAGTGATTCCCCCACCTCACCCTCCCGAGTAGCTGGGATTACAGGTGTGCACAACCATGCCCAGCTAATTTTTATATTTTTAGTAGAGATGGGGTTTCACCATGTTGGCCAGGTTGGTCTCAAACTCCTGACCTCAGGTGGTCCACCCATCTCAGCCTCCCAAAGTTCTGGGATTACAGGTGTGAGTCACTGCACCCAGCCTGTCACTGTCAATTTCTAATGCTTATCAGTTTCTGTGTCTTCCTTCCACCACATCTAAAAGCCAAAAGTGGTGGGTGCAGTGGCTCATGCTTGTAATCCCAAAATCTACAATTTTTTTTTAATTAGCTGTGCAAGGTGGCACATGCCTGTAGTCCCAGCTATTCAGGAGGCTGAGGTGGGAGAATCTCTTGAGCCCAGGTGTTCAAGGGTAGGATCATGCCACAGCATTCCAACCTGGATAACAGCGAGAGACCCTATCTCAAAAATAAATTAATAAATACAATAAAAGCCAAAAGTGCCTTAGTTATTTCTTGGAGCTTGCCGAAGTCCATCTCTTTACTTGCTCAAGTATTCAATTAAGAGAGTCTTTGTGTAAAAAATTTTCTGCTGTCTCAGGATAGCTTTATTTCAAGGCCAGGTGTGGTGGCTCCAGAGAGCAGGAGGTTCACTTAAGGGGTGATTAAAACAATCTGTGGTATGCCTGTAATCCCAGCACTTTGGGAGGTGGAGGTAGGTGGATCACTTGAGGTCAGGAGTTGAGACCAGTCTGGCCAACATGACGAAACCCCATCTCTACTAAAAATACAAAAATTATCCAGGCGTGATGGCATGCACCTGTAATCCCAGCTACTTGGGAGGCTGAAGCCAGAGAATCACTTGAACACAGGAGGCAGAGGTTGCAGAGAGCCAAGATTGCACCACTGCACTCCAGCCTGGGTGACAGAGTGAGATTCTGTTGGAAAAAAAAAAAAAAGAATAGCTTTATTTTACATTCTCATTTTTTTAAATGAGAGTTTAGCAGGGTATAAAATTCTAGGTTCCTTCAACACATCAAAACTTACTTTCTTGTCTTGTCTTCTTGTGTCTTGCTGCTGAAAGTTCCAAGTACCTGTGATACGTGTTCATTTATAAGCAATCTGGATTTTTTTTTCAGAAAACTTAGAATTTTATCTTCAAGATTCTCAAATTTTACAAAATATATTAAACTGTGGGGGTCTTTATTTTGTCTCTTGTTTGGCCTTTATGAGAAAGCTCTCGCCTCCTGCCCGTCAGGAAACCTCCAACACCTTTCTCCTGTCATTTTCCTTTTCTGGGCTGAGTATGTGACACCCCTGTTGTCAGTGTGGCACCCATGGGTGGCAGGTGGCCTGGGGCATGCTCGGCTGTCACAGCCATGGACCTGGCCAACACTAACGGCACTGGTGCCTCCCTGCCCCCCGGCTCGCTGTGGGGAGTATGCCATAGGGGTGTGCCCAGGACAGTGTTTAGAGAAAAGCAAGTAAAAGCGAAGCTCTCCCTAAGCCTATCTCCCGTCTGACGTGGCCGCTCCCACTCACTGCCGTGTCTCCTCCCACACTGGGGTCCCACCTTTTCTCTCCCCCAGGGTTTTTCATAGTCTGTGGAGTCAGGTTTTAGCATCCATCAAGCTCCCTCTGAGCCCTCTTTTGCAGCCCCACCAGCCTGGGGTTTGTTGAGAGAGAGGCTCCCCTTGCCGCCTGAGTGGGTCCTCTGGAATGAGCAGGTGGAAGAGACTCTTCTTTCCCATGCTGATTTCATCCCTTCCTTTTGTCTTCTCTGCAGTCAGACTGGTTCTTCAGTGACGAAGAGGACAAGGGAGAGAGAGAGTAAGTGATGCTGCGGGCTGGGCTGGCATGGGGGCTGGTCTGGGGTGAGCCCCAGTCCTTGGGGGTGGGGCAGGCAGCGAGACTTAAGCTGGGGAAGGTGTCTGTCCTTGAGGCTTCCCTCAAGTCTGATGGAGGAAACACAGACCCTCTCCTCAGGAGCCCCTAGTCTGATAGATAAGCACAAAGCTTGCCTTCAGGAATCCCCAGTCTAAATGGGGGAGATACAGGCCTTGCTCAGAGGGAACCCAATTCAGGAGTAAAGGCAGCTCCTGCCCTCCAGGCTACTGAGAAGGACTTAGGTTGGAGGAGTTCCAGTCTAGTGCGGGAGACACAGCTCCTGCCCCTAGCTGAAGGGGCCGCTCTGGCCTTCGTGGTTCTGAGATGTTGAGGAAAGCACAAAGCTGTCTAACAGGGGACATGTAGGTATCATCCTTAAGAGCACCCGGCTGATGAGGGAGACGGTCCCTGCCCCAGTGAGCCCAGTCTGATGGAGGAGACACGGGCTCTGTCATCAGGGCACCCCCCTCTGGGGGGTCGGCAGCCCAGCATCCGAGGGCATGCCAGTTGACCCCTCCTCCTGTTCGCAGACCCCTGTGGGCAGCAAGGAGCCTCAGGCAGTGCCCAACATTGAGTACCTCCTGCCCAACATTGGCAGGACAGTGCCCCCTGGTGACCCGGGGTCAGGTGAGCACAGGGGCCTGGGAGTGGGGAGGCAGGAGGGTGGACACTGCATTCCTGAGGGTCCCAGATACCTGGCCAGATGCCCAGCTTCCCTGTGCCACCCCAGCGGGGCCCTCCCCTGCCAGCCACCATGGAGATGGGGCTGTTGGGGGCCTTCTACCTCCCTGGGGAAGTCCAGCTTGCCCCGTGCCCACCTCCTGTCTGTGCAGCTGCCCCGCCCCAGGCAGGGTTGGAGCTTTGTTCCCCCTCTCTCACTGGTTTCTTTCCTCAGCCTTTAATTTCTCATGGGCTGGCTGTGTCCCTCTGGGCATGTTCCTCTTTTTAATTTTTCTTCCTTTTCTCCTTGCACACCCACCTCTCCCTCCTCCTCTCCCCGTGCTCTCCTCCCACCCCTTTCTCTTCTCCTCCCCCTCCCCTCCTCCAGCGGACCTGTTGGAGATTTAAAGAGTACAGTGCAGTGTCGCGGCCTCGGTCACTAACAGTGGCGGGTGATTATAAGAAGGCTGGGTGGGCACAGAGGCAGGCAGAATGTCCCGGACTGTGAGGACCCCACACTGACATGCCAGTTACCCCTGCTTGTTATCCACTTACCCCAGCAGTCCATGCCCCTCCCATCCTAGAGCCCCTTCTCAGGAGGAAGGAGGCACTCACTGGGCCCAGGGCCCTCCCCGTTGCCTGGACACCGGGGCATCGAATTGCTGCCCTTCTGCAGTGCCACAGACCTTGTGGCCTCTCTTTGCCGAGTCTCACCACTGCTAGTCATCCGGGCTGGGGACCGACACTCTCTGGAGACCAGCGATGCCATGCCCAGAAGCTTCTCTTTATCTCTAACTCCTGCCTCAGTCACCCCAATGGGCCGCCTCCTCCTGCTTAAGAAACCGGGGCCCTAAGTCCTGTTTGCAGGGCCTTTGGCCCTCTCATGGCAGAGGACAGATGATTTACATGCTCAGAGACAGATGAGGGCCACTCCCTTTGTGGCTGCAGCCACTGACTCCTCCCCCCGCCATTGTTGTCCCTCTCTTTAGTTTTAGCATTTCTGTTTGTCTCTGACAGAGGCACACAGGAGCTCCCTAGTCACCAGAGGCAGGCTCAGGAGGGGCCAGAAGACATGGGGGTGGGACGGCAGAGAGGGACCCCATGTCTCTTCTAATCACCCACCGCCCCCCGCGCCCCGTGTGTCATGTGTGGTCGCCCATCTTGCTTTTCTCACCTTGTGCAGGGGGAGGGGTCCGGAGAGGGGGGCATCTAACTTGCCTGCCAGAGAGTGTGGATTAACCACACCTGCCCACTACCCTGTGGGACCCCAGGAGGCCCTTGGACCAACCTGCTCCCTCTCTAGCCTTGGAGAGGACCCACCAGGACGTGTTTCTGGTTCCTTCTCCACCCCAGTGATATTAAGGGAGTGGGACCCAAGTCCCATAGAAATCATGCTTTTAGTCTCCTTCATAACTGGGTGATAACTGGGGACCCTGCCCATGAGGCAGGGTGACCCCAGGTCTGGAGGTGCACTGTGTGGTCTCCATTTCTCCAGAGCATCTGTGATTTGCTGTGTTTCACTGTGGTGGTTTCCATGGACTGCACCTGATATTTAGCATTTTCTCTCCAGTGCTTCAGAGTAACAGGGACAGGCGGGGAAGGAGAGAGGAACTAGGCTCAAAGACAATGCCCCCTTGCCCTTAGCCTTCGGTAAATGAGGGGCCAGTGGCTGGCAGCCTGATGTCACTTCCTGCCTCTAGAGGAAGTGGCAATTAACATCATTTTCTGCTCCATCCCTTTCCCATAGATGGACATCAGAAGTCCATCATACTCCTAGGGCCTGGGGAGATCTCATGTTTCAGAATTCCCTGGTTTCTGAAGCCTTTGAGGAGAGGAATTGTGTGCATAAGACTCAACTTTCTTTTTCCCTGATGCAACTTTCATTTTTTTTTCTGTCTTTCACCAACAGATTCTACCACCTATAGTTCAGTCAAGTCCAAGGTACGTACAAAGGCAATTCTGAAGGCTTGATCCCTGTACAAGCCAGCCCACTTTGGTTTTTGTTCAAGAGAATTGAGGGAATGGCAATTGGACCGTGGGGAAAGTTGATGGTCCCTGGGAGGGAAGGCAGGAGGTACCGAGTGCCCAAGGTAAGCTGAGAAGTTGCTTACCTTGGCAGTGTTTAGTGAGGCATCTGCTGTAGTAGAAGGACCTGGCCTGGGAGTTATGTGGCTAGGAGGCAATGTCACTCAGTAGTTAGAAGCACAGACTCTGGAGTCAGACAGTCCTGGGTTTGAGTTCTGGCTCCACCATTTAGTAGTTTGGGACATTGGGCAAGTTACCTAACCACTTTCTGATCCTTAGCTTCCTCATCTATAAAATGGGAATATCAGTAAATCTGTGGGGTGCTATAATAAATAAAACAGATATCCTTTAAGGTCTTTGGAGAGCCTAAAGCAAGCAGAAGGAAATAAAGAGAGGAGCAGAAATCCATGAAATTGAAAACAGTTGAAGAAAAGCAATGAAACCAAAAGCTGGTTCTTTGAAAAAAAATCAATGAAATTGATAAACCTCTAGCCAGACTAACAGAATAAAAAGAAAGATGGCACAGATTATCAGTATCAGGGATGAAAGAGGGACATCACTACAGACCCCTAAGTTATTTTTTATTTTTTATTTATTTATTTTTTTGAGACGGAGTCTTGCTGTGTCACCCAGGCTGGAGTGCAGTGGCACCATCTCGGCTCACTGCAAGCTCCGCCTCCTGGGTTCACACCATTCTCCTGCCTCAGCCTCCCGAGTAGCTGGGACTACAGGTGCCCACCATCACGTCCAGCTAATTTTTTGTATTTTTAGTGGAGATGGGGTTTCACCAGGTTAGCCAGGATGGTCTTGATCTCCTGACATCGTGATCCGCCCCCCTTGGCCTCCCAAAGTGCTGGGATTACAGGCGTGAGTCACCACGCCTGGCTATAGACCATAAATTTATGCCCATAAATTCAATAACTTAGATGAAATAGACCAATTCTTTGAAAGATTCAGACTGCCAAAACTCACTTAAGAAAAAATAGATAACCTGAATAGTCCTATACCTCCTAAAGAAATTGAATATGTAATTTAAAACCCCCCAACAATGAAAACTTCAGGACCAGATGGTTTCACTGTTAAATTCTACCAAATATTTAAGGAATTTTTTAAATGTTTAAACAATTTACTTTAATAATTTTAAAATATTCTAAATAGAAAATAGTATAATTTTAAATATTGATATATTTAAATAGTTATTTAAATATTTGAATTATTTAAATATTTAAATAGTTATTTAAGAAATAATACCAATTCTCCACTATCTCTTTTGGAAGATAAAAGAGGATGGCTGGGCACCATGGCTCACACCTGTAATCCTAGCACTTTGGGAGGCTGAGGTCGGATCTTGAGATCAAGAGTTAAAGACCAGCCTGGCCAACGTGGTGAAACCCCATCTCTACTAAAAATACAAAAAAATTAGCTGGGTGTGGTGGCATGCACCTGTAATCCCAGCTACTCAGGAGGCTGAGGCAGGATAATTGCTTGAACCTGGGAAGAGGAGGTTGCAGTGAGCTGAGGTCGTGCCACTACACTCCAGCCTGGGCAACAGAGCGAGACTCCGTCTCAAAAAAAAGGAAGGAAAATAGAAGAGGAAGAAACACTTTCCAACTCATTTATGAGGCCAGCATTACCCTGATACCAAAACCTAACAATGCTTTTGAAAAAGATAGGGCTAATTCATATGATAATACCACAAATATTTGTTGAATGTCTACTTTATATCAGTACTGTGCTGGGTACTGAAAATATAAATAATGAGCCAAACAGATAGGTTCCTGCCCTCACAAAGCTTATCTTCTACTGAGAGACAGACACTAAGCTAATGAAGAAATAGACTATCTGTCTGGCAGATTTGGAGGCACAGTGGAGGCAGAAACCAGATGGAATGAGCTAATAAAGTGAGGGAGGGAAGAGCGCATACATAGACCACTCTTGTGAGAAGTCCGATTGTGAAGAGATATTTACAGAACAAAATGGGAAAATATGTGGCTTGAGGGAAACTTTCATGAAAAGATGAAAGCAGCCAGGCATGGTGGCTCATGCCTGTAATCCCAACACATTTGGAGGCCGAGGCAGGAGAATCCCTTTAGCCCAGGAGTCTGAGACCAGCCTGGACAACATAGTGAGACCTCAACTCTACAAAAAATGCAAAAATAACCAGGCATGGTGGGGCATGCCTGTAGTCCCAGCTACTTGGGAGGCTGAGGCAGGAAGATCATTTGAACCTGGGAGGTTGAGGCTGCAGTGATGAGCCATGATCATGCCACTGCAGTCCAGCCTGGGCAACAGAGCAAGACCCTGTCTCAAAAACAAACAACCAAAAAAAAAAGATGAAAGCACATATTTACTTGCCAATGGGAATGATCCAGGTGAGAGACAGAGAGAGAGGAAGAGCTGGGCCCAGAGCCCATGAAGCAGCAGTAGCCTGTGCTCCTAGCAGATGCATCCCCAGGTGTAGTAGGAAGAGAGGGAGGTGGCAGGGGCACACTAGCAGGCAGTGTTGGCAGCAGGTCATTGGGGTTGCTCCCAGCTGATGGCTCTTTCCTCAGTGAAGTGGAAGGTGAGGACCTCTGCTGGGCATGAAGGTGGCAGGGAATGTCTGAGCAGAGTGAAGGAAGTCTGAAATAGGTCCCATAAAGCAAGGCAGATTTCCTGAAGGGGCCGAGGAGCATCATGGGCAGGCTGAGGCCTCTGAAGGCTGCGGCCCCTTCTCGAGAGCCAGCACTTTGCCCAGCAGCCGTGCCCTGCCCCTTTGGGCCTGGCTTCTCCACACTCCCCGGAGAGCCCCTTCTGAGTCCCTTCTGGCCAGAAGATGTCCTCATTTGCTTCCTGTGACCCCACCGTGTCTCCAGTGGACTCAAAACTGACCTCCCCAGAGCTCACAGGCCACTGCCTCCCTGAAGCCTCCTGGCTTGAAATTCCTTCCTCCTGAGACCCTAGCAGTTACCGCTTCCCAGTCTGGGCCTGCCTGACTCCTGCAGGAGGCCTTCTCAATTATAGGGGCTTGAACAATAGAACGTGCTTTTCAGAGAGTACGTCTTTACTGTAAACTGACTCAGAGACCTCACTGTGACCCAGTGAGTTCATCACAATCACTAGCATGAGATGAAAGAGGAGGGAATGCACATTTACTGAGCACCTACTAGGTGCCAGCCAGTATGCAGATAACTTTTCACAAACATCGGTTTCATTTCATTTTTACGGAAGACCTTGAATTTTGTACCATCCCCATTTTACAGATGGGGGAACCAAGGCTCAGAGAACTTAAGTAACTAGAAGGTTGGGCATATTCTTGGGCCTCAGGCAAGGGAGCTGGTTAGGTGGCCTCCTTCCTTGGTGGTGCTCTGGTATCTGAGTTCTGATCCTCTGTTCTCAGGCTCTGAGTGTTTCTTGATTTTCTGGCACACGGACTGGCTCTGTCCTGAGCCTGAGCTGAAACCAGCTGGCCAAGCCTCTAAGAAACGGAGGCATGGATGAGGCTGCCAGTCTATTAAGTACAGCGATAGGAATAACTGTTGCAGGGACAGGGACGTTGAGTTGTGTTTGCCGCAGTGGTCTCAGTCTCATCTACTGGGGAGACCAGGAATCAGAGTCAGGGAAGCAGGAGGCACCAGGTGTCTGAGAACCTGTGGCCTCCTGTCCCAGCTGTAGGGAAGGGGCTGCCTTGGGCACCAGGGCCTGGCCTCCCACCAGGCTGTGAGCGCTGAGGGTGGGCACAAATCCTGCAAGTGCCGGACACTCACAACTGCCAGCCTCTGTCTCTCTTGCCTGACTCTAAAACCCAGGTCCGTGATGGTCAAACTGTGTTCCCTGGAGCCACCATGGGGTTGTGACCACCAACAGGTATATGAGAGGACCAAGTGTGCAGGCATCCAAGCTCCCACGGCCTCCATCTGAGCCACTCTTGGTTCTGTCTCACATTGCTGGGTTTCTAGGGAGGATTCAATTTGGACAGGGTGCTCCCAAGCTCATCAGAAACCATTGTTCTAGATGTGACAGCCCTGTCTCTAGACTTTCTCCAGGCTGTGTCCAGGACACCCAGGCGGCGTCGGTGCCCCAAGTTACAGCCACATTCTGATCCCGCCTCCCTGTGTGGATGGTTTAGGCTGTCCCGGGTAGGAGTGTGGGCAGGCACACATGGCGGTCTCTTAGCTCCACCACAGGTGGAGTGGAGCTGTTCTTTACTCAGAAGGCTCCCTTATCATCTTTTTTTTTTTTTTTTTTGAGACAGGTCTTGCTCTGTCACCCAGGCTGGAGTGCAGTGGCCTGAACACAGCTCACTGCAGCCTCTAACTGCTGTGCTCAAGTGATCCTCCTGCTTCAGCCTCCTGAGTTAGCTGGACTACAGGCACACACCACCACTCCTGCCTAATGTTTTTGTATTTTTTTGTAGAAATGGGGTCTTGCTTCTTTGTGCAGGATGTTCTTGAATTCCTGGCTTCAATGGATCCTGCTGCCTCGGCCTCCCAAAGTGCTGAGATTACAGGCATGAGCCACGGCACCCCACTCTCCTTATCATCTTAATTCTAAGTTCTTGAGGAAGGGGACCACTTTTGTCTTCTCTGGTGGTCCCTCGCCTAATGCTTAGCTTTCTTTACGGCCTGCAATAATCCCCGAGCACCCCCACTGGTACAGGGAGAAGTCTAGCTCCTGACCAGGCTCTGATTTCCTCAGCCCTGCCCTATTCAAGTTCCTCAAATTCCTTGACCCCAACCCTTGCCCCATAAGAAACCTCCCCATGACCCTGACCCTGACAGAGAACTGGCCGTGAAAATTTTTGCATTGACAACAGATATTGGAATGCAGGGATTCCCTATCTACTTCAGGCCCCTTCAAGAATCAGAGAAGGCCAAGCATGGTGGCTCATGCCTGTAATCCCAGCACTTTGGGAGGCCAGGGTGGGGAGATCACTTGAGGCCAGGAATTTGAGACCAGCCTGGCCAATATGGTGAAACCCCGTCTCTACTAAATATACAAAATTAGCTGGGGGTGGTGGTGCACGCCTGTAATCCCAGCTACTCGGGTGGCTGAGGCAAGAGAATTGCTTGAACTGGGGAGGCGGAGGTTGCAGTGAGCCAAGATGGCACCACTGCACTCCAGCCTGGGCAACAGAGTGAAACTGTGTCTCCAAAAAAAAAAGAAAGAAAGAGAGAGAGGGAGAGAGGGAGGGAGGGAGGGAGGGAGGAAGGAAGGAAGGAAGGAAGGAAGGAAGGAAGGAAGGAAGGAAGAAGGAAAGAAAGAAGGCAGAATCAAGGAATAGAGGAACAAAAAAGGCAAGACATATGAAAACAATTAGCAAAATGGCAGACATAAATCCTAGCTTATTAGTGATACATTGAATGTAAATGAATTTAACACCCCAATCAAAAGGCAGAAATTGGCAGAATGGATTATTATTTTTTTCTTTTTATAAGACTGGGACTTGCTCAATTGCCCAGGCTGGAATGCAGGGGTGTGATCCTAGATCACTGCAGCCTTGACATCCTGGGCTCAAGCAATCCTCCCACCTCAGCCTCCCAAATAGCTGGGACTACAGGGCCACGCCACCACGCTTGGCTAATTTTAAAAACAAAATTTTTGTAGAGACGAGGTCATGCTATCTTAACCAGGTTGGTCTCAACCTCCTGGGCTCAAGTGATGCTCCCACCTGGGCCTCCCAAAGGGCTGGGATTACAGGTGTGAGCCACCGGGCCCAGCCCAGAATGGATAAAATAAAATAAAATGATCTGTGAGAGATTTACTTTAGAGTCAAAGACACAAGAGTTGAAAGTAGAAGGATGCAAAAAGAAACCATGTGAGGAGTTATTAAAAGAGAGCTAGGGTGGCTACACAAGCGTGAGACAAATTAGACTTTAAGACAAAAATTCTTACTGAAGCCTGGGCGAGGTGGCTCACGCCTGTAATCCCAGCACTTTGGGAGGCTAAGATGTGTGGATCACCTGACGTCAGGAGTTCAAGACTAGCCTGACCAACATGGTGAAACCCCATCTCTACTAAAACTACAAAAATTAGCTGGGCGTGGTGGCATGCACTATAGTCCCAGCTACTCCAGAGGCTGAGACAGGAGCTCCTAATTGCTTGAACCTGGGAGGCAGAGGTTGCAGTGAGCCGAGATAGCACCACTGCACTCCAGCCTAGGCGACAGAACAAGACTCTGTCTCCAAAAAAAAAAAAAAAATTGTTACTAAAGATACAATATCTTTTATAATGATAAAAGAGGCAGTTTATGAGGAAGATAAAATGATTGTAAACATATATACTCCTAACAACAGAGCCCAAAATACATGAAGCAAAAACTAATAAAACTGAAGGGAACTGAACTGAATTAGACCATTCAATATAGTAGTTGGAGACTTCAATACCCCACTTTCTTTTCCTTTTTTTTTTTTTTTTTGAGGCGGAGTCTCACTCTGTTGCCCAGTCTGGAGTGCAGTGGCACGATCTCTGCTCACTGCAAGCTCCGCCTCCCGGGTTCACGCCATTCTGCTGCCTCAGCCTCCCGAGTAGCTGGGACTACAGGTGCCCGCCACCATGCCCGGTTAATTTTTTGTATTTTTAGTAGAGACGAGGTTTCACCGTGTTAGCCAGGATGGTCTCGATCTCCTGACCTCGTGATCCACCCACCTCGTCCTCCCAAACTGCTGGGATTACAAGCGTGAGCCACTGCTCCCAGCCCCCACTTTCAATAACGGATAAATCAACGAGGCAGAAGATCAACAAGGAAGTAGAAGCCTTGAACAACACTGTAAGCCAAGACCTGAAAGACATCGAAACACTCCACACAGCAGCAGAACACACATTGTTCTCAGCTACGCATGACACACTCTTCAGGATAGACTTATACTAGGCCTTAAAACAAGCCTCAATAAATGGAAAATGATTGAAATTATATAAAGGCTGTTCCCCAGCTGCAATGGAATTAAATTAGAAAATGACAACCGAGGAAATTAACAAATATGTAGAATTTATTTTTTTTCGAGGTGGGTCTTGCTCTGTCCTCCAGGCTGGAGTGCAGTGGCGCTATCTCGCCTCACTGCAGCCTCTGCCTCCTGGGTTCAAGTGATTCTCCTGCCTCAGCCTCTCAAGTAGTTGGGACCACAGGAGTGTATCACCACACCCGGCTAATTTGTGTATTTTTAATAGAGACGGGGTTTCACCATGTTGGCCAGGCTGGTCTCGAACTCCTGACCTCCAGTGATCTGCCTGCCTTGGCCTCCTAAAGTGCTGGGATTACAGGCGTGAGGCACCATGCCCGGCTAGAAATATGTAGAAATTTTAAAACACTCCTAAATAATCAATGAGTGAAAGATGAAATCACAGGGAAATTAGAAAATATCTTGAGATGAATGGAAACTAACACACAACATAACATAACTTACTGGATGCAGCTAAAGCAGTGCTTAGAGAGACATTTGTAACTACGTCAATATTAGAAAAGAAGAAAGATTTCTAATTAATAATCTAAACTTCTGCCTTAAGAAACTAGAAAAAGAAGAGCAAACTCAACCAAAAGAAAGCCAAAGGAAGGAAATAATAAAGGTACGAGTAAAAATAAATGAAATAGGAAATAGAAAAAATAGAGAAAGTCAGTAAAACCAAAAGTTTTTTCTTGGAAAAGAGCAACAAAATGACAACTGTTTAGCTAGACTGACCAAGAAAAAAAAAAAAGAGAAGACTCAGATTAATACCTCAGGCATGAAAAGGGAGCTATCAATACTTATAAAAAGTAAAGGGGGGCTGGGTGCAGTGGTTCTCACCTGTAATTCCAGCACTGTGGGAGGCCGAGGCGGGTGGATCATTTGAGGTCAAGAGTTCAAGACCAGCCTGGCCAACATGTGAAACCCTGTCTCTACTAAAAATACAAAAATTAGCCAGGCATGGTGGCGGGCGCCTGTAATCCCACCTACTCAGGAGGCTGAGGCAGGAGAATCACTTGAACTTGGGAGGCAGAGGTTGCAGTGAGCTGGGATCGTGTAACTGCACTCCGCCTAGAAGACAGAACAAGAGTCCATCTCCACACACACACACACACACAAGTAAAGGGATAATAAGGGAACACTGTGAACAACTGCATGCCAGCAAGTTAGAGAAATAGAAGAGATGAAAAAATTCCTAGAAAGACATAAATTACCAAAACTGACATAAGAAGGAGAACCCATAAATAATCTGAACAGACTTACAACATGGAAAAAGATTTAATTAGTCATTTAAAAACTTTCAACAAAGAAAATTCCAGACCCAGATGGCTTCACTGGTGATTTCTATCGAATATTTAAAGAAAAATTAATACAAATCCCTCACAAACTCTTTCAAAAAAAGAAGAGGAAGGAACCGTGAGGCCAGTATTACCCTGATACCAAAGCTAGAAAAAGTTATCACAAGAAAACTTCAGACTAATATCCCTTGTGACTATAGAAACAAAAGTCCTCCACAAGCTACAAGCAAACCGGTTGGGTGTGATGACTCACACCTGTAATCCCAGCACTTTGGGAGGCCGAGGCAGGTGGATCACTTGTGGCCAGGAGTTGGAGACCAGCCTGGCCAACATAGCAAAACCCTATCTCTACTATTAATAAAAATACAAAAATTAGCTGGGTGTGGTGGCACACACCTGTAATCCCAGCTACTCTGGTGGCTAAGGCACAAGAATTGCCTGAACCCAGGAGGTGGAGGTTGCAGTGAGCTGAGATCACGCCACTGCACTCCAGCATGGAAGAGAGAGTGAGACTCTGTCTCAAAACAACAACAACAAAAAGACACCAGCAAAACAAATCAAGAAACGTATACAAAGGATTATACACCATGACCAAGTGGGATTTACCCAGGAATACAAGGTTGGTTTAATATTTGAAAATCAATCAATGAAACACACAAAATTGAGAGAATAAAGAATAAAAATTACATGATCATCTCAATAGATGCTGAAAAAGCAAGACAAAATTCAACACTCTTTTATGATTATAAAATTCAATAAACTAGGAATAGAAGGAAACTTCCTCAACCTGATAAACATACCTATGAAAAATCTGTAGCTAGGCCAGGCAGGGTGGCTCATGCCTATAATCCTGGCACTTTGGGAGGTTGAAGTGGGTGGCTTGCTTGAGCCCAGGAGTTTAAGACCAGCCTGGGCAACATGGTGAAAGCCCATCTCTACAAAAAATACAAAAACTAGCCAGGCATGGTGGTTCACACCTGTAGTCCCAGCTACTTGGGAGGCTGAAGTAGGAGGATTGCTTGAGCACAGGAGATCGAGGCTGCAGTGAGCCATGATTGAGCTACTGCACTCCAGCCAGGGTGACAGAGGGAGACACTGTCTAAAAAAAAAAAAAAACTACAGCTAATATTGTATTTCATGCTATTAAATTAATAGACTGAGAGCTTTCCCTCTAAGATCAGGAAACAGAAAAGATGTCCACTCTTACCACTTCTAGTCAACATTCTACTGGGAGTTTTAGCCCAGGCAATTAGGCAAGAAAAAGAAATAAAAGCCATCCACAAATAGAGATGTAAAACTGTCTCTATTTGCAGATGACATGAGATTGTATGTAGAAAATTCTAAGGAATCCACTAAATAGGAAACTCCAAGGGGCCTCAAATAGTGAAAACAAAATTTAAAACAAAGTAGCAGTACTTACATTTCCCAATATCAAAACTTACTACAAAGCTGCAGTAATCTAAACAGTGTGGTACTGGCATAAGGCTAGATAAATAGACCTATGGAAAAGAATTAAGAATCCAGAAATAAACCCAAATATTTATGGTCAACTGATACATATATTTTTTACATCCATGATACACACTGGATGTCAATTTGATATTTGACAATGTTACCAAGACCATTCGATGGGGCAAATGATAATCTTTTCTAAAACAATGGTGCTGGAGGCTGGGTGCAGTGGCTCACACCTGTAATCCCAACACGCTGGGAGGCCGAGGTGGGCGGATCACAAGGTCAGGAGATCGAGACCATCCTGGCTAACATGGTGAAACCCCGTCTCTACTAAAAATATAAAAACTTAGCCGGGCATGGTGGCGGGTGCCTGTAGTCCCAGATACTCGGGAGGCTGAGGCAGGAGAATGGTGTGAACCCGGGAGACGGAGGTTAGTGAGCCGAGATTGCACCACTGCACTCCAGCCTGGGCGATAGAGCAAGACTCCATCTCAAAAAAAAAAAAAAAAATGGTGCTGGGACAACTGGATAACCACATGCACAGGAATGAAATTGGACCACTATCTCACTCTGTCTACAAAAATTAACTCAAAATAGACCATAGACTCTAAAATAAAATCTAAAACTCTTAGAAAAAAAACATAAGGTAAATCTTCATGTCCTTGAATATGACAATGGATTCTTAGATTTGGCACCAAAAGCTTGAACAATGGAAGAAAAAACAGAAAAATTTAAAACTTCTGTACGTCACGAGACATCATCAAGAATGTGAGAAGAGGCCAGGCCGGTGGCTCATGCCTGTAATCCCAGCACTTTGGGAGGCTGAGTTAGGCGGATCCCTTGAGCCCGGGGGGTTCGAGACCAGCCTGGCCAACGTGGTGAAACCCCATCTCTACTAAAAATACAAAAATTAGCCGGGTGTGGTGGCAGGTCCTGTAATCCCAGCACTTTTGGACACCGAGTTCAAGACCACCCTGGGCAATATAGCAGGACCCCCTCTCTACCAAAAAAATTTTTTTCCTCTTTTTTTTTTTTCTTTTTTGAGATGGAGTCTCACCCTGTTGCCTAGGCTGGAGTGCAGTGGCACAATCTCAGTTCCTTGAAACCTTCACCTCTTGGGCTAGAGTGATTCTCCTGCCCCAGCCTCCCGAGTAGCTGGAATTACAGGCTCCCACCACCACGCCTTGCTAATTTTTGTATTTTTAGTAGAGACGGGGTTTCACCATGTTGGCCAGGCTGGTCTCAAACTCCTGACCTCAAGTGGTCTGCCCACCTCAGCCTCCCAAAGTGCTAGGATTATAGGCATGAGCCACCATGCACAGGCAAAAAAAAATTTTTAATTAGTGAGGTATGGTGGTGTATGCCTGTAGTCCCAGCTACTTGGGAGGCTGAGGTGTGAGGATCTTCTAGCTGCGACACCAAAAGCACAACCTATAAAAGAAAAAAAATTGATAGATTGGACTTCATAAAAATTAAAAACTGTGTGTGTCAAAGGATACTATTAGGAAAGTGAAAAGACAACCAATCATTGGATGGAAGAAAAAGTGTGTGTGTGTTTGTGTGTGTGTGTGTGTGTGTGGTTTTTTTTTTTCTGAGACAGGGACTCACTCTGTGGCTCCAGTTGGAATGCAGTGATATGATCATGGCTCACTGTAACCTTGACCTCCTGGGCTCAAGTGATCCTCCTGAGCTGGGATTATAGGCATGCACCACCACACCTGGCGGGAAAAAACATTTTCAAATCATATATTTGATAAGGGACTCATATCTAGAATATATAAAGAACAATAAAACTTCAACAATAAAAAGACAACCCAATTTAAATAAAAATAAGCAAAGGATCTGAATACATTTATCCAAAGAAGATATGCCAATAGCTATTATATACATGAAAATATTTTCTTTTTTTTTTTTTTTTTTTTGAGATGGAGTCTCGCTCTGTCACCCAGGCTGGAGTGCAGTGGTGCGATCTCGGTTCACTGCAAGCTCTGCCTCCCGGGTTCATGCCATTCTCCTGCCTCAGCCTCCCGAGTAGCTGGGATTACAGGCGCCCACCAACATGCCCGGCTAATTTTTTTGTATTTTTGGTAGAAATGGGGTTTCACCATTAGCCAGGATGGTCTCGATCTCCTGACCTCGTGATCCGCCCGCCTCAGCCTCCCAAAGTGCTAGGATTACAGACATAAGCCACCGCTCCTGGCCAAGATTTTCAACATCAGTAGTCATCAGGGGAATACAAATCAAAACCATGAGCTACGTCTTCATACATATTAGGGTGGCTGCAGTAAAAAGACAGACAATAACAAGTGTTGACAAGAATGTGGAGAAATTAGAATGCTTATTACATGGCTGGTGGGGCAGCCACTTTGGAAAACAGTTTGGCAGTTCCTCAAAATGTTAAACCTAGAGTTATTGTAAAATCCAGCAATTCTATTCCTTAGGATATACTCAAGAGAGCTGAAACATATGTCAACACACAAAAAAAACTTGTACACAAATGTTCATGTACTGACAACCTAAATATCCATCAACCGATGAATGGATAAGTAAAATATGATATATCCATACAAGAAAAAATTATTCAGTCTGGGCGCAGTGACTCATGCCTGTAATCCCAGCACTTTGGAAGGCCAAAGTGGATGGATCACTTGAGGTCAAAAATTCAAGACCAGCCTGACCAACATGGTGAAACCCCTTCTCCACTAAAAATACAAAACTTAGCCGGGCATGCTGGCACACACTTGTAGTCCCAGCTACTCGGGAGGGTGAGATAGGAGACTCGCTTGAGCCTGGGAGGCAGAGGTTGCAGTGAGCCGAGATCACGCCATTGCACTCCAGCCTAGGCAACAGAGAGAGACTCTTGTCTCAAAAAAAAAATAAATAAATAAATAAATAAAAAAAGAAAAAAAAAAGAATGAAATACTGAGGTAGGAGGTGGGACTTGACACCAGAGTCAGCTCTTGGACACTGGACCAAATTGAGAACTAGCTAAAACAAAGATGGAGTGGAAGCAGTTCTCCATAAGACATGCCTACCAGTGCAGCATTTCAGTTTACCATTGCCACGGCAATAGCCAGAAATTACCACCCCTTTCCATGGCAACGACCCAATGACCCAAAAGTTACCAAAATTTTCCTACAAATTTCTGCATAATCTACCCCTTAATTTGCATACAATTAAAAGTGGGTGTAACTATGAGTGCAGACCCACCTCTGAGCTGCTACTCTGAGCACACGGCCTGCGGGGTAGCCCCGCTCCACAAGGAACAGCACCTCTGCTGCTGTGCACTGTCGCTTCAATAAAAGCTGCTGTCTAACACCACCGGCTCACCCTTGAATTATTTCCCAGACAAAACCAAGAATCCTCCTCTGCTAAACCCCAATTTGGGGGCTTGCCTGCCCTGCATCAGTACTGATACATGCTACAACATAGATGAATTTTGGAAACATGTAGAAAGAAGATTATCACAAAAGATGACATGTTGCATAATTCCATTTGTGGGAAGTGTCTGCAATGGGAAATCCATACAGATAGAAAGTAAATTACTAATTCCCTAGGGCTGTGGGTCGGGGTGAGGAGGTAGGTGGCAGGGAGGAGGGTGCAGGAATGGGGAATGACTGTCAAGTGGTCAGGGTTCAGGGAGTTGAAATAATCTAAAGTTAGATTGTGGTGATGGTCACACATATCTGTGAATATGCTAAAAATCACTGAACTGTAGCCTTTAAAAGGGTGCATTTTGTGGTATGTGAAATAAATCTCAATAAAGCCGTAACAGGCCAAGCATGGTGACTCACGTCTGTAATCCCAGCACTTTGGAAGGTGGAAGTGGAAGGATCACTTGAGCCCAGTAGTTTGAGACCAGCCTGGGCAATATACTGAGACCTTGGCTGTACAAAAAACTAAAATTGACCAGGCATGGTTGCACATACCTGTAGTCCTAGCTACTCTGGAGGCTGAAGTGGGAGGTCTGCTTGAATCCAGGAGGTCGAGGCTGCAGTGAGCCAAGATAGTACCACTGCATTCTAACCGTGGTGACAGAACAAGACCCTGTCTTGAAAAAATAAAATAAATAAATAAATAAATAAATAAATAAATAATTTAAAAAAGCCATAACAGGTCGGTCGTGGTAGCTCATGCCTGTAATCCCAGCACTTTGGGAGGCTGAGGTGGGCAGATCACTTGAGGTCAGGAGTTCAAGACCAGCCTGGCCGACATGGTGAAACCTCGTCTCTACTAAAAATACAAAAAATTAGCTGGGCATGGTGGTACGTGCCTCTAGTGCCAGCTACTCAGGAGGCTAAGGTGGGAAAATTGCTTGAATCCAGGAGGCGGAGGTTGCAGTGAGCTGAGATTGTGCCACTGCACTCCAGCCTGGGCAACAGAGTGAGACTCTGTAAAAAAAAAAAAAAAAAGAAAGAAAGAAAGAAAAAAAAAGCAGCCATACAAACAATAACAAACTGTACTCTAAAACTTGCTCTAGGCCAGGCTTGCTGGCTCACGCCTGTAATCCCAACACTCTGGGAGACCAAGGCAGGAGGATCACTTGAGTCTAGGAGTTCAAAATAAGCCTTGGTAACTCTGTCTCTGCAAAAATTGAAAAATTAGCCAGGGGTTGTGACTTGCAGCTGTAGTCCCAGCTACTCAAAAGGCTGAGGCCAGAGGATCGCTTGTGCCCAGGAGTTTGAGGTTGCAGTGAGTTATGATGGCGCCACTGCACTTCAGTGTGGGTGACAAAGCAAGACCTTGTCTCAAACAAATAAAATAGGGTAAATAAAATACAGTAAAACTTGCTCTGCCTATCCAGTGGGTTTTTTTTTTTGAGATGGAGTTTCACTTTTGTTGCCCAGATTGGAGTGCAGTTGCGCGATCTCAGCTCACTGCAACCTCCGCCTTCCAGTTTCAAGCGATTCTCCTGCCTCAGCCTCCCGAGTAGCTGGTACTACAGGCATTCACCACCACATCCAGCTAATTTTTTGTATTTGTAGTAGAGACAGGGTTTCACCATGTCGGCCAGGATAGTCTCGATCTCTTGACCTCGTGATCCACCCGCCTTGGCCTCCCAAAGTGCTGGGATTACAGGCATGAGGCACTGCGCCCGGCCTCCAGTGGGGTTTGATATATTTCATAGGAAACATTTCTTTTTTTTAGACAGAGTCTTGCTCTGTCACCCAGGCTGGAGTGCAGTGGTGCAATCTCGGCTCACTGCAACCACCGCCTCCCGGGTTCAAGCAATTCTCCTGCCTCAGCCTCCTGAGTAGCTGGGATTACAGATGACTGCCACCACGCCCGGCTAATTTTTGTATTATTAGTAGAGACGGGGTTTCACCATGTTGGTCAGGCTGGTCTCGAACCCCTGACCTCGTGATCCACCTGCCTCGGCCTCCCAAAGTGCTGGGATTACAGGCGTGAGCCACCGCGCCCGGCAGGAAACATTTCTTTGGGAAAACTCCAAATCTATGAGGGCTTAGGTGAAAGGAATAGAGATTTTTTCCTGCCTTTCTAGTATGGACACGGAGAGGCAGCATGATTGTCACCCTGAACTAAAGCACAGGCTGAGATTTTGAGTGAAGATTTCTGGAACAATGACAAAGGGGAGGGGATGGAGGGATCCCCCTGCCAGGTGTGCCATTATGAGTGGTATCAGCCAGTCAGCACCAGTGAGCTTCGAGGAAGCCTGTTCTCAGTTAAGGAGCACAGATGCCACTAGCCCCAGGCCCCCATCCTGTGGATGGTGCTCTGTCACTCTGAGCTCAGGGACCACTTAAGCCACTCAATGATCAAACAGTCAGAAAATGCCCAGGGGGGGCCCAGAGAGGATGTGCAGACAGTGAAGGAGAGAAGCTGAGGGTTTCCCCGACCACTACACGTCAAGTAGCGCCTGCCTCCTCTCCATCAGGAACCTGAGCTCTGAAGGCAGTCAGATCGCACTCAAATCTTGGCCAGAGTCAGCCTTCCCCACTGATAGCACAGAGGTAATAATATCTATTGTCTGGGTTGTTAGAAGATTAACGGACTCTTCATAAATTGTAGCAATTAGTATCATAAAACATTAATAAAGCATGGCTATTGGGAGGGATAAGTTCCGGTTTTTCTTTTTTTCTTTTTTTTTTTTTTTTGAGACGGAGTCTCACTCTGTCACCCAGGCTGGAGTGCAGTGGCGCAATCTCGGCTCACTGCAAGCTCCGCCTCCCGGGTTCACGCCATTCTCCTGCCTCAGCCTCCCGAGTAGCTGGGACTACAGGCGCCCGCCACCATGCCCAGATAATTTTTTTTGTATTTTCAGTAGAGAGAGGGTTTCACTGTGTTAGCCAGGATGGTCTCGATCTCCTGACCTCGTGATCCGCCCGCCTCTGCCTCCCAAAGTGCTGGGATTACAGGTGTGAGCCACCGCGCCAGGCCTATTTTTCATTTTTGAGACAGGGCTGGGGACTGGCTTTCTGTAAGTCTCAAGGTTTGCTAGGCTTTGGTGGGTGGGTGACTCATGGAGGGGCCTTCCCTGCAGACAGTAGGCAGTATTGTATTTGAGACAGGGTGTCCCTCGGTCACCCACACTGGAGTGCAGTGATGCCATCATAGCTCACTGAAACTTCGAACTCCTGGCCTCAAGCAATCCTCCCACCTCAGCCTCCCCAGTAGCTGGAACTGCAGGTGCATGCCACTCTGATTAACTTCTTTTTTTTTTTTTTTTTTTTTTGAGACGGAGTCTCATTCTTGTCACCCAGGCTGGAGTGAAATGCCATGATCTTGGCTCACTGCAACCTCTGCCTCCCAGGTTCAAGTGATTCTCCTGCCTCAGCCTCCCCAGTAGCTGGGATTACAGGTGCCTGCCACCACGCCCAGCTAATTTTTGTATTTTTAGTAGAGACCAGGTTTCACCATGTTGGCCAGGCTGGTCTCGAACTCCTGACCTTGTGATCTGCCCACCTCGGCCTCCCTAAGTGCTGGGATTACAGGCGTGAGCCACCACGCCCAGCCCACTCTGAGACAACTTCTGAAACAACATGTCAGTTCATGACACTTTCTTACTTTAAACCCTCCTATTGTTTTCCATGGCACCTTCCTTACCACAGCCCATAAGGCCTCACATGAGGTGTCTTCTGCCCACCACACTGCACTTTCCCCTCCTCACTCTTCTTGGATTTCCTTCATTTTCCAGAACCCACTGGTTACGTCCCACCCAGGGCCTTGTGCCTGGGACCCTCAGCCACCAGCACCCCCAAAGCCCACTCCTCACCCACCCACAAGGTCTCCTCTCAAATGTGACCAACCCTGCTACTCCCCGCCACACCTGTCACTGGCCTCTTTCCTGTGTGCTCCCAGCACCTGCCTTGGTTGAGCTCGGGTGTCTGTGTTCTGTCTGCTGGCTGTCCTGGCAGCTCCCCTGCCAGACAGAGCCCCAGCCCCAAGGAGTGGATGAGCAGTGCCTCACAGGGAGTGCATCCTGGATAGGCATCTGGCGGCTGAATGAGTGCTGGCCTCCTTCCAGGTGTGCAGCGGATGGTTCCGTTTGTTACTTGATCTTGAACTGTCATGAGTGCAGTGATTCTGGGAGAGGGTTTTTTTTGGCTCCTCTCCCAGTTTTTGGGGAATAGGATGGCAGAGAGAAGGCAAGATCTGCTGACATTCTAAAAAGGACATAGGGATGGGCTACGGGCAAGCTGGGGACTGGCTTTCTGTGAGTCTCAAGGGTTGCTGGGCTTTGGTGGGTGGGTGACTCATGGAGGGGCATTCCCTGCAGACAGTAGGCAGGTTGCTGCCCTCTGTCTCCAAAGAGGTCTTTAGGAGAAGAAACTGCAACTGGGGCCCCTGTGATGACTGGAAGATTGTGGCTCCAGGACACGGTCACTACCTTCAGGGATGGAAGTGAAGTGATGCTGAGGGGGGAGAAGAGATTCGGTAACATGCCAGCCCTCAGTCATGCAGAACAGCTGGAAGGCAGCCTCGGGGACTCTTAGAACATGCTGGAACAGTGGCACAGCCTTCAGAATTCCGGGAAAGCCTGTAAAACCCAATCAGGACCCGTGGCATACACCATGGTGCTCTGTGTAGCAGGTGCTGCTTTGCTGTGGCTGTTTGTGCACATGTCTGTACATACCTAAAGCACAGAGGTGTCAAATGCATTTTGTATTGTTACCACTTTACGGGTTTGAAAGCTGCTGCATCTAGAAAAGATGGGTGTGGCCGGGCTCGGTGGTTCACGCCTGTAATCCCAGCACTTTGGAAGGCCGAGGTGGGCAGATCACTTGAGCTCAGGAGTTCGAGACCAGCCTGGGCAACATGGCGAAACCTCGTCTCTACAAAAAATACAAAAAAATGTAGCCAGGTGTGGTGGCAGGCACCTGTAGTCCCAGCTACTTGGGAGGCTGAGATGGGACGATTACCTGAGCCCAGGGAAGTTGAGGCTATAGTGAGCTGTAATCATGCACTCCAGCCTGGGTGACAGAGGGAGACCCCGTCTAAAAAAAAGAAAAAAAAGAAAAGAAAGAAAAGATTGGTGGACCCCCACCAAGGGTCATCTCACTCAAAGGGCAGGAGGCTGAGACCCAATTCAGGGGACTGCTGGAGGTCATCAGCCCTGCTTGGTTTTAGGGTAACCATGGGCTTTGGTGTCAGGCAGAGCTGGATTCAAACTTACTGGTTTGTCTACAACCTACCAATTGTATGACTCTGGGTAAGATGCCCAACATCTCTGAGCTTTGTCACTTGCCTGAGTAGGTAGTACCGGTAGCTACCTCACCGATGGTTGTGAGGGTTAGGCAGGACACCTCCTGGAATGCCAAGCCGAGAACTGTTTTTTTGTTTTGTTTTGTTTTTGTTTTTTGAGACAGGGTCTCACTCTGTCACCCAGGCTGGAGCTCAGTGGTGCAATCTCGGCTCACTGCAACCTCCACCTCCTGGGTTCAAGCGATTCTCATGCCTCAGCCACCCGAGTAGCTGGGATTACTGGTGTTACACCAGCCCACCTGGCTAATCCCAGGGGCCCTGTTCTGTCCTCCCCTTCATGCTCTGCCAGCTGAAGGCCAGTGGCTGCCAGGGATTCCCCACCTGCCACCCCACCCATCCCAGCACCTTCCAGATCCTCCAGAGTGAAGCAGAGAAATAATGAGACATCAGCCTATAGGAAGGAGATCCAGGAGGGGAAAAAGAAACAAGTTTTATTAAAGCCCCAAACACTTGGCTAGAAAAACTGAAAAGGAAAGAGAGCAGGGAGGTGGGGAGAAGAAAAAAGGACATTAAAAAAAGAGACAGAGAAAACGCAGCAACCCTTTTCCATTTAGAAATTGTCAAGTTACACCGACAGAGGTCACAGAATATCCACAGAAGCCATCACCGCTACACCAACATGGGCCCTACAGGGTGGATGGGGCAGGGTGTGGAGCCGGGGCTCACCCCAGGGGGCCCCCTGGGGACCCCACTCCGAGCCTCAGGCCTGAGCCTCCTGGGGGAAACAGCATATTGTGGAAGGGGCAGGAAATCCCCCATGCGAGTAACACAGCACAGTGGGCGGGGGCTGAGAGGACCAGGTACAGGGGTTCCCCGAGACGTCTTAGTTTTCTCTTGGTCAAGCACACACTGATGGACAGAGCAGCGAGGCGCATGCAGCTGGGGGCACTGATGTGTTGCAGGCTGTGAGAGGGCCAGTGGGGACGGGGGCTCAGGAAGGGATCTGGAGCCAGTGGTGCAGGGATGATGGAACACACGCACACAGAGGCACACCCACACACCTGGGTCTGCACCAGCACACATACGTGCACACACACACTCGGAGACACAGATTACATGCACCTCCATGTATGCGTCTCTGTCCACATGTACGTGGCCCACACACAAGTCTCTGGCGCTCGGCATGTCTGCACACACATTACACATGTTCTCACACACAAAGCTCCTCTCACGCTAACATGCAGGTAGGCACGTGCCAATGCGCAAACAGGTTACATGCACCTATGTGCCCACGCCTTCCCCCACACATGTGCTCGGCCATGCCTGTGGGTGCAGGCGCCATGCGTCTGCACACACAGTGCATGGGCTTGTGCCAGCACACACACAGGCTGCACGCAATTCCACACGGATGCCTCCCGGCCCATAAATGTGCAGGAACCAAAGGGAAAGAAAGATGCAAATCCCACTGGGCTTCCCCCGAGCAGGTGGGGCAGGGCCCGTGGCTCCCTCCTTCTGCCCCTTTGTGGATGGACACTGCCCCCACACCTCCCCCACAAAGGGACATTCAACTCAGGACAATGACGGTGGGGCACACATTCCAGTCACAGGGCTGAGGGTGGGAGCTGGGGGCAAGCGAAGTAGCAAGCAGAGAGTAATGGAGTGGAGGGAGGAGGGGGCACCACTCCCCCCTCCCCTCCCAAGTCAGGGGATCTCTGTACAGCCAAATCAAACCAGACCATTTCACTGGGACCACAGAAGCCAGGCCGACGTGCCCGCCCCCCCCAGCCCCCCTCCCCCACCAAAACAGTGGCCAGGAAGAGTGCCGTGGTTTACTTTTTTCTTTTTTAAATATTTATATATATTTATATTACGTATATTATATATAGAATATGTAAATATATTTTTAAAACCGTATAAAATGTTAAGACACTTCACTTAAATGTAAAGAGTTGCCTGCAATTAAAAGTAATTGCATCATTTATGAGGTCCTTTTTTTTTTTCTATTTTCCAGGGTTTTTTTTTTTTTTCCAGGAGGGATTTTTTTTTTCCTCTTTTGTTATTTTTCAAAAAGGCTTGCTCGCCTTGGTACAAAAATGATCCAAAGCTAGAAAATAAGGATGAACCAACAAAGTCAAAAACAAAAAAAGAAATGAAGAAACACAACCCGTTTCCCCTCCCCCCAAACCTTCAACAGCTCCCAGCTCTCCCTAAGTGCGGACCTTCCCCAGCCAGGCCCCAGGGGCTGGGGGGCTCTGCCTTCTGCGCAGCTCCTCCTTTCTGTGCTTGCTGTGGGGGACTGATTCTAGTCCCCCTCCCCTGTGCTTGCTTCACTTTGTGCTCCAAGTGGGAATCCTGCTGCCGGGGACACCGCTCCTCCTCCTCTTCTCCTATCCTCTCCCTACTGGCTCCTCACTGTGCCCTCTGGGGGGCCAGGAGTGAGAACCAAAATTGGCCTCTCTCTGCCTCCCCAGGACCCGGCCAAAAGCCAGGTGGCACTGCCAACCGCCTCTGCAGGGCAGGCAGGGCGTCCAGAGGCCAGGGGCGCTGGCTGGATGGTCAGGCCTCGGGGACCTTCAGACATCTCACCAGGGTCACCAGAGCCCCATTGAAAAACTATGTCTCATCGTTTCCTGGGAAAACCCTCAAATCACCAAGAGGATGACTGAAGGTCAAGTCACCCCACCTGTGGGTCCCAGGTGTCTTCAGTGTGTTCATTAATTTTTTTATTTTCAGATGTTACATTTATCTTTCTTATTTCTGTGATTTTATTCTAGTAGATATAGCTGAATGCACATTAATAATTATTGTAACAATCACATTCTCATTTTGTATTTGAATTTTCATATTTATTTTAAGATTTTAATTTTAATATAAAATATTTTTCTACAATTGTCTATTTTCCATTTTTGTGAGATAAAATTAGCATATACAAAATGCACAGATTTTCCAGGTACAGTTAGAGGGTTCCAGGCAAATGTGCACATACTTGTCTACAGCAGCTAAGTGAGGGTGAGGAACAGGTCCATCTCCCCACAAAGTGTCCTCTTCAGTGCTTCAAGTTAGTTCTCCCATAAGGATTTTTTTTATTTCAACTTTATAATTTAGAAACAGAGGGTTCATGTGTGGATTTGTTACATGGGATTATTGGGTGATGCTGAGGTTTGGAATACAGATTTCATCACCCTCTCCCTCCACTGTCTAGCAGTCCACAGTGTCTGTTGCTCCCATATTTATCCATGTGTGCTCAATGCTGAGGTGCCACTTAGGAGAATATGTGGTGTTCAGTTTTCTTTTCCTGAATTAATTTGTTTAGGATTAAGAACTCCAGCTCCATTTGTTTTGCTGCAAAGGACATGATTTCATTCTTTTTTATGGCTGTGTAGTATTATACATTTTACATATACCACATTTTATATATCCACTCTACCATCGATGTGCATCTGGGCTGATCTTTGTCTTTGCCACTGTGAATAACACAGCAATAAACATACACACACATGTGTCTCTTTGGTAGAATTATTTGTTTACCTTGTAGTGTATACCATGTAGAAGGATAGCTGGTTCATATAATATCTCCGTTTTAAGTTCTTTGAGAAATCTCCAGTCTGCTTTCCAAAGTGGGTGGACTAATTTATATTCCCATTAACAGTGTGTAAGTGTTTTCTTTTCACCACAGCCCCATCAGTATCCACTGGTTTTTGACTTTTTAGTGATAAAAATTTGAGTGGTGTGAGGCTGCACACCTACAACCATATGATATTTGATAAGGCTGACAAAAAAACAAGAAATGAGAAAGGAATTCCCTGTTCCATAAATGGTACTGGGACAACTAGCTAGCCATATGACAAAGATTCAAACTGGATGTCTGCTTTCAACATATATAAAAATTAACTCAAAATTGATAACAGATTTAAATGTAAGACATCAAACTATAAAAATCCTTGAAGACACATGAAAATACTCTTCTCAACACCAGCTTTGACAAATACTTTTTGGCTAAGTATCCAAAAGCAATTGCAACAAAAACAAAAATAGATAAGGAGAGACTAATTTGCTAAAGAGTTACTATGCAGCAAACCAACCAGCTAACCAACCAACCAAACAAACAAACAAACAAAACTATCAGCATAGTGAGCAGACAACCTACAGATTGTGGGAAGTTATTCACAAATGTTGCATCCAACAATGCCCTAATATCCAGAATTGTATTAGTTGGTTTTCATGTTGCTAATAAAGACATACCCGATATTAGGCAATTTATCATAAAAGAAGAAGAAGAGGTTTGATCCACAGTTCCACAAGGCTAGAGAGGCCTCACAGTCATGGTGGAATGTGAAAGGCACGTCCCATATGGCAGCAGACAAGAAAAGAGAACTTGTGCAGGAAAATCCCCCTTTATAAAACTATCAGATATTATGAGACATTCACTCTCAAGAGAATAGCATGGGAAAGACCCGCCCCCACGATTTAATTATCTCACAGGGGGTTTATTCCACAATATTAGGAAATTACTGAAGCTCCAATTAAGATGAGAATTGGGTGGGGACACAGTCAAATCATATCATTCTGCCCCTGGCTCCTCCTAAATCTCATGTACACACATTTCAAAATGGATCATGCCTTCCCAACAGTCCCAAATTCTTAACTTATTTCAGCATTAACTGAAATGTCCACATTCCAAGGCCTCATCTGAGACAAGGCAAGTCCCTTCTGCCTATGAGCCTGTAAAATCAAAAGTAAGTTAGTTACTTCCTAGACACAATGGGAGTACAGGTATTGGGTAAATAGAGCAATTCCAAATGGCAGAAATTGGCCAAAGCAAAGGGGCTAAAGGCCCTGTACAAGTCCAAAATCCAGTGGGACAGTCAAATCTTAAAGCTCAAAAAAGATCTATTTTGACTCCATGTCTCACATCCAGGTCATGCTGATGTAAGTGTTGGGTTCCCATGGTCTTGGGCAGCTATATGCCTCTGGCTTTGCAGGGTACAGTCTTTCACCCAGCTGCTTTCACTGGCTTGCTCTGAGTGTCCATGGCTTTTCTAGGTGCATGGTGCAAGCTGTTGGTGGATCTACTATTCTGGGGTCTGAATAACTGTGGCCTTCTAATCATAGCTTCACTAGGCAATGCACCAGTGGGGACTCTGTGTGAAAGCACACACCCCACATTTTCTTTCCTCGCTGCCCCTAACAGAGTTTCCCATGTGGGCCCCTCCCTGCAGCCACCTTCTGTCTGGACATCCAGGCATTTACATACATCCTCCGAAATCTGGGCAGAGGTTATTAAACCTCAATTCTTGACTTGTGTGCACCTGCAGGCTCAACACCAAATGGAAGATGCTAAGGCTTGGGGCTTTCACCCCTTGAAGCCACAGCCTGAGTTGTATGTACCTTGGCCCCTTTTAATCATGGCTGGAGCAGCTCCGATGCAAGGAACCGGGTCCCTAGACTGCACATAGCAGAGGGACCCTGAGCCCAGCCCATGAAACCATTTTTTCCTCCTAGGTCTCTGGCTTACGATGGGAGAACCTTCCACAAAAGTCTCTGACATGCCCTGGAACATTTTCTGCATTGTCTTGGTGACCAACATTTGGGTCCTCATTACTTATGTAAATTTACGCAGCTGGCTTGAATTTATCCTAAGAAAATGGGATTTTATTTTCTATTGCATTGTCGGGCTGCAAATTTTCTGAACTTTTATGTTCTACCTCCTTTAAAACTGAGTGTGTTTAACAGCACCCAAGTCACACCTTGAATACTTTGTTGCTTAGAATTTTTTACTGCCAGATACCTGGTATCATCTCTCTCAAGCTCAAAGTTCCACAAATCTCTAAGGCAGAGGCAAAATGCCACCAGTATCTTTGCTAAAGCCTAACTAGAGTCAACTTTGCTCCAGTTCCCAACAAGTTCCTCGTCTCCATCTGAGGCCACCTCAGCCTGGATTTTATTGTTCACATCATTATCAGCATTTTGGCCAAAGCCATTCAACAAATCTCTAGAGAGTTTCAAACTTTCACACATTTTTTTCTGTCTTCTTCTGAGCCCTCCAAACTGTTTCATCCTCAGCGTGTTTTCCAGTTCCAAATTCGCTTTTATGTTTTTGAGTATCTTATCAGTAGCACTTCACTCAACTGATACCAATTTACTGTATTAGTTGCTTTTCATGCTGCTGATAAAGACGTACCTGAGACTGGGCATTTACAAGAGAAAGAGGTTTAATAGACTCACACTTCCACGTTGCTGGGGAAGCCTCGAAATCATGGCAGAATGTGAAAGGCACATATCACATGGTGGCATACAAGAGAAGAGAGGACATGCAGGGAAACTCCCCTTTATAAAATCATCAGCAAGAGAGGAGAACTCATGCAGGGAAACTCCCCTTTATCAAATCACCAGATCTCATGAGACTAATTCACTATCATGAGAATAGCATGGGAAAGACCCCCCCACCATGATTCAATTATCTCCCACGGGGTCCCTCCCACAACACATGGTAATTATGGGAGCAACAATTCATGATAAGGTTTGTGTGGGGACACAATCAAACCATATCAAGAATGTATAGGAAACTTAAACAAATCAAGAATCCAAAGACAAATAACCCCATTAATAAATGGGCAAATAACAAGAACAGACACTTCTGAAAAGAAGACTTACAGGTGGCCAGCAATATTTTAAAAGATTCTCATCATCACTAACCATCAGAAAAATGCAAATAGAAAAATGTTCTAATTTTTGTCACTATAGGTTAATTTTTTCTGTTTTGAACTTATTTTTGCTATTTTTTAGGTTTATTTATGTAATTTCATGTCTCAAGGTTTTGTCATCATATATATACATATGTACGTACTAATACACATATGAATATTTCATATCTGAATCAATCCATAACATCAGTAAATGACAGTTTATTAAGTAAATAAATCAGTTTATTATGTGAAATAATGACAATATGTATATTTGTTTTCCTGTTGATGAAATTTAAATTTCTTTCCAACATAAATGTTATAAACAAACTGTTGTAACTATTTTCGTACAAGTTTTTCTGTTTATATTCTCACATATTGATAAAATACATAGAAATATAAGTATGCATTTTTTTATTATAAGACTGAGTTACATTTTCAGCTTTATGGAGCTAAAGTTGACAAATAAAATTGTATGTATTTAAGGTACACCAGTTGATGTATTGATATACATGGGAAAATGCTGGATGATAAATAAGTAAACAATGCTAAACAGCACTAATTATCAGGGAGATGCAAATTAAAACTGCAATGATATTTCTTAAACCAGTCAGAATGGCTACTATTAAAGAGCCAAAAATAACAGGTATTGGTGAGGATTGAAGGCAAAAGGAACGCTCGGACACTTGTGGTGAGGATGTAGATTAGCACAGCCTCTATGGAAAACAGTATGGAGATTTTTCAAAGAAGAAAAGTAGAACTACTTTGATTCGATAACCACAAATAACTACCTAAAGGAAAAATAAATCATTATATCAGAATGATAAGCCGACTTTTGTTTTCTTGCAGAACTATTCATAATAGCCCAGTCATCAAACTTAGGAATTAACCTATGCCTAACAACAGATAATTTTATAAAGAAAATGTTACATATATATACATTTAAATACTATCCAGCCATATGAAGGAATGCAATCATATCTTTTGCAGCTACATGGATGGAATTCATCATTATTTTAAGTATAATAATTGAGAAACAGAACATCACACACCACATGTTCTCACTTATAAATGAGAGCTAACTCATATGTGCACAGGGACATAGAGAAAGGAATGATGGACACTGGAGACTCAGAAAGATGGGAGAGCAGAAGGTGGGAGAATGGTGAGAAATTACTTAATGGGTACAATGTACATTATTTGGATCATGGATACATTAAAGCCAAGACTACTATGCAATATATATATGTAACAAAATTGCAGTCACTCCCCACAAATTTATACATATAAAATAAAAACAAATATAATTAAAACATGATTAGTAACAGTTGATCAACAATACTGAAAATTAAAATTGTGACCAATAAATGAAAATAACGTTAGTTGAACTTCAAATTTTAAAACATTTTCTACTCAAGTGACTATCAAGAAAATTAAGGACAAGCTGCAAAGGAGAAAATATTTGCAAGTCATATATCTACCAATGTAATTATAATATGAACCGGCAAACCTCGAAGATGTACAGATGACACACCAGCATATGAATGTGATTTTCCACTAGAGAACTGCAAATCAAGACCAAAAGGAGACACTACCATAGACTTCCTAGAAAGACAAAAAATAAAGAAGAAATACTGACAATATCAGGGTCGGTGAAGAAGTCAGTCACCCTAGAGACTAATATATTGCTAGTGGGAATGCAAAATGAAACAGTTTCTGGGAAAATCATTTACAGTTTCCTATACAATTAAACATGTCCTTAATCCATGACCTAGAACTCTCACTCCTAAGTATGTCCTACAAAGGATTAAAATCATATGTTCACACACATGTATTCAGATGTTTAACATTGTGTGTGTGTGTGTGTGTGTGTGTGTGTGTGGTGTGTGTATGTTAGAAACTAAAAACAACATGAATGTCTTTGAAAATTTGACATAAAGCATTACAGGTGAACTCCAGACTTTCTTCTGAGTGACAGAAGGCCTGCCTGAAAGATCCCCAGAGACACAGTTGTGGATTTCACTGTCACCCTCACATGTCATTGGTTTGGGCTGGGCTCTCTCTGTCTCTTCCCTGACCAGGACCAGATGTTGAGCTCCACTACTTGCAGTTGGAAGTTTATATTTTCAACAATGCACTGAGGTCTAAGTTGCTCTACAGATGGAACCAAACAAACATGGGCGCCTTTGAACAAACAGTGCCTGACATTTGTACTGATCCCAGGAGAACTCTTCCCAGCTCTCTTTCTTCTTGGTTCTCTCCTGCAGGCCAGCAGCCCTGCAGTTTAGCCTGGATCTCCCATGCATTCACCCATCTCCGTCCAAGTGCATTTTACCACAGCCTCCACCGTTTTTGAAGCAACTCTTGGGCTTTGTAATTCTCCACACTCTGTTGTAAATGAAGTCAGGTCCTTCAAGACCAGATTCGGGACTCTATTTTATGACCAAATTTCAGCCTCACCCCCGCTCCTGAGACAGAGCTCCAAGATAAGATTCTGCAGGTGGAGATTAGGAGTGTTTTTCTTCTTCAAGGTAGGAGCTGAGTGCTCAGTGCAGGGTTGGGGAGAAACTTTCCACTTTATCAGCATGCAGCTCCTGCTGGGATAGACCTTCTTCCATAGAAGCAGGGTTGGGAACCAGGGGGCCAACGTCTTCAGTGCTGCTGCACCCAGGGCAGAGCCTTCATCCATCAGTGAGGCTGTGTGGAAGAAGTGAGTCTCTGGTTCTCAGTAGCTCTTGTCCAGAACTGAGCCTCAGCAGCATGTTCTGTCGGCCCCAGTGTCCTGGCCCCTAGGGAGCAGCATCCTAAAATGGGAGCTAGCATATTTGAGAATAACAACATCTACGCATTCAGAAGCTCTTTGGTTTTCTTTCCAGCTAATATAATTTCCTCTTTTTTGTGTAGCAACCTGTACACATGCATACTGATGCATAGAGACCTATGACACTTTTTTCTCGATAAGTAAAAAATTATTGGTCACTGTGATCTTTTCTCCAAGTTCACCATTTCCCTGAAGGTGAGCACAGGTCCTTCTGCATGTGTTCAAACAAAAGGCCCAGAGACTACCTGGTAAGTGAGGTGCTCACCTGGTTCTGGATGTTTGGTCTGTCTCCTCCCCTCTGTTGCCCCACACAAGGTCAGCCCACTCTTTCCAGGTCCGAAGAAGAGAGCACAGTTTTGTCCTGATTATATGACTCACCCAGCTTCTGATGATTCTCCTGTTGCCAGCGTCCATGGAGGCAGATTATTTATTATGTAATTCACTAAACTAATATCAAATAACAAAGCTGTAATGCCCCACACCCAAAGGTATGTTCATGCAATTCAGTGGAGGAGAGGGCCTTTCAGAGATAGAAGGATCGAGCTAGATTGCTCAATATATGAATGAGGACACTAGACTTGATTGTCGTTGTCCTGCCCCGTGTCACAGGTGTGATCTGTCAGGGCAGAAGCAGAGTTCCTTGTGTGCTCAGATGAGAGGGGTCACGGAGGTTCTCTCTGGTTCCCAGGAAAGGTAATTGCAGTAATCTTGGTGATGAGACTATTCTCCAGTGCTGACCTATTATAGAGTTTGCATATGAAATTGTCACTGCAATCCCCAATCTACATCTTTTAACACGGAAGTGTACAGAGGTCAGGCCACATCCTCAGGATCACACATTAAGGAGAATGGAGATCTGCCCCATTGCTTTCTCCTGCGATCTCCAATAGATCTCAGGATTCAAAACGACTCAGAAGGAAAGGTCTCAGGTGCTTCTGTTAAAATCACCCACTTCCTGGGACCGGAAGTTTCCCTCTAACCACGATGGATAAAAATAAATCACACTCCTGATCTTTTCCACATCCAAAGATTCCTGAAGGCAGAGCTGATTGATATCCTCACAGATAGACTACTGCCTTTCAGAGGTGAACTTGGTATTCAAGTTCCAGCAATTCTGAGAATTCAAGGACACCTCCATCTCTCCACTACTTTGCACCTCACCTAAAAACAGCTCTCTTGTTAGAGTGTCTTGTTTCCTGATGTAAATACATCACAAAATTATTTTCAATAGAGTGAGAAATAAAACCCAAGCTTATTCAAAACACAGATTCCTTGGAAATTATTCTGAGAGCTGGGAGTTCATGAAGAACTCCTAATTGCTATGCCAACCCTTCATTGTTATTGTCAGTCTTATGAGAAAATCAGCGCCAATCACACATCACAGGCCAAATCAGTAAACTAAAAGTCTTCTGTTAAAGATCTTAGGATCTCAGGCAGATGCTGAAGACACTGTCTCAGGAGCACCCAGCTTGTCCATAGGCCCTGCTGGACACTCACATGGGACATCCAGCATTCTCTTTCTCAGAGTCACCAGTGGTCTGTGCGGGTGGCTGATGAGACCAGAATGAGGCAAAGGCATCTGCTCAGTGTCGTAGTGATGGTCCAAGAAATGATCCAGATTGTCTCCATGCTAATCAAATATGGGTTCACTGTGAGGAACGCGTCCTGTGGGTGCTGGTTCTTCAGTGAAAGGACCTCTGTCCACAAAGTGTTTGGAAATGGAGCAGGGCATGCATTTCCTCAAGTGGGATTAGGACTTGGACCATCACCATCTCACTTTTGTATGGCTGATGTGCCATTTATCCTCTCTTTCTTGTCCTGAATCAGGTCTTGAGTTATAAAATTCTCTGAATCATGAATATGCAAATATCATGAGATCCACTGAGATTAAATATGGTTATTCTTGTGCTCTGAGAGCATCACCCAACAACCACATCCCTCCTCTAGAGAAGTTGCTGAGAACACAGCTCCTCACCATGGACTGGACCTGAAGGATCACTTTTTTGGTGGCAGCAGCTACAGGTAAAGGACCACCTACTCCGAAGGATGAGAGGACTCTTTTCAGTCAAAAAGAATTTCATCCACTCCTGTATTCTCTCCACAGGTGCCCAATTCCAGGTGCAGCTGGTGCAGTCTGGGGCTGAAGGAGGAAGCTTGGGGCCTCAGTGAAGGTGTCCCGCAAAGCTCTGGATACACCTTCACCAGCTACGATATTCACTGTGTGCGACAGGCCCCTGGATAAGGGTTTGAAAGGATGGGAGGGATCTACTCTGGCAATGGTAAGACAGGCTATGCACAGAAGTTTCAGGGCAGAGTCACCATGACCAGGGACATGTCCACGAGCACAGCCTACATGGAGCTGAGCAGTCAGAGATCTGAGGACATAGATGTGTACTACTGTGCGAGACACACAATGTGAAAACCCACATCCTGAGACAGTCAGCAATCCTGAGGGAGGTGGCAGCAGTGCTGGGCTTGAGAGATGACAGGGATTTTATTTGATTTAAAGACTTTTTTTAGAAAGCGAGTTTAAGTCATTGCTGAAAAAAGGAAAATAGAAATGCGTATAGACTCTAATTATGTGGGAAATTTTCCATACAACTTTTATTCTGTAAGCAAAATTCAGGGAGTGGAAAACAAATCAAATTAATAAAACCAATAATAGAATTCCTCTGAAAATATTAGTGCGAGCATAAGTTTTGGAACGGGTGTTGTAAATGTTTTGGAGCACAGCTGCTAAGATCACATTTTAACTCTACACTTATCTCCATTATATAAAATATCAAAATGTTTTAATGTTTTCCATTTTGTGCAATTATAATTTTGTGTTCATGCCAGCAATGCATGATAGATCTTGTTCTTCCGCATCCTCATTGCCATTTGGCACTATGAGTATTGCGTATTTTAACTATTCTAATAGATTAGTAGTGATATCTCATTGTTGTTTAAACGCACATATTTCTAATTAAAATTTTGTATTTAATTATTTCATATAATTGTGATGAAGTGTCTCGTATGGTATGTGGATTATTTTTTATTGCATTGTTTCTTTTTGATCAGTTGTAAGTTTCCTTATATACCCATTATATAAGTCACTCACGAAGTTAACAAAAAATTGATTAACAAATATGTGTTTTACAAGTATATTCTCCAAATTGTAGTTGTTGTTTTACTCCCATATCAGTGTCTGTGGCAGAAAAATATTTATATACATATGTGTGTGTGTGCATATATATATAGTGTGTGTGTGTGTATGTGTAAACTTACATAAAATAATTATTTCATAGCTCATACTTTCGGCATGATATCTAAAAACTAATTATGAATTCCACTAACAGGATTTTTCTCTTGTCTCAAATCTCAGGCCACAATCACAGCATAACTATTTGAATTTCTCCTATTTAATGAGAAGATTATTAAGATGTTTAGAATTCTTCTGAATGGAAGGTGCCTTTTTTCTAATTTTCTTTATTCAATAATCTGTTAATGTCGGTGTTGGCTCATGAATGTTTATTTTTTACTATGGAGAAGATCTGGTGCTACATTATTTATTTTATCGCTCAAATCACCACAGCTTTTTTTTAGGTTCTGTGAGCTCATTTAGTTTGGATTCTGTATTTTTACAGCATGCCCCATCCTTTTGTTTTTGATCACTTCCCTATTTCCTGGTGTTACAAGAAATACTAAGCTCATTATCTCTATTATCTTTTCTACACATAGAATCAGTTATTTCTCCAAGGATTGCCGGTCCTTGATATTAAAGAATTATATTAACACACAAAATTATGATGTTGGGTGTGTGTGTTGTTAATGTACTGTCAGTGTTTCTAGAATCTCTAAGCTAACAGGCCTAGAAAATGTGTATGTATATATTAACCCATGTTAATGGACCCATCTAATCTATTTATGTATCCAATCTTCTGTATGTTTATTGCCTCAAACTTTAGAACACTGGTATCTACAATCTACTATGATGATACATGAATGTTTCAAGCTTTCCTTCCTTGCCTGTCCATAACCACCTACTGCAAAGTGAGGAACCCCTCCCATCATTTGCCATTCATTCAATTTGTTGTACAATTTAGAATATATGCATCGTGGTATTAGAATTGTTAACTTGTACCCCTGTTGGAAGTATGTTTATTGACTAGAAAAAAGTGTTTAAGTGCAGTTTCTTTATACTTTAGATTTACAGAACACCCTGATTTCTAAGTTATATAGGTGAGAAACTTTATGTGCCACCTTCTTCAGTGAGGTTATTTGAAATATGTTGTATACATTTTATTTGACATTCTGTAAAAGACAAAACTGTAGATGTCATAAATATATGAGGATTTTCTAGAAATTTAGAGAGAGGGTATGCATTAGGAGAAAAAGGTACTGTTTGCAAACAGTGAAACTTTTTTATGATCTGCAGTAGTGAACGCATGACACAATTTGTTAATTCTCATAATTCTATGATGTAAACTATGAATCTAAATATATACAACTTATAAAATGATGTAGCACATCATGAACCCCAGGATAAAATGCAGAGTGTACAAAAATAAAATATCAAATACATTTACACCGTGTGGGCAGGGAATTGCATGAGATGCAGGCAACAAAGAATGAAGTAACTTTCCCCATTTGCACATAAGATGTTTCCATTCACAAGAGACTTTTCTTTTATCAGGTTCATGTGCAACCAAGTTTCCCTGCTGACAAGCAATTAATCCAGATGATTCGCATCTTCCTTTGACTGAGAAAGATTTCCCTCAAACTTCAGCTCAGTCCAGGCACACACCGTCTCTGAATGGGCATTTACCATCAGACAATGCCCACACCTGTCCCCACGTGGACCTTTCCCTCAGACAAACGCATCCTCAGGTTGACTCTTCCCTCAGACAAGCACCCCTGTCTTCATGTGAACTCTTCCCTCAGATAAGCACACATGTCCCCACATTGACTTTTTCCTCAGACAAGCACATATAGCTGACAACGAACAGTTATGTGGCAAGATGAGCTTAGGATAGTGGTAATTATGGACTCCAGCTCTGATAGTTTGTAGAAATTGTCATTTTTAAAATTCTAACTGAAGACTTTCCTTTATTGTAGAAGACAGTCCTTTACAGCTCTAATTGCACAGCCTACAGGCAGGAGTCCATTTCCTCTGGGCAAGGTTTATTTTTATTTGTTTACTGTACTTATTTGTTGATAAATATTGATACTGTAAAGATACCCTATAGGGGTCCACATACGAGAAAAAAAAGAGTAATGGGCAGATCAACCCTGAACATCCAGTCCCAGGAATCCTTTGACCCTGCCCTCCCTGGAATCCAGAGACAGAGATGGGAAGAGGCCTGCTGAGCAGTGCACTCATGTCCCCAGGGAGAAAGACATGGAAATGAAGCCCCTCCTCTGCAAATGAAAAGTAGCTCATCCCCTGTTCCTGTAGATCCTGGTGAGGAGCCACCCCACATCTGTGCCCTTCCTCAGTGTCCACACCATGGGGTCTGTGCTGATCTGGGCTTCTCTTGTCATCACTCTCAATATCCAGGTTCCCCGTGGATCAGGCCCTGCTGTGGCTGCTCAAAGGTGGGGCTGTTCTCAGTCTGTTGCCTCTGTGTTTGCAGAAGTCCCCTGTGACGTTAACTAACGGAGTCAGACAGAGAAATACTACAGACCAGGAATTCTGCCTTTTCTGCAAAGCCTCTGGATTCACTTTCACTGAAAACAGCATAAGCTTGATCCAGCAGGCTTCATGACAGGGGTGGGTGTGGGTAATAACAATAATTCAAATGGAAGTTCTCAGTGGGACTCTCCTTGAGTAAAAAGATGATTAACAATCCTCAAATACACTCAGTTCAGGAGATTCTCTTTTAAGATGATTAACCTGAGAGCTCAGGAAAAGTCCGTGTATTACTTTGAGGGACACAGTGAGGGGACATCTGAGTGAGCTCAGACACCAACCTCCCTGCAGGGGGACAGGAGGGGACTGCCTGGTAGATGCTTCTCAGAACCACCAGGGGGTGCTCAGGACATCAGGGGGCGCTAAGAACCATCAGGAGATGCTCAGGACACCAGGGGGTGCTCAGGACACCATGGGTTACTCAAAACCACCAGGGGGCGCTCAGAACACAAGGGGGCACTCAAAACCACCAGAGGGTGCTCAGAACCACCATGGGGCACTGATGACAAGAAAGGATGTTCAGAACCACCTGGGGGTGCGGAGCCTCAGGAAAACAGCGGGTGCTCAGAACCACCAGGGGGCACTCAGGACACTGGGGTGGGGGTCACTCAGAACCACCAGGGGGCACTCCAGACACGGTGGTGAGGGGTAGCTCAGGATAGCAGGGTTGCTCAAAACCACCAGGGGGCGCTCAGGACACTGGGGGGGGGGGTGTGGCGGGGGGGGGGTCACAGAGAACCACCAGGGGGCACTCCAGACACAGTGGTGAGGGGTAGCTCAGGATAGCAGGGGTGCTCAGAACCACCAGGGGGCACTCAGGACACTTGGTGGGGGTCACTCAGAACCACCAGGGGACACTGGAGACACCAGGGAGCCCTCAGGACACTAGGGGGAGCTCAGAAACACCAAAGGGCAATCAAGACACCAGGGGGATCTCAGAACCACCAGGAGGTGCTCAGGACACCAGGGGTCTCAGAACCACTAGGGTGTGCTCAGAACCACGAGGGGGCCCTCAGAACCCCAGAGGATGCTCAGATCCACTAGGGGGATCTTAGGACCCCAGGGGGCTCAGAACCACTAGGGGGTTTTGAGGACACCAGGGGGCGCTCAGGACACCAGCGGGTGCTCAGAACCACCAGGGGGTACTCAGGAAACCAGGGGACTCAGAACCACTAGGGAGCACTCAGGACATGAGGAGGCACTCAGAACCACCGGGGACGATCGGGACACCAGGTGGTTCAGAACCACTAGGGTGTGCTCAGAACCACCAGGGGTGCTCAGAACCCCAGGGGGGCGCTCAGGACACCAGGGGCATCTCAGAATCACCAGGCCGTGCTCAGGACACCGGGGGGTGCTCAGGACCTCCAGGGGCGCACAGGACGCAAAGGATAGCTCAGAACCTACAGGGGGCGATCAGAACACCAGGGTGCGTTGAGGACAAGGGGCTCACAGGACACAACGATGTGCTTAGTAAACCAGGGGTTGCTCACAACCACCAGGGGGTACTCAGGACACCAGGGGGTGCTCAGGAAACCAGGGAGCAGTGAGGACACCAAGGGGCACTGAGGACACCACTGCTCCCTTAGGAGGCAGCTCCAAATCAGGTCCCTGAGTGGGAGCAGGGAGGAGGGTTCCTCTTGTATCTTGCCACTAACATGGTGGGAGTTTTTCTGCTTCCTTTGTGGTTTCAATCATTGGCAGATTCTTCGGTATAAAGCAGAGCAAGTATAAAGCTCTGCTTTCTTGTATTGTGTCATGTTTTTGGCTTTGGATGCTACCAGAATTACGTTGTACTTTGAGAGGATTCATTCATGGTGTGTGCAATAGTGAATGAAAGCGGTAATTTTAGGGGTGGCTTTGAAAGCTATGTTAGGTGTGGCTGAGGGCAGTTTACAGGAAATGGTCATCACTATAGAAGGCTACTCATTTCTTTGCACATTTGCATAAGCAATTGTACTTTATGAATTAAAAACTGCATGTTTTCTTGGCCCTTTTTCTTAAATGGTCCCACTCTAAGGGCAGTAATGTAATCAAGCTGTGTTTCAAAGACCTCCAATCAAGTTAAGTCTGTTTAGTGAAATGCTTTGTAAAGAAAATGTACATCTATTTTTCAGAGTCACCTTTACATTTTACATTGCTTTACAAATATTAATTTGGTAAATTTAGACTCATAATTGTCTTCAGTAATTTAAAATCTTAAACTCATGTCATGTTAAATTAAGTAATCCTAGGCTTCTCACTGTGAATTAGGGTTACTAAAAATTAGAATAGTAAGAGAGTATAATCAATTTATGGTGAAGTTTATAAAGAAAGATGAGGATATGTTTTTGGCTTAAAAATATTTTGTTTTCCGGTTTACAGGGCCTTTCTACTGGTTTTAAGATGACAACCACTGTTTACATCTAACCCTTTTTTGTTGAACATCTGTTGAGTTTGTATTGATATTCCATAGCTAGAGTTTTAAAGTAAAAGCTCTAGTATCTTTGTATTAGTGTGAATGTGTGCTTGTATGTATTATGTACATATATATATATTTTTTTGTTATGTGTTATGGCTACAAGGTACAAAATTGACTTTAAAATAAATAACTATTTTAAATTAAGTCAATGAGCCCTAACGCATCTGAAGTACATGTAACTTAAATAAATATGTAATAAATAAGCTGGCTTCAAAATTATTGGTAAAATAAAATTAGAAATATTTTAACAATTATCAGAATACCTTATGGTTTATATCAATTGATCAAGTGATTTTATATTTAAAATTGCAGCTGGATGTTATATGGTGTGAAACATTTCTATGAAGATTATAAAATTATTAACCTAGTTAAAACCAGAATGATCTTTGTAATTTGACAAATAAAATGTTTAATATTATTGTTTTAATAAAAAACAGGTAAATAGTTATTGGAAATACAATCATTTATTTAATAAGAATTTTACTTAGGTAAACACCTGAAATTCATGGGTTATAATATGGATAACAGGGAAAAAGCTTTAAAGGATGAGTATTATAGTTTTCATAAATGATCTAGGTAAGCTATTTAAAAAATAAATTAAGTTAATGTAACACAATAAACCTTTTAAATAAACTTGTTCTACAATTTAAAAATCTAAAGTTTAATTAAATAATAGATATTGACTAAATGTTTAGGTCATTGCTAATCATTTTAAGAATGTATACTATAAGAAAATATTTTTGTAAAATATTTGTTCTTACAAAAAGATTTTATTTAATTCAGAGGTTACTTATAAAACATCCTAAACATAACCAGTAAATAAGAGAGATGCCACTGCACTCCAGCCTGGGTGAAAGAGCAAGATTCTGTCTCAAAAAAAAAAAAAAGAAATTTTTAGACATAGAGGAGTACTTTTGGTGTGAAAGGTTAAAATAAAAAAATAAAAATAATTTTATATGAGAAAGAATCTTGTATTGCAACTTTTTATCCTAAAATAAAAATGACTTTATTTAAGAAAGAGTGATGTTTAGAATAAAACTATATGTTCAAGTATGCCATAAGCGTTTTTTGTAAGTCAAACTAAGGTTTGTAAAAAGTTAATTTATTAAAATAACTTCATATTATGAAGTTGACTATAATTAAAAGGGAAGTATTTATAATAGTCCTTATAGATTTGTAGAGATCTGGCTTTCATATAAAAATATATAAATATACTAAAGATTGGTTAGAATGAAAAATTGTCTTAAAGTATTGATTTACTCAATAAAATTATAAGATATTTTAATTTTTTAACCCAAAAGTTTAACTCTTAAACTGCGTCTTGCCAGTTTTATTCTCTTTTGAGAAGGCTTGAGAGGATCTCAAATTTTTCATGAGCTCATCTAACAATTTTTTTCTTACAGCAGTTAGCCTCTAACAGAGTTAACTTCTAACGTTGTTAGCTTCTAACTGCTATGATTGCCTGATGCTAAAAATCTTTTATATTAAAGTTCTTAATAAAATGTTTTATTTCAATATAGTATTCTGCACTCTTGGGTTTTTTAAAATGTCTATATTTGTCTATGAAACCAAAATCTTCACTTGTAATCCAAGACACATTCTTCCTATGTCTAATTAATCAAATACTTCGTTTCATTAGAGTTGACTTGCAGGTTATCTACATGGATTTCCCCACAGGGAAACACAGTCACACTGCTGAAGGTGTTTTTTTTTCCCATTTGGTAAATGGCATAAAACAAATTTTATATTTTCTTGAAATACTTCCTCTGTAGTTGTTTTTAAGTTTTTCAACTACTTAGGAATACTGAGATTTTGAGAAAATATAAATTAATGTTATTACGTTAATGTAACTATCTGCGTAACTTTTAAAGGCCTTGTGCTGCTACATTACTGATCTTTGATTCCTAGGTCTAAAAAGGATACACAACACTTTGGGAGGCTTTGGAGGGTGGATCTCCTGAGGGCAGGAGTTAGAGACGAGCCTGGCCAAAACGGCACAATCCCATTTTAATAAAAAATACAAAAATTAGCTGGGCGTGGTGGCGGGCGCATGTAATCCCAACTGCTTGGAAGCCTGAGGCAGGGAGAATTGCTTGAACCTGGGAGGCAGAGGTTACAGTAAGCCGAGATTGCACCACTGCACTCCAGTCTGGGTGAGACTCTGTCTCAGGAAAAACAAATAAATACAATAAAAATAAAAAAGACACCGAGTCTTGCTAAATTTTAAACTCTGACAGCAATTGAAGCCCCATCTAGAGATGTGGAAGAAAATGACAATAAAAATTAATCACACACTTAAGACACAAGGCCAGAAATTGAATCTACTCAACCACTCCAGGCCCAGGGACTGTTACAGAAGAAGTGGTTTGTAAGATTGTAAAAGCTAATTTTGAAAGATGAAATTACTTGAAAGTTTCTTTATACAGTAAACATTAATTGACAAGGGTTTCTTGAAGAATTAATCCACTTTTTAATTTGAAAAACTTATAAAAGTTTATAAGAGATCATTTGAAATTAAATTTTATGGTAAAAGTAATTATAATGTAATAGATTTATTTTTCGGAATTGAGAGACAGTTTTAACTTCTCTCATGCTGTTCTTATAAGGGGTTATTGTTTAGAAAATTAATTCTTCTCTTTGAAAAATAAAAGTTTTTGCTTTCTTTCAAAATCACTGAGTTCTCGCTGGACTAAATAAATAACTTACATTACAACAATCTGTAATCCTATTTTGTAATATCAAACATTGTAAACTTTTGATATTTGACAAACTTCACAAAATAAAATTCTAAATGCAGTCATTTGACCTCATTATTCTTTTCTGATATTAGGTCCCCAAAGCCAAAATTAAACTTATTCAGCTTATTTGGTATAATTAAAATATGCAGGGAGCTACGTCAAATTTGCAAAAGTGTTTTAACTTTGGACTATATTTAAATAAATGTGGACTATATAATTGGACCATATTTATATAAATTAAAGAGCATATTTTCCAAAATCGTATGAGATCCAAGTGATTTGATATGTCTTAGTATATTTTATCGGTAGTGTTTATGATTATTATGTAAAATTTCTGTTTATTGCAGAAGTAACCAAATTTTCCCCTCAATTCTGCCTTTAACCATGGCTATTCTAAAACTTCAGTCATCCACAGTTGGTGTTTTACTTTGATTCTTTATCAAGTGGCTTATAATAATCTATAGAATTTTGAGGAGTACTCTTAAATATACGATTGTGACAATTTTATAAATTGTGCCATTGGTATAGAGATTAAAACTTCCAAGACTCTCATTGATACCTGATTGATTTATGATGATTGTTAATCTAATATTAAGCAGGACAGGACTTAATTGCATGAACTGAATTGACAGAAGACTGAAATTATTTTTATGGCTTATTCTTTAAAGCATTTGCTAATTACTTATGTTCTGTTTTTTCAGAATCAGGAAAAGTTTGTCTTTTAAGCTATTCACAGTTGTTAACAATTGAGTATGGTATACTTTATTAAGAAAAAAATAAAAACATAATATCTTCTTATATACATAATTTCTCCAAAATTTGGAAACTGTGAGTATTCTTATATCAAAATAGTTATTTGCATAGGTTCAATAAAAATCTGCTTTCTTCCATAACAGGGCACAATTGGAGACAATGGTCATTTTACTAAGTCTTTAACTTGAATTATATATTTTCATATTTACTTTATAAAATGAATCTAACCTGGAGAGCTGATAAAGCCCCTTGGGAAAACTGGCATGTACCTTTTTTTTTTTTTTTTACAGGGCCCTGAAGTGTAGTAAGTAAACAATTTAATTTCTGACAGACCCAGGACTCCCAAGTTTTCTTGGAAACTTGAAAAAAGAGAAAGTAACCCAATTCACATAGCTATCTGGTGGCACAGATAAAATATTGACTGGGCTTGAAGATTTTAAAGACTCTACCCTTTGACTCCTTACAAAAAATTTCTAGCAAAGTCAATTTATGAATAAAATTGCCTATGTACAAACAAAAAATAGAAAACAAAAAAGAGAGCTAATATGTTAAATGATTATTTTGCTGCCTCTTATACAAAAAAACCAGGCCAAGTCTCATAAGCCTAAAACTGATTTTACAAATAAATTGGTCCTACTATGATTTTGTCTCGAATAAAATTGGGGAATTATAGAGAGAAATATTATTTCAAAATAAACTATAGTGCATCAGTTAATAGATTTTAACCTTGTCCACTTGCTTTTCAATTTATATTATCTTCTACAATTTGGACTGAATTTTAAAGCGTATCTTTGCACAAGTCTCCAAAATAACGTTTTCAATTATTTCCCTTTTTAAATATTTTTCCTAACTTGAAACCAGCAGAAGTTAAGCTGTGCTTTCTTACAGCTAGACAATGTAAATTCTAAAGAAAATAAAATCAATGATATGGTTTGGCTCTGTGTCCCTACCCAAATCTCACCTTTTATTGTAATAATTCACACATTGCAAGGGTGGAATGAGGTGGAAATAATTGAATCATACGGGCTGTTTTCTTCCTGCTTTTCTCCTGTTAGTGAGTGAGTTATCACAAGATTTGATAATTTTATGAGGGGCTTCCCTCTTCACTTAACACTTCTCTCTCCTGCAGTCATGTGAAATAGCATGTGTTTGCTACCCTTTGCATCATGATTGTAAGTTTTTTGTGGCCTCCCCAGCCATGAAGAACTGTGAGTTAATTAAACCTATTTTTCTTTATAAATTACCCAGCCTCATGTATGTCCTTATAGCAACCTGAACATGGACTAATACAAGCAACTTAATTACATATGAAGTCTCCTTTTGTACCTGCCTATTGTGAAGAGAAAATAAATCTTGAGACCCCAAAATCACTAAGCTAAAGAGAAGAGTCCAGCTGGTGTAATAGGAGATAGAAAGAAATTATTTAGGTAGATAGTTAGGATGAAAGAGTCTCTGGCAAAAACTTTTCTTCTAACAAGAATCAGCTCAAAAATAACTTCTTTTCTAATCAGACACAGTTCAAAGAGATCACTTCTAACAAAGAGCAGCCTGAAAGATTGGGCTGTAAAATATAGATAAACAACTCTGGCAGAGAGGGTATTTCTGTTTGTAATCACCAAAGTTCACATACATAGGATGGGTCCCAATAAAAACACTGGGCCTTAATGAGCACATTCCTTTCCTTTTCTGGGGTCACACTGAGCTAGGAAAGCTGTTAGCTTGTACGGGGTTTGGGATGCCCCCAGCTGCAAGGAGGTACCTGGGACCTGGCATGGAAACTCCTCCCTCCTTTTTCAGCACACGCATGGTGGAAGGAGATAAGGAACGTGGAGCAGACCAAGCTAAGTCCCCACCTGCATAATAAAAGCATGAGATGGGGCTGCCAGAGACTTCGCTCTATGCAGATGGCACACCTGGTCCTGTTTTTGCATCCTATGTTGATAAGATACCCTCTCCCCAGTAGCACATTTATAAAAATCCTTACATTTTACTGCAGCACAGCAACCCATTTGGGACCCCTTTCTGTGACAGAGAGCTTTTTTTTTTTCCTTTTACATATGAAATTTCTGCTCCAACCTCACCTTTTGTGTGTCTGTGTCCTTGATTTTCATAGCCACGACACAAAGAACCTTCGGTGATATTCCAGAAAACAAGGGTGTTTTACTGGAAAGGGCTTTGGGCAAACCTGCCTCCCTTTCTATTCAAAGTCATTCCTCTGAGGCCCACATGAGACAGATACATATCTGATTGCTTCCTCTTCAGTATCACTTATGAAAAAATGAAGATTCACTAAGTCTGACTAAATTGTGGATTCAGTGGTAGGCTGATAAAGGACTTAAAACAATGCAATCTACTGTGTCTTATCTACTTCTAAACTGCAAAACCCCCTCTCAATTTGTCCTGTCTTGAAGGAAAAAAAAATGTACATTTTACATATATTGATTGATGTCTCATGTCTCTCTAAAATGTATAAAAGCAAGCTGTACTTCTATCACCTTGGGCACATGTCTCAGGACTTCCTGAGGCTTGCCATGGGTGGGTTCTTAACTTTGGCAAAATAAATATATTAGTCTGTTCTCCTGCTACTAATAAAAACATAACCAAGCCTGGGTAATTTGTAAAGGAATGAGGTTTAATGGACTTATGGTTCCACATGGCTGGGGATGCTTCACAATCATGTCAGGAAAGCAAGGGACATCTTACATGGTGGCAGACAAGAGAGAGTTTGTGCAGGGGAACTCCCCTTGATAAAACTATCAGATCTAATGGGACTTATTCACTATCATGAGAACAGCATGGGAAAGTGCTGACTTACTGCAGGAGAACTACGTAATTTTATATTTCCCTATGTGCTTCTTTTTCATTACACATGTAAATTTTCTTACCATCCAAACTTCCCCTCTACCCAGCTTTTCCTCTGTGTATATTGAAAGCCCTAAAAATCGTCTTTAAGGAATGGCACTAACCACACACAGTTTCTGTGGTTACTTTTATTTTTCTTCCAGGCTGTCCTAACTTTGAGAAAATTAATTTTAATTTGATTGAGATCTGTCTCAGAAACCTTTGGTTTACACTAGGAAAGATCCCAAATTAGGAGCCAATTACTGTAAAAATCAGCCATACCACTCTGCGTGTGTGTGTGGGGGGGGGGTGGTTGGTGTATATGTGTGTGTACATGCATGTTTTCATTTCTGTGGGCTTTAAGCCATGTAGTTCTCTCTGTGAAGATACTTTTTGGCATGAACTTTGAATAGAGAATTGTAAGAGAAATAAGAGGCTCCTATGAATTATCTGAAAGTTTCTGGACTCACCATGGATCTTGACTGTGTCATTGCATCTGACAGTCCCAGGGAAGTGACTCTCTGGTGGTTTCATGAATCTGTGCTTGGGCTCTCCCTGCAGTTTACTGGGTATAGTAATGACAAATCACTGTTTCAAGAGACAATTTCAAAAGCATCAGATGCTGCTGAAAGAGGATTGTGAACCAGGGGACAGCCCTTTCATTCTGGGAGAGCAACATTGGGAGAATATGCTCTGTGAGCCCAAACAGCATCCTCCCCAGCAGGGTGAGGGCAGAGCTGCAGGGCAGGCCCAGAACCCACTCAACACAGACGTCAGCCCTGAGCTGGTGCAAAGGAGTCTGAGGAGAAAATTTTACCAGCATCTGAATTACACTTATTTCAAACAAAAATGCATGTCCTGTGAGTGTTTGTTTCACTATTAGAGGAGTTCTGTACTCATGAAGTTCTGGACATGCCAGCGGACAAATATCAGTAAACAAACATCAGAACTTGAACCTCAGCTTCCCACTGTTGCATTCTCCATGTGTCATGTCTATTATTTCTCATGCTAGATCAGGTATTTAGCTATGAAATATTCCAGTTAATTAACATGTAAGTAGCTTGAAGTCTACTGAGTTAAATACATATATTTTCTCCTGTTTTTCCCAGGTGTTCCCTCCCACACCTCCAATAGTCTCCACTATTATCATCGTCTTCTAGATCTTCTGCGATGCCCTGGAGATTAAGGATTTGATTCCATGACAGAGAGGAGGTACATTTCGATGGAACTTTGGTGAGAACCTTGGTTTTTATCCCATTTCCTCTGGGGCTCCACCAGTGCCTCTGGAATCATGGTTTCAGTGGCTTGCCCCTGTATGGTAGGTAATCCCTTTATTCTGTAGTGCTGATGAGGGAGGTGGGTCTGAACGCATTTCGGTAGTATGGGCTCTCCTTCTGTCTCAGACAGACACTTTGGGAAAGGAAGATTTTTCTGAGTGTCCTCATTCTAGAACAAAGGGATTCAATTGCATAGGAATGCGGATAATAGAAAACCTTCAGCCAAATTAAGGTTAATGAGATTAATTGAGCAATGGATGATTCATGAATTGGGCAGCCCCCAGAATCGCAGCAGATTCAAAGAGACTTCAGTGCAGTCACATGGTGGAAGAAGGTTTATAGATTAGAAAAATGATGTACAGAAATCAGAAGTGAGGTACAGAAACAGCTGGATTGGTTACAGGTTGTTTTTGTCTTATTTAAACAAAATGTGCACACTCAAGAGTGTATGAGTGGTTGAGGTATGGCTGCTGGAATTGGCCAAGACTCCGCTATTGTTACAGGCTCATGCTCTGAAGTTGGCTTTTCAATCTTGTCCACCTATTCAGGTAGGTTACAGTTTGTCCAGAAGGACTCAAACACAGAATTACGGAGTCCTTCTCAGGCCATATTTAATTCACTTTATCAGTGCCCTTCAGTATGTGGTTCCTGAGAATTTTACACGACAACACGTTTACCACACTGGAATTTAAGCAATCCAACACGTTTGTAGCTTTGTCTTGTTTTATTTATTTATTTTTTTATTTTTTGAGACGGAGTCTCGCTCTGTCGCCCAGGCCGGACTGCGGACTGCAGTGGCGCAATCTCGGCTCACTGCAAGCTCCGCTTCCCGGGTTCACGCCATTCTCCTGCCTCAGCCTCCCGAGTAGCTGGGACTACAGGCGCCCACCACCGCGCCCGGCTAATTTTTTGTATTTTTGGTAGAGACGGGGTTTCACCTTGTTAGCCAGGATGGTCTCGATCTCCTGACCTCATGATCCACCCGCCTCGGCCTCCCAAAGTGCTGGGATTACAGGCGTGAGCCACCGCGCCCGGCCTGTAGCTTTGTCTTGTAATAGGCTATATTTCATGTGGCAGCCTCGGCCTCAGTTTAGCTAACACTATGGCTTCATTTCTCTCTACAAGAACTCATTTCTTTCAAGATTTCCACGTTCCTGAAAGGAAAATAAACCTTTGGGACCACCAAATCACTAAGCCCAAGGGAAGTCAAGCTGAAAACTGTTTGGGGTAAATCCACCTCCATTATTTCACTAAAATGATAGCTACTACGGTTTTTAAAAGCTACAGACCTCCTTCAAAATTTGACCACAAGTAAAATCCTTGTGGGCCAAAGACAGACAGAGTCATTTCTCTGCTCATGTAAGTCAAATGCATATCTGATTGCTCCCTTTGCTCTATTATTTCACTAAGCCAGATTAAGGCCTACGTGACTATTCCTGTAAATTGTGCATTCAGTTAAAGGCTAATCAGAAACTCAAATAATGCAACCATTTCTCTCAAACCTACCTATGATCTAGAAGCCCTCTCCCCACTTCAAGTTGTCCTGCCTTTCTGAACTAAATCAATGTACATCTTATATACATATATTGATTAATGTCTCATGCCTCCCTAAATTGTATAAAACCAAGCTGTGCCCACAAGCTTGGGCACACATCATCAGGACTCCCTGAGGCGGTGTCACAGGCATGTCCTTAATCTTGGAAAATGAACTTCCTAAATCTATTGAGATTAGTCTCAGATACTCTTTGATTTACAGGTTTGTTTTTTGTTTCATAACTTCAATTATTTGACATGCTAAAGAAAATTTGCCAAATAGCACATTCTCTTGTTTACGTGTTATTGTTGTTGCAAAAATAATATATTTTATATATAATTTATCATCTATGTACATTACCAAATTGAGTAGCAGATTTATTAGTAAGACCCAAAGTAATGAAAAGTTTGAATACCAATTAGCAACTTAGAAAAACAAATTATGCTACATTTGTTTGCTGAAATGCTACCTATTATTTATTAAAAAATAAACAATACAACATAAAAGGTTTAATTCTCGGTATTTCTACTGAGAAAAATAAGCCAAATAGATAAGAGTACATACTATATTGTTTCATTCTTATAAATTCTAGAGAATAAAAACTAGTCTAAAGAAATATGAAAACATCAGTACTTTTATAAAGAAATGGTAGAAGAAAAGAGGAGAAAAACAAAATTATGTCTGTAAAAGAGCAAGAGGAATTCTGAGGTGAGTTGACTTGTCACCTTCTTGAAAATAGAGATTTTCTTTATCAAAGTTTACTATTATGCAGGTTAAATATGTGAATTTTATCATCTGTCAATTAAAACTCATAAAATGTATTACAAGTAAACAAGTGAAATTTTAGACAAAAAAGGGATGATAAGAAGGAACAAATGAATACATTAAATATCAGATACACCAAAAATTTATCTGCCTGATGCCTAGATGTTTCCGTATTTTTAGGTAAATGCAGCAAAATCACACAGGTTCTCGTGGCAGGAAGTGGATTCTGCAAACCACACTAGGCCCATTTAGCTCTGTCCAATAGTTGGTTAAGAGAGCAATTGAGGCCAGCTGTGAGGAGCATAGGCCCAGGTACTAGGACTCACTCATGCCAGATATAAGCCCTTAGACACATACATAGCCCCTCCATGTGTGGGTTCACTTTTACATCTGTAAACGAAGAAACCACTGAGTGCTAAATAACATCATTTATACACATAGGTAAAAATAATTAAAAATATGATAGTTGTTAAATGTTTATCGCACAACAATTTCACATTAAGACAGCATTTTCCCAAACACAATCATTGTCATCAAAATCCCCCAGGACGCTCTCATCTACTCTGGGCCCTGCCCTCTCCTCAGGAGTCCCACCCCATAGCTTGCTATATAGTAGGTGACATGCAAATAGAGCCCTCCCTCTCCTGATGAAAACCAGCCCAGCCCTGACCCTGCAGCTCTGGGAGTGGAGCCCCAGCCTTGGGATTCCCAGGTGTTTCCATTCAGTGATCAGGACTGAACACACAGGAATCACCATGGAGTTTGTGCTGAGCTGGGTTTTCCTTGTTGCTATATTAAAAGGTGATTCATGGAGAACTAGAGATATTGAGTGTGAATGGGCATGAATGAGAGAAACAGTGGGTATGTGATGTGTGGCAATTTCTGACCTTTGTGTCTCTCTGTTTGCAGGTGTCCAGTGTGAGGTTCAGCTGGTGCAGTCTGGGGGAGGCTTGGTACATCCTGGGGGGTCCCTGAGACTCTCCTGTGCAGGCTCTGGATTCACCTTCAGTAGCTATGCTATGCACTGGGTTCGCCAGGCTCCAGGAAAAGGTCTGGAGTGGGTATCAGCTATTGGTACTGGTGGTGGCACATACTATGCAGACTCCGTGAAGGGCCGATTCACCATCTCCAGAGACAATGCCAAGAACTCCTTGTATCTTCAAATGAACAGCCTGAGAGCCGAGGACATGGCTGTGTATTACTGTGCAAGAGACACAGTGAGGGGAAGTCAGTGTGAGCCCAGACACAAACCTCTCTGCAGAATGCTTGGGGGAAATCAGCTGCGGGGGGCACACAGGACCCACTGATCAGAGTCATCGCCAGAGGCAAGTTGCAGATGGAGGCTGGTTTCCTGTCAGGATGTGGGACTTCATCTTTTTAGAGTTTCTCTAGGGAATCTCTCTAAGTTCAGAATTCTGTGCTTACCAATGTCATCTCTACATATTTTTAAAATGATTATTTTAATATGAAAACCTATTCTCCTATGCACAAAACACAGATTGATGCTTACAGAGATGAAAAGCCCTCAACCATTGTCACCAGGATCAGAGTATTGAGGAAACTCAGGGATACCTGGTGAGTCTTCTCCAGTCAGACTCAGGACAGAAACCTCAGTGAGATTCCCTGACTAGGACGGTCTTTAGGAATTGTGATCACAGCCAATAGAGTCTGGGCCAGGGTCAGTGTCGTGTAGAACCTCACAGTTTTCATTCCTGACCCTTCTCCTGACACTAAAGTATGCAACTTAGTATCAGCACTGATCTGGGGCCCCTTTTGCTCTTAGCCCACTCTATTTCTTTTTATTTGTTGTTGTTGTTCTTGCTCTTCCTTGTGCTGTTCGTGCTTCCTGTAAAGTGGGGATGTGGTTCTTGCTGCCAAAGCTCGAGGTCTCAAGCCCATTCCCTGCAGCTGAGGTGGGGCTCAGGCTGTGGCTCCTGCAGCCATGTGGGAGAGGCTGATAGGACTTTTCTCTCTCCCATTGCTCAGCACCCTCCAGTGTGTCATGTGGAGACTCACCTGGGAATGCAAGTGGCCAACAGTAGTGAAGAGGATGAGCTTGTGTGGTCAAAATGGGATGTGGATGTGAAATTTATCCTGTGCTGTGCAAAGTACCACAGAGTGAGTCACCTTCCTCACCAGTAGTGTTAGAAAGAGGGTGTGAAAGTTGTCAGAATCAAAATAGATCCACTTGTGTTAAAACCCTGACAAAAGGAACTAGGAATGACCATGAAGGAGGTTTCCCATGCACATACTCCTGATAACAAGAACGACCATGAATGGATTCTGCTTAACCACAACCTTTGATAGAAGCCACCATGACCTTATAAAAATCACATCTACAAGGACATCTTCCCAGCAAATCACTGTTTAACCCTATATTGATGCCAACCTTGGTATTGACTCTACAAGCAAGGAAAATACTCTCAAAACAATTTATGTAACCCACCTCATTTTCACTAATAAACCTATGGATTGACATCCTGGAGTCACTGCTGCATTTGTTGTTAATTGTAATTAGCCCCTTTTACAATGTTTGTGACTGTTTTTCTCCGATGTCTCTTGGAAAATAAATAATTTACAAGTTGATGGCAGTAAAGAAGCTATTTAGGACATTTTTAACATCCTGTTGAATATTTCTGCATAGCACATCGATCCCCTAAAATACTTCGCTGTATTGGCATGTGATAAATCAGAGTATAATGCTGAAGGTAAAATGGAAAATACATGGGCTTTTGATGAATCAAGTCATAGGGTGATATTGTCTTTGCCCTTGAGGAAGCAGACCATGGGCTGTTAAGTTCTAGTGGGAGTACCTTTGGCAAAAGGATTTCATGAGTTTCTGAATGTTATGCTACTTTCAATTTAAGAATGCAACTTGTCATTTATTTTTACTTAAATTTTTCCAGAAGATATTTGGCAGTAAGGACAGGGTAGCATTCGTGTGATACTGATGACTTAGAGAATTATTTTGTAATTTCTCCTGTAAGGTATGCACATTGCTCACTCGATACAGAAGGTCAAATGTCACAGGTGGGAAAATAGGAATAAAGCAAATTTTATTAAATGTCATGACTGTAGTTTTTGGCAAGGAAGTGCTTCATGTCAACCTGAAAACAGACAGACAACAATAAAACATATTCAAACCCACAGGGAGTCAGACCTATGTCCTTCTCTCGTATAAGTACAAGGCCTTGCCACATCCAAACTATCCTTTAGGCTCCAGGGTATAAAATGCTTTTGGACTGTGGAAGCTAACAGCTCTCCCCTCAGGCAGGGCTAAGGTATCTGGGGAATGCAGAGTTGTGTTCACGAAGAAGATGGCATTATGTCTGTCTTCTCCTGTGCCTGGTGACGGCTCCCCCAGGGTGAGTGTCTCAGATGTGGGTCTATGGGGTGAGTGTAGGTACATGTGACTGACAGGGACTGATTCCCCATGTACTCACATGCCCTGTCCCAGGAGCAGCTGCAGGAGTCAGCCCTGGACCTGAAGAGCCTGCACTGCCCCTCTGCATCACCTGCACTGTTTCTGGCCACTCCATCACAACCAGTCCTTACTACTGGGCCTGGATCTGCCGGCTCCCAGGGAGGGGCTGAAATGGGTAAAATGCATTGCTAGTGGTGGTGGGAATCCATTCATCTTGTGGAAAATGGCAGCATCTCTTTATTTTATAAGGCAGAATCATGTTATATTGTATACACATACCACATTGTCTTTATCCATTTGTCCATCGACAGACACTTAGTTTCCATATCTTGGCTGTTGTGAATAATGCTACAATAATCACAGGAGAGCAGGTATCTTCACAAGGTGGTAATTTCATCCCATTTGGGTATATTTCCATAAGCTGGATCGCTGGTCATATGGTATGTCTGTTTTAATTTATTTAGAAGCCACCACACTGTTTTGCATAATGGTAATGATGGGAATGTAGAATGTCATAGCCACTATGAAGAACAGTTTTAGATTTGAGGTATAATCCAAAAACACATAGTGTTTGATCATGGTTCTCATATGAGGCTCTAATAAACCTAGTGGAAGTCCAGAAAGTTTTCCCACCTTGGGCAAGGATGAGTTTGCCCCTAATTATCTTTAAGGCAGAATATTTGCAGAATGTGAGATGGAGTCTGTTGGCAGGATTCAGGATGATTCAGTAATAAATAGTAATGGCACAGAAAAATAGGGAGTTAGAGACATGCAGAGAAAGAAAGAGATAGAGAGAATATGAATCTTGTAAGAGGAAAATCTGCTGGATATCAGTGTTGGGTTTTCATTCACAGAGACATCAGTGTGAGTGAGAAACCATGAATTCAAGTGAGGAGTGGAGAACATGTTCAGTCTGAAAATCAGCATATTCTCAGAGGCACCCATTGCCCCATGACACAGGTGGAGAATTTTGGAAACCAGTGAAGTATGAGTTCACAATAAGTGATGAAGTTATCATTTTTCCAAACTTTCATTAATATGCAAAGTATTTCTATAGATCACTCATGCATATACACACAAAATGTGTTTTTGCATTTATGGATGTCTAGAGAAAAATAAGTGAGAAAATTTTTCCAGGTTGCAGAGATCTGTTTAAGTTGCAGATTCCATAGGAATGGATACTGGTCTATTAATTAAATAGTTCAAAATTCTCTCTGTTGGAGCAGCCTTCCAATTATGTAGATTTCTTTATTGCTTCTTGAGTTGTGAAACATAAACCCAAGGATTGACTTACTGGAATTCGACTGGTGTGTTCATAAAATTTCTGATAAGTTTTCTCCCAATGATTTGAGAATAGCTTTCCTGTTTTTTTACTCAAGGAAATGAATTTTCACAAGGTTTCAGGACATCACATTTCAGGCGTTTTACTTAAAGAGACTCTGCCTGGGTGCAGTCAGCTTTCTTCTAACCATGAACTCACTTCTTCAGCAAACCATTCAGTTTGTGCCTCTATTAAGAATGATGAAGCTTTTAAACTTCAATGCACTGAAAATCATGCCCCTTGAATTAAATGTGGATTGGCACTGACATGAATTGGCCACTCTTGGATATGTATCCTATATTATGGGCTCAACTTATTAGCGGACTGAGAATCCTGCATTAGCTGCCTCTGACTGTGGCACTGACCAGATTGAGAATCCTCAGAGTCATCCATGGAAAAGAGAATCCTTAGGTTCATGGGGTTTTTGGAGACATTCAGGTGAGTGGAGGGGAGAAACAGGACTGGGGGTGGCCAGCCATTTCAACAATACTGGGAATGATTAGCATCTAAGTATAAAGGTCTGCATCACTCAAAACACCCTGCATGACAGGCTGACAGAAAGAAATCCAACCCCACAGTGGCTCCATAGCAACTCTTTAGTATACTTGGTAGTGAAGCTCTTTCAGGGAAGAAATGTCCACTCAAGGGACTCAGTGATGCTTCTCTGAGCTACAATAAACAGTGTATTGGACCCAGGTTTCTCTGAGTTCAATGTGATGATTACACTCAGCTGCTGCTCCGATGAGTTTAAATGAGCATGTGGCAATTTAGATGAGCCTGGCTGTGTGGTATGTTATATGTAAATCTGAACTATGTAAACATAAAGGGCATGTCTGAACTAGTGTGAGGGTGAGAGATCTTAGAGGCCGCACACCTCACACTCTTGTGCTTATTTGCTCCAGGAACCTCCAGGTTCTTCGAGTGAAAATCGACATAGATCCTTTCCTGGATAAATCATCCAAAGACCTAATCTCTGAGAAATACACACGTACATTTCTCCAGATAGACCATCCAGGGGAAAGACATATCTAGAACCTTATCTGTATTGGGTAAGGTAGTCCATCTCCATTACAGACCCTCCCAGCAGCCTTCCTTTATCATGAAAGTGGATAAAATTAGCCGATACTGAAATAATCCTATAATATTACAGCCAGAAAAGGGAAAGCATCAGTTTCATTTCTGGAGACTCTGAATATAGGTCACAGCCCAGAGAAAAAAAGGATGATTGAATTATTAAGAATCAATTGTAAGAACATATAATACTTCCAGGATGCACACTTTGTTTTCTCACCAGTATAATCTGGGTTAAAGATGAAAGTGTGGCAGTGCACAGACTCTATCTGAGGAGGAGAACATAGGGAAACTGAAAGACAATGGCAGAGAAAAAGACAAGGACAGTAGGAAAATCTGAAGCCTCTGACATAAATTTTTTGAAGAAAAGGTCTTGGCAAATCCATTGACCTCAGATTCTTTTATCATGGGGCATTTTCAGGGTTCCTAGCTGAGAAAAAATATTCATGCACTTCCCAAGTCTCCACTTGTATTCTGTTTGCCTTAGATCGCTAAGAGAAAAAAGCCATAAACCTAGGCCTAGTGTCTGTGTATGAGGCGCTTTTATAGGCTAGAAAATAGTAAGAAAGGAGAATATGTGTTATTGGAATAGCATATACAAAGGTGTCTTTATTCTGAATGTATCTGTACCTGCAGATATTCTCAGATGCAACATTCAACTGCAGGAGCCCAACGAAGAAACTAGGCATTCCCCAAATCCTACAAGTTTTTGTATTCATTAGGTGTCCACTGATTCAGGAAATGTGAAGCTTCAGAAAAGGGACTCCCTTCTGAGTCATAGAATCTTTTCTGTGGGTATCCCTCAGTAGGTTTAGTGAGGCTAATCAATTGTTAAAAGACATGGTGTCGGCAGCATATGGTGTCACTGGCAGAGAATTCTAAACCAGGACACAGCCACTTCATGCTGGGCTAGAGACTCTGAAGGAAAATATCTGTGAGCCCCGACAGAAACCTCATTGCAAGGCAAGAGCCTGGGTGAAAGGGGGCACTTGGGAGCCACCAAGCACAGGTTCCAGCCCTGGAGCAGGTGCACAGCTGGGGAGGAAGTTTCCTCTCAGGGCCTGGGTTTTCCTTTGTCAGGAAAAAACAATCTAAAATAACTGTTCAAAAAGTCGCTGACGTGCTTTAGGTATTCTATCACATCAAAACCATTCATATAACTTAAGGCACTGAGAACTATTTTTTGAAGTGGGTTTCTAGAACTATAATATCTTAGTAGTGAGAATATGAAGGATGGGCATGTTTTTACTAATTCTATGGGTACAGATTAGTTGAAGAAACTTCATTCCTATGAATAAGAAATTCAGATTTCAGTGTTAAGTAATGTTGCTTACATTGTGTGAGTGACAGGGCAGTAGTGGATCTGAGAGTGTGGCAGGTGCACAGACCAAGTGAGTCAGAAATCAATATGGAAAGGTGAGGGTCTGTGGATATGAACTGAAAGTATGTAAATACTTGACAAAATACTAATAAATGGAGTTCAAAAATAACCCAAAATTGTTCTAAACACAAATTCCTTGACAATTACTTTGGGAGTAGAGAGTTCATAATGGACTCCAAACTCCTGCTTTATCTTCTTCTGATTCCCATTTCTGTGAGATGAGAAAATCAGCTCTAATTATGCATCACAGGGCAAATCTGTAAACCAACAGTGTTCAATAGAATTGAAGATCCTGGGGGATCAGGACATGAGTCAGGTGCTGGAGACAGTGTCTCAGGAGCACCCAGTAGATCTCAGAGGTCCCTCCTGGACACTCATGTGGGACATAAGCGTCACTTTCTCAGAGTCAGCAATGAGCTGTGCTGGTGCCTGATGGGTCCAGGAAAAGACCAAGGCACCTGCTCAGTGTGATGGAGAGTGATGGTTCCAAAAATGATCCAGGTGGTCTCTATGCTAATCAAATATAGGCTTACAGTGAGGAGCCTGTTCTATATGGGCTTATTCTTCAGTGAAAGGATGTCTGTCCACAAATGTTTGTAAATGGAGCAGGGCATGCATTTCCTCAAGCAGGATTAGGACTTCGACCATCTTCATCTCACTCTTGTAAGGCTGATGTGTCATTTATCTTCCCTTTCTTATCACGGATTGGGCTTTGAGTTAAGAAAGGCTTTGTCTTATGAATATGCAAATATACTGATATCCACTGAGGTAAATATGTTCTGTGCCCTGAGAGAATCCCCTGAGAGCACATCTCACCATGGGCTGGACCTGCAAGATCCTCTTCTTGGTGGCAGCAGCCACAGGTAAGGGGTTCCCAGGTCCCAGTAATGAGGAGGGGATTGAGTCCAGTCAAGGGGGCTTTCATCCATCCTGTGTCCTCCCCACAGGTGCCCACTTCCTGGTGCAGCTGGTGCAGTCTGGGGCTGAGGTGAAGAAGCCTGGGGCCTCAGTGAAGGTCTCCTGCCAGGCTTCTGGATACACCTTCACCTACTGCTACTTGCACTTGGTGCGATGGGCCCCTGGACAAGGGCTTGAGTGGACAGGATTTTAGTTATTTGAGATATTTTTCATACAACATTTATTCTGCAAGCAAATTTCAGGGATTGTAGAATGAATCACATTAACAAATCTGATACAGAACTTCCTCTGAATCAATCTTTGTAAACATCAATTTCTGAATCAACGTTGTAAATACTTCGGAACACAAGCACAAGTTCACATTTTAACTCTACTTTTATCTCTATTTAAAAAATGCCAAAAAATCTCATTTTGTGCATGTAACGTTTTGAATTCCCACCATCAATGCATGACATTTCTTGTTTTTCCACATTCATGTTACCATTTATCATCATGAGTATTGTGAGTTTTAGCCATGCTGATAGGTGAGTAATGGCATCTAATATTTATTTAAATGCACATGTCCCAAATAAAAAAATTTATATTAAACAATTTTTATATAATTTTTGCTGAGATGCCTTTCCTGATATTTGGTTCATTTTTATCTCCATTGTTTTCTTTTCATTAGTTGTAAGTTTACTTGCATATTGATTATAAAAGTCATTTAACAAATTGAAAGAATTGATTTAACAAATATATGACTTGGAAGTATTTTCTCCCAGTCTGTGGTTGCCTTTTTCTCTCTTATCAGTGGGTATTTCAAAAAATATGTGTGTGTGTGTGTGTGTGTGTGCACAAATTTAGACAAAAAACATAAAAAATTATTCATTCATAGATCATGTATTTGGCATTATATCTGAAGTCTCATTATAAAATACACTAATACTGATTATTTATTCCATGTCTCTAATCTCAGGACACAATCAACTCATGAGTGTTTAGCCTTCACCTATTGATTGGAGGAATATCTGCCTGAGATATTTGGAATACTTCTATAAGAAGACGTGTTCTTCTTCCCATCGTTTCTTTGTTTAATCATCTATTAACATCCATATTGGTTTATGGATGTCTGTTTCATACTCTGAAGAAGATCCATGCTACATTATTCATTTTCTTGTTCAAATCTCCACAGCTTTATTAGGTGCTGGGAGCTCATTTAGTTTGGATCCTGCATCCTTACAGCAAAGCTGATCCTTTTGTTTTTGAACACTTCCCTGTTTCCTGATATTAAAATAGATTCTAAGCTTGTTTCTTTATCACCTTTTTCATACATAGAATTAGCCATTTATATAAAGATTGCTTGTTTCTGATTTTAAAGAATAGTGTTAAAATAAAATATTGTGATAATGGGTATGTGTGTTGTTAATGTGGTATAAGTACTTCTGGGACCTCTCAACCTTCTGTTCTAGTAAATGAGCATGTTTATATGAATCATGTTTATGGACCCATTGAAATTATGTATCTAATCTTCTGTAACTTGATTACATTAAAAATGAGCACACACTGGTCTCTCCACCCAACTATGCTGCCACATGGACCTTTCTAACCTTCCTTTCTTGACTGTCCATAACCATCCACTACAAAGTGAGGAATCCCATCCAACCATATGCCATTTGATTACTTAGTTGCACGATTTCAGGACACATGCATAGCGGTTTCAGAAATGTAATGCTGTACCCTTGTAGGAAACATGTTTATCTACTAGATAGAGTGCTTATGTGTGATTTCTTTACAATTTAAACTTAGAGAACCACCTCATTTTCAAAGTTGCTTACTTCAGGAACCTCATTTTCCACTTTCTTCAGTGAAGTCATTTCAATTGCACTGTATAGTTTCATTTATTTGAAATTCTGTAAAAGTCAAAACTATACTCAGGTAAACAGAGAGGATATTCCAGGAATTTAGAGAGTGGGTGTGAAATAAGTAAAACAGGCCTTGTTTAAGAAGAGTTAAGACTATTTTAGTGATATGCAATGGTTGAGACAAGACACAATTAATTTGTCCCAGCTCATAATTTTGTGATGGACAATATAAACCTAAATATACACAATTAAAAATATATTTAGGAATTCATTAACCCCTGGATAAAATGCAGACTGTACAAAATTATCTAATAACATATTTGGGAGTGTGGGGATATTATGAGATGCATGCAACAAAGGAGGAAGTAATTTTCCTCATTTACGTATAAGATGTTTCCATTTACTAAAGATATTTTTTTGAAAAAAATCAATTTTCTACTTGACCCAGGTTTTCTCTTCCTGATAAGCAAGTAACCCAGAGGATTCCTTTTCTTTCCTAGATTGAGAAAGATTTTTCCCAAACGTCAGCTGAGTTCAGGCATACCCTGCCCCTGAATGCTCATTTACCCTCAAATGGGTACACACACCTGTCAACATGTGGGCTCTTCTGTCAGACAAACACACCTTTACTCATGTGGATTCTTCCATCAGACAAACACACATGTCCCCACATGGACTCTTTCCTCAGACTACCACATATGTCCTTACATTTACTCTTTCCTCAGAAAACAGACATTTCCTCACGTTTACTCTTGTCTCAGACAAGCAAACACGTCCCCATGTGAACTCTTCACTCAGATAAGTACACATATGTCCACATTGACTGTTTCCTGACACAAGTCCATGTATCTGATGTTGAAATATGTTGCGAAAAGTGATCTCAAGATAATGATAATTATAAACCCCCTCCCTAACAAGGTGTAGATCTGCATTATTTTCATTGTAACTCAACTTTGCCACATGGTCAGGAACAGTGGTTTCCAGCTCTAAGTGTACTGATTACGGAGAGATGTCTGTTTTCTCTGGAAATGTATTTTTATGTTCTTACTGGATGTATTTGATGATAATGTTTTCTACTATGAAGATACCTGAATAGCGTCCACACTGGAGAATAAGAAAGAGTAATTGGCAGATTAACCCTGTGCCTCCAGACCCGGGAATCCTTTGACCCTGCCCTCCCTGAAATGGAGACACAGAGGACAGATGAGCAATGCCGAGTGGCGCACCCATGACCACAAAAAGAAAGACATGGAAATATGTCCCCTCCCCTCCTCATGAAAGGCAGCTCATCCCCTGTTCCTTCAGGCCCTGGTGAGGAGCCATCCCATGTGTGTGCCCTTCCTCAGTGTCCACACTGTGGGATCTGCACTGATCTGGGCTTCCCTTCTCATCACCCTCAGTATTAGTGGCCCTTGTGAATCAGGTCCAGCTGGGGCTGCTCCACATGCGGCTGTTCTCAGTCCATTCTCTCTGTGTTTGCAGAAGTCCTATGTGAAGTTCACTGGTGGAGTCTGAGGGGGAAAAATTGTACAGCCCAGCGGTTCACTGAGCCCCTCCTGCAAAGACTCTGGATTCACCTTCACAGATTGCAGCATCAGCTTGGGCCAGCAGACTCCAGGCCTGGGGTTGGTGTGGGTGGCAACAGGGAGAAATTCAAGGGGAAGTTTTTACATGCACCGTTACGTGCACGGTCTCACTGACATCTTTACTTCTTTTATCATGTTTGTTTTGTAAATCACAAAGAATGGTGCATTCTTCATCTATTCTATACTTGTTAAGTATTTTTGGCATCTTTTAAAAAACTGGTAACTTTATCCTATGTAATATCCCTGTTAAGTCCTAAAAGTCTTTTTTGATGTCTATTTTTTCTTAACTTTACACAGCTACTATAGATTTATTTTGGTTAACATTTTCATAATCCATGTTTTCTCATCTTTAGTTTTTACATTTGTGAATATGTACTGTAATTTTCTAATACATAGCTTCTAGTTGGGGCTTGTTTTTTTTAAATCAACTATAGTAAGTTCTATTTTTAAACTAATATTATTTTTCTGTTATCTTGTTTAAATTAGCACTTCACAATGACGTTTATTTCTCTATTAACATATAATCTAATTCACTTTTATAAATATTATATTGTTTACCATAAGGTTTACAATAAGAATTGTATATAATTAGATTGTATAAGAAGTGTATATAATTAGATTCTATAAGAATTGTATATAATTAGATTCTAATGCAGATACTGTGATGGCCTTGATATGAAGAACAGAGACAGTGTAACTGTGTGCTTTGAATTCCTCCTTCTCACCACTCTTTCTTGTTTATTCCCAGTTTGCACTTACATATGCTATAAAATATGTAATTTTTTATTCCTTTTACAGTTATATAATATAGCAATTACAAAGATAAAAACTGCACTTCATCTTGATTTTCTCATTTTGTAGTCTTAATTTCTTCGTATAGATTTATGTTTTGAATGTATATCACATGGCTACTAGCAGAGAAAGTTTGTTAAAATGTGCACTGAAGCATGAATGTGCTGACAATAAATTGTCTCAAGATCTTTTTTTAATGACAGAATTTTATTTGCCTTTCACTTTTAATGAAAATGTAATGCATGTAGAATTCCAGTTTGCATTTCACTTGTAATTTATTTTCTTGTGTTTATTATTTTATTCATGGAGACGATCACACATTACATTCTGCTGGGCCTATATTAACCACATTTCTATGAATCTAGTCAGGGTTGGATTTCAAGTGTATGGTTGCCACGGCTATCAGAGTTGAAGTCAGCTTCTCCTGTTCACAAAAAGTTCAGGTTCCTCCAGTGATACCCACTTTTGTGTCCCGGTTTGGCTCTTCCCATTTCTCTCCCCAGAGAGAGCCTGTCTCTTTCATCTGTGGCAGGTGCATCCTGCTGACACTTTTACTTGGTGATTGTTTGTGGGGTGAAGGGGCTTGGACACAGGGGGATGTTCTCCAACCTTCGGACCGAGCCTCCTTCTTAGCTATGGGTGGTGAGAGTGGCTCTGAAGCATGGTCTTCCAAGTGTTCCTGTTCCTTCCCTTCTCCAAGTCAGAGTGTCTCTTCCCAGCCACAGTGGTTTTTCGTCAGTGTCCTCAGCTTCTGACCCACTGTCCTTACCCCACAGACTCAGGACTTCATTCCTCAGGAAAGAGATGGGAGGTGATTCTGGGTAGAGTTTCCTTGGTGTCCTCTGTTTCCTTGTGTTCTAGTTGATTCTACCAGTGCCTGAAGGACACAAGATTTAATAAATGTCTCCCACATATCGTGAAGGGGGATTCAGCATTGAACACAGCTGCTATTCTTCCTCCCCAGTCAACACCACAGGACAGCAGGTGGGTGACTTGTCTGGGGATTTCCCCAATTCTGTAGGAAAAGCCTGCAAGTGCCGGGAGTTTCACACTCTCACACCCTTAGCACATACATCCTCAACAACTCATGAAACATTTCCAGGTTAGCTTTTTCCTATCTTCAATACTATACAACGAGTGGCACCTGCTCCAGGTACTCTAATAAATGGACCCTAGTTCTCTCTGCAGGCCCCTATTTCTCAGATTTCAGGGTTTTTTTCTCTGTGACATCAACTCAGATATGTTGAAGCGTTCATTTTTCGTAGTTGTTCAAGTTTCTTATTAATGAGGTCAGAAGAAGATCATTTTCTCAATTTTTTTACATTCCCATGCTTAGTATTTGCTTTCTAAATAAAATTCAGAAACGAAGACAAAATATCAAATATCCACTATTTGGTGCATTGTTAAACAATTTGAGAAATATTCATATACTGAAATACAATGAACAATTGAAATCAAGGCATGCCTCAGTCACATAAGAATGTGAGGACATTATCAAATAATTGTGCTGAGTGTAGGAAGCTAAAGAATTCACAGTAAATCTCCTGTGATTTCATTTGTATAAATTGTAGAAAATGCAACTATTCTAAATTAACATGGAGAAGATCTGAATTTTTCTGAGAAAAGTGTGGTGAGAGTAACAAGATGGTGAAATAAAATTACAGGGAAGTGAGAGAAAAAAATTAGAGGTTAATTTAATTGCTAATAGCATGATTGAAGTGCTGATTCAAAGGCTGCACACATATACCAACATTTTCCAAATTGTACACTATAAATTTGAATTCACTATGGATTGAATTTTTGAATAAAGCAGTAACAAAAAATGAGTATATTGGCTGAGGAAGAGGAAGAAAGAGATGAATATTGACACTTGAATAATCACGGACTCCTGAAAATACACACATGTGAACACTGATTGCATATTTCAGGTAAACACTAGAAAAAGCAAAGTCACATAAAGTTGTTATGACAGGTGGGACATCCTGAAAACCTCACTAGGCATGTCCCACATCGCCCTGGAGCTGTCTCAGGGGAGCAGTCTCCTCCAGTGTTTAGAGGCACAGACACAGGTAATAGGGCTAACTCTGGCCAGATGTGTGATATTGGACACATTGCACAACTGCTCTGTTATGTATGTAATTCATCTTCTCTACAAATGTAACATTGACACTTGCACTGAATATATTCTGCAAATGTGTAAACATTAAATAAGATGATGACTGCTAATTGATCATCAAGGCACAATCACATAATCTGAAGTTATATTTTCCTGAGAGATAGGATTACCTCCAATGTTTTCTGGGATGCTCTCATCTTCTCTGAGCACTGCCCTCTCCTCAGCTGTCCCACCACAGAGCTTGCTATATAGTAGGAGACATGCAAATAGGGCCCTCCGTCTGCTGATAAAAACCAGCCCAGCCCTGACCCTGCAGCTCTGGGAGAAGAGCCCCAGCCCCAGAATTCCCAGGAATTTCCATCTGGTGATCAGCACTGAACACAGAGGACTCACCATGGAGTTCGGGCTGAACTGGGTTTTCCTTGTTGCTATTATAAAAGGTGATTTATGGCGAACTAGAGACATTGAGAGGACGTGAGTGAGATAAGCAGTGAATATATGTGGCAGTTTCTGACCAGGTTGTCTCTGTGTTTGCAAGTGCCCAGTGTGAGGTGCAGCTGGTGGAGTCTGGAGGAGGCTTGGTACAGCCTGGGGGGTCCCTGAGACTCTCCTGTGCAGCCTCTGGATTCACCTTCAGTAACCACTACACGAGCTGGGTTCGCCAGGCTCCAGGGAAGGGACTGGAGTGGGTTTCATACATTAGTGGTAATAGTGGTTACACAAACTACGCAGACTCTGTGAAGGGCCGATTCACCATCTCCAGGGACAACGCCAAGAACTCACTGTATCTGCAAATGAACAGCCTGAGAGCCGAGGACACGGCTGTGTATTACTGTGTGAAACACAGAGTGAGGGGAAGTCAGTGAGAGCCCAGGCACAAACCTCCCTGAAGGGGTCCCAGAGACGACTAGGGGGCGCCAGGACACTGTGCACGGGGCTGTCTCCAGGGCAGGTGCAGGTGCTGCTGAGGGCTGGCTTTCTGCCATGGCCTGGGGCAGCCTCATCGTCAAATTTCCCCAGGGAACTTCTCCAGATTTACAATTCTATACTAACATTTGATGTCTCTAAATGGAAAACGGTTTTTTTTTTTTTGTTCCTTTGTTTTTGTAACAAGAGGAAACACCCTCACCTCCACAGAAGCCAGCGTGTCACTTTGGGGGCAGAAATAATCCTTTCATGGTCAGGATGAGAGTCCTGAGGAATCTCAGGGAAACCTGGAGAGTGTTTTCCAATTAGACTCAGAGCAGAGACCTCCATGGGAATCTCTGATTAGAACAGGCCTTGAGCTCTGATGGGAGCCAAGAGAGAGGCTCACCCAGGGTCAGGGTCCTTAAAACCTGATGGTTTTCACAGCTATCCCCTCTCAACTTGTAAAACTGTGCCCATCTGACTCAGACTGATTCAGCTGACCCTCTTTCTGCTGATCCATTTTCCATCTCTGTAGACTTGATTCTCACAGTTCCCTTTCTTCTTCTCTTCGCTGAAAACAGAAGATGTGTTTTCTGTAGTCAAAATTCCAGGGCTTGGGTCTGCAGGACCTGGGTAGGCTGAGGGGACTTTCTCACTCACCATTGTCTGGACACTCCTGTTGTCTTCTGTGCATGGAGGCATTTGGAAAATGTAGTGGACATTAGCCATGAAGGGAATAATACTAGTTTTCTCCAATGGGATATTGATGTAGAGCTGATCTTGTGCTTCTCACACTATCTGAGTTTGGACTCTCACCTGTGACTTTGAGAAGAGCTGGGGATGGGCACTCCATTGTGCTGTGAGCTCTGGGTAAAAATAATTGTAGAATCTGGCTAGGCAGTTTAAGGTCAATACTACTGGCCTTCGGGAAAGACAGGCTGGAATTCCTGGGAAGATCTGCATCTGCCGTCCACCACGGAGCCCCATCGTCTTCTGTTATGCTGTCTTTGAATCAGTCCCAACTAGATTATCTAGAACACTCTTCGTGACTTAGGAAAAAATAATGGCAGGCTCCACTAACACCTGTATTATGCCATGGGAGCAACACCTAGGCTACTGTGTGATTGAATAGATGAGACTACGGTCTAGTCAAGGTGACAGGTAAAATTGATTGTTGCCATTATGATATTTTATTTTATATTTGTCAATATAATCATGCTCATATTATAAATATTTTTTGAGACGGAGTCTTGCTCTGTCGCCAGGCTGGAGAGTGCAGTGGCACGATCTCAGCTCACTGCAACGTCTTCCACCTCCCAGGTTCAAGCAATTCTCCTGCCTCAGCCTCCCGAGAAGCTGGGATTACAGGTGCGCGCCATCATGCCTGGCTAATTTTTGTATTTTTAGTATCGACGGGGTTTCACCATGTTGGCCAGTGTGGTCTCGATTTCCTGACTTCGTGATCTGCACACCTCGGCCTCCCAAAGTGCTGGGATTACAGGCATGAGCCACCACGCCCGGCCTAGTTTTATTAATGTCTGTCCATACCAGCAACTACATACCTATGGGGACATTAATTTACATCTGCAGACATATGTGTAAATACACAAGCCTATACATACATGTGTAGTCATTTATATTTAACATTATAACAAAATAATTCTAAAATATTTTCTAAAGAATTAAACTTAATGATGAGCTAAATATAAATTAGAGTAATCTATAATTGATTTCAACAGTTCTCTATAGTTTACATAAATGGATGTCTATTTCTAAGCTTTAACATAGTGTATTTGTCATTTTAAAATAGTCAAGAAAAAATTACAAATGTTCTTGTCACAAAAAAGATAAGGATTTGACGAATTGAGGTAATATATATGTGAATTAACTCGATTCAATTATTCCATATTGCATTCACAAACCATAACATAGCTTTGTGCCCCATAAATGTATACAACCAAAATTTCTCCATTTTCAATGAAATTTTAATTATATATTTTTAAATCTGATGCCTCTCCTTGGATTAAGCCACCTCCTCAGGGTTACAGGGCTCTTCCATTTTCTCAACATGCTGTTATACCAGATGAGCACAAAAACATTAATTTCATTATGCTTAGCTTTAATTTTTCAAAACAACATAAAGGTGATAATTTTAACGATAGACGTATTACAACCTACTATACATGAGACCCTTTCCGTGCTTCAAGGTTTCTTCTCAGGATTTTACATGTATTGCAAATTTTCATTTTTCTCTGATATGGAATGCTGATTTCTCTTTATTACAGATTATCAGTTTATTTTTTAAATTTATCTCTTAAAATTAATTTTTTCAAAGTCCCACTCAAACCAGGGTATTATTAGAACTTTGAAGTGTAATAGTTGGACCAACTTTGAGAATACATTCAATTTAGTTCGCGTGCTCTCAAGCATCTTTTTTTTTCTTTAAAAGTTGTTATCAGTTGTAATATCACACAAAATATTAGTAATTTATACTAATGACACAGGTTAAAATATTGTATAAATAATTTAATTACATTTGATTGGAAAAAAGGAATATATGTTCCTCATGTCTTGACTTTTTTTCTTCTCTATGAAATGCATGCATATCAATTATTAAGTTTAAGATGTTACCTTTGTCTTTTTGATTTCTGGGATTTAATTTTAGTACATATACTTGAATGCATTTTATTAATTCATATAATAATGTTCATATTTTGGATAGGGTTTTAATATTAATTTTATTATTTACTGAATTTTAAACTATTCTACAGTTTATTTTTTGTTTTTATGAGATAAAATTTACATATAATAAAATATGCATAGATCTGAAATGTATCACTAGAGAGTTTCTGGCAAATGTGAATACCCTTGTTCTCAATACCTAAGGTAGCTGAAGAGCAAGTCCATCCCCACATCGCGGGTTTTCCCTGTTCTTGCGGTCAACTCCTGCAAGGGGAAACGTTTTGATTTCTGACACTACAGATCCATTTATTTTCTGTTTTGAACTTTATATAAATGGAATCAAACATTATAGACCTTTTTTTCAAAAGGGGCTTTGATATTTTTGAGATTAATTCATACTATTTAATGTATAAAATTAGATCAACATATTGTCATTTATTCGATTCGTAGACTGACTCTGATATGAAACCTCAAAGTTTTCATGTACTTATGGAGAGAGAGAGAGGAAGGAGAAAGATTTTATATCTGAGTCAGTGCATTAAGTAAATAAATGAGAATATTTTGATTTATTTTCCTGTTGATGTACTTTAAATTTGTTTCCATTTTATGAATATTATAGGCAAAGCTGTTTCAAATATATTAGTGTAGGTTTTCCTATATTGTTTCATTTTTGTTAAGAAAATATGAAGTATGTATTTCTTTTTTATTTTTGATTACTATTTATTTCTATTTTAAATTTTACTTTAAGTTCTGGGATACATGTGCTGAACATGTAGGTTTCTTACATAAGTACACATGTGCCGTGGTGGTTTGCTGCACCTATCAATCTGTCATCTAGGTTTGAAGCACCTCGTGCATTAGGTATTTGTCCTAATGCTCTCCCTCCCCTTTCCTAATGCTTTTTCTCCCCGACACATCCCAGTGTGTCATGTTCCCCTCCTTGTGTCCATGTGTTCTCATTGTTCAACTCCCACTTATGAGTGAGAACATGTGGCGTTTGGTTTTCTGTTCCTGTGTTAGTTTGCTGAGGATGATGGCTTCCAGCTTCATCCATGTCCCTGCAAAGGACCTGAAATCATTCTTTTTTATGGCTGCATAGTAGTTCATGGTGTACATATGCCACATTTTTTCATCCAGTCTATCATTGATGGACATTTGAGTTGGTTCCACATCTTTGCTATTGTAAATAGTGCTGCAATAAACATACATGTGCATGTGTCTTTATAGTAGAATGATTTATAACCCTTTGGGTATATACCCGGTAATAGGACTGCTGGGTCAAATGGTATTTCTCGTTCTAGATCCTTGAGGAATTTCCACACTGTCTTCCACAATGGTTGAACTGATTTACACTCCCCCCAACAGTGTAAAAGTGTTCCTATTTCTCCACATTCTCACCAGCATCTGTTGTTTCCAGACTTTTTAATGATCAACATTCTAACTGGCATGAGATGGTGTCTCATTGTGATTTTGATTTGCATTTCCCTAATGACCAGTGATAATGAGCTTTTTTTTTCATATGTTTGTTAGCTGCATAAATGTCTTTTTCTGAGAAGTGTCTGTTCATGTCCTTCACCCACTTTTTGATGGGGTTGTTTGGTTTTTTTTCTTGTAAATTTGTTCAAGTTCCTTGTAGATTCTGGATATTAGAACTTTGTCAGATGGATAGATTGCAAAAATTTTCTCCCATTCTGTAGGTTGCCTGTTCATTCTGATGATAGTTTCTTTTGCTGAGCAGAAGCTCTTTAGTTTAATTAGATCCTGCTTGTCAATTTTGGCTTTTGTTGTAATTGCTTTTGGTGTTTTAGTCATGAAGCCTTTGCCCATGCCTATGTCCTGAATGATACTGCCTATGTTTTCTTCTAGGGTTTTTGTGGTTTTAGGTTTTACATTTAAGTCTTTAATGCATCTAGAGTTAATTTTTGTATAAGGTGTAAGGAAAGGATCCAGTTTCAGTTTTCTCCATATGGCTACCCAGTTTTCCCAGCACCATTTATTAAATAGGGATCATTTCCCCATCGCTTGTTTTTGTCAGGTTTGTTGAAGATCAGATGGTTGTAGATGTGTGGTGTTATTTCTGAGGCCTCTGTTCTGTTCCATTGGTCTATATAACTGATTTGGTACCAGTATCATGCTGTTTTTGTTACTGTAGCCTTATAGTATAATTTGAAGTCATGTAGCATAATGCCTTCAGCTTTGTTCTTTTTGCTTAGGACTGTCTTGGCTATACGGGCTGTTTTTAGTTTCATATGAAGTTTAAGGTAGTTTTTTCTAGCTCTGTGAAGAAAGTCAATGGTAGCTTGATGGGAATAGCATTGACTGTATAAATTGCTTTGGGCAGTATGGCCATTTTAACAATATTGATTCTTCCTATCCATGAGCATGGTATTTATTTATTATAAAAGTAACTTTATTTTTTTCAGTTTTACTGAGGTACAACTGAAATATTTTTAAATGTATATGTTTAAGGTGCACCACTTCATGTTTTGATATTGTGTTAGTCCAGTCTCACACTGCTATAAAGAAATGCCTGAGACTGAGTAATTTGAAACAAAAAAATAGATGCTTAATTGGCTCATTTTTCTGCAGACTGTACAGGAAGTGTAGTGGCTTCTCCTTCTGGTGATACTCAGGAAAGTTAGAACCATAGCAGAAGACAAATAGTAGTAGACACGTCACATGGCCAGAGCAGGGGCCACAGGAAGAGAGGGAGGTCTACACAGTTAGACAAACAGATCTTATGATAACTCACACAATATTATGAGAACAGCACCAAGAGTCGGTGCTAAACCATTCATGAAAGACCCACCCCCTGACCCAAGCCTCTCCCACTGGGTCCCAGCTTCAGGATTGAGGGTTATAATACAACACGAGATTCAGGCCAGGACAAGTTGCAAACCATATCAGATACACATTGTAAAATGCTCATCATGATCAAGGTAATTTGTGTATCTATCATCTCACATACATTTTTTTTAAATGGAGTGTGTGTGTGTGTGAGGGGAGAATATCTAAGATCTACCCTTTCAGCAAAAATCACTTTTATAACACAGTATTAAATACAGGAACATTGCTGTACATTAGATCTCCAGAACTCATTCAACCTGCACACCTGAAATTCTGTACACTTTAAACATCACCCAATTTCCCTCTCCTCCCGCATCCTGGGACCCATTATTTTACTCTCTGCTTTCAAGAGCTTGGGTATTTTAGATCCCACATGTAAATGAGATCATGCAGCATTTGTCTTTCTGCATCTGGCTTATTCCACTTAGCATCATATCCTCCAGGCCCATCCATGTTGTTGCAAATGTCAGAATTTCCTTCTTTTCAAAGCTGAATAAAATTCAGTTTTATGTATACACATTTTCTTTATACATTCATCAATCTATGGTCATTAAATTCTTTTACAAATCTACACTATTATAAATAATCTTACAATCAGCATGTGTTTAACATAGTAATTTTACTTCTTTGAATAAATAACAAGAAGTGGGATCACCAGATGATATGATAGCTTTATTTTTCAATTTATTGAGTAATCAATCCTACCACACCCTAAAAGGATTCCCTTTTCAGCACATTCTTGCCAATATGTGTTATATGTCTTGCTGATAACAGCCATTTTAAGTGGTGGGAGGTGATATCTCATCATGATTTTGATTTGAATTCCTCTGATAATTAGTAATGTTGAGAACCCTTTTAGGCTCTGTTTTCCATGTGTGTGTTTTCTGAAGAAAAACCTATCCAGTTTTTGCCCTTTTTATCAGATCATTTGTTATTTGCTATTGAGTTGCATGAGTTATTTATACTTTTGGATAGAACTTATGTCAGATATATAATTGCACATAGTTTTTTTCCTGTGCTTTTTTCTATTAAATTCAAAGAAATCATTTCTGAATCAATGACAGGAAGTTTTTTTCCATGTGGTCTATGAGTTTGTGGCTTCAGGTTATGTTCAATTTTAGTTTATTTTTGAATATGGTGTTAGAGAAGGTCTAATTTTATTTCTTTTGCATATGGATGTCCAGTTTTTACATCATATATTGAGGAGACTGTCCATCCTTCACTGTGTGTTCTTGGGATACAAAATCAGGAAGATGCATAATTAAAAAAGAAAACATCAGATGAATATTCCTGGTGAATATGGACCTAAAAGTTCTCAACAAAATACTAGCAAATAGAATCCAGAAGCACTTTAAAATGTAATACATCATGATCAAGTAGGCTTTACCCCTGGAAGGCGAGGTTCATTCAACATCGACAATTCAGTAACTGTGATTCACCATGTAAGCAGAATAATAACAAAAACTGTATGATTATCTCAATAGATGCTGAGAAAGCTTTTGATAGGATCCAACATCCACTCATAATAAAAACCCTTAACAGACTAGGCATCAAAAAAATATACCTCGAAATAATAAGAGCCATCTATGACCAACCCACAGTCAACATTATACTGAGTGAGCAAAAGCTCAAAACCCTTTAGAAGTGAAAGAAGACCAAGATGCCCTCTCACCACTGCTATTGAACATAGTACTAGAAATCCTAGTCAGCGCAACCGAGCAATATCAAAATAAAAGGCAGCTGATATGGTTTGAATTTGTGTCCCCACTCAAATTAAATGTCAAATTGTAATTCCCAGTGTTGAGGGTGGGGCCTGGTGAAAGGCGATTAGATCATGGGGATGAGTCTCTCTCTCTCTTGTGCTGATCCCATGATAGAGCCCTCAGGAGATCTGGTTTCAAAGTATGTGGCACCTCCCTTGTCTCTCTTCCTCCTGCTCCAGCCATGTAGGACATGATGCTTCCCTTTCTGTACTGATTGTCAGGATCCTGAGGCCTCCCCAGGCATGCTTCCTGTACAGCCTGAAGAACCATGAAACAATTAAAAATCTTTATAAATCACACAGTCTCAGGTGTTTCTTTATAGTGTGCGAATGGACTAATACAGAATCCAAATAGAAAAATAAGAAGTCAATGTATCTCTCCAAACTGATGATATAATTCTATACCTACAAAATTCTAAAGACCCTGCCAAAATAATTCTAGAATAGATAAACAACTTTGGTAAAGTGTTGGGATACAAAATCAATGTACAAAAATCTAGCATTTCTATACCCCAACTACGTCCAAGCTGAGACTGAAATCAAGAACACAATCCTATCACACTTACAATATTCACACACACAAAATATGAAATGCCTGGAAATACAGGTAACAAACAAGGTGAAAGATCTCTACAAGGAGAACTACAAAACACAGCAGAAAGAAATCACAAATGACACAAACAAATGGGAAAACATTTCATGCTCATGGTTGGAAGAATCAGTATTGTAAAAATTGTCATACTGTCCAAAGCAATTTACAGATTCAATACAATTTACATAAAACTATCACCATCATTCTTCACAGAATTAGAAAAATTTTATATATTCTAAATTTGCATGGAACCAAAAACAGCCTGAATAGCCAAAGCAATCCTAAGCAGAAAGAGCAATGCCAGAGGCATCATGATACCCGACTTTAAACTACACCATAAAGTCACAGTAACAAAAACAGCTTGGTACTGGTACATGAGAAGACATGCAGGAAAAATGGGACAAAATAGAAAACAGAAATAAATAAAGCTGCACATATACAACCATCTTATATTTGATAAGGCTGACAAAAACAAGCAATGAGGAAAAATCTCTGTATTCAGTAAATGGTGTTGGGACAACTGGATTATGGCAGATATACAGAATGGAAGAGTGAAGGAGGCTGGGCAGCTTCTATCTAGATATCAGAAGATGTATATAGAGAACTATGTGCCCAGGAAGAAGCCTGATGCAGGAGTGGAGCCACCACGGACAGCCTCTACTAGGGCAGTGCCAAAGATGTGGAGAATCACTTGAACACAGGAGGCAGAGGTTGCAGTGAGCCGAGATCGTGCCATTACTCTGCAGGCTGGACAATGACAGAAAAATCCTATCTAAAAAAAAATTAATGTAAGAGAATAGAGAGCCCAGAAATAAAGCCAAATATCTACAACCAACTTTTCTTTGACAACACTGACAAAAATATTCACTGGAGAAACAACCCTCTATTCAATAAGTGGTGCTGGGAGAATTAGACAGCCTTACGTAGAAGAATAAAACCAGACTTCTATCTCACCAGAGGCAAACATTAACTGAATATAGATTCAATATTTATAAGTATAAACTGAAACTATAAAAATACTTGAAGAAAATGTAAGGAAAATTCTCGGGACATTGCCCTAGGCAAATAAAATATGACTAAGACTGCAAAAGCAAATGCAATGAAAACAAAAATAGACAAATGGGATTTAGCTGAACTAAAGATCTTCTGCACAGAAAAAAGAAATAATCAACATGGTTCACAAACAGCCTACAGAATGGTAGAAGGTACCATCTCACCTCAGTTAAGATGACTTTTATCAAAAAATAAAAAAAAAAAAAGGCCGGGTGCAGTGGCTCACACCTGTAATCCCAGCACTTTGGGAGGCCGAGCTGGGTGGATCGCTTGAGGTTAGGACTTCGAGACGGGCTTGGCCAACATGACGAAACCCTGTCTCTACTAAAAATACAAAAATTAGCCGGGCATGATGGCAGGTGGCTGTATTCCCAGCTACTCGCAAAGCTGAGGCAGGAGAATCACTTGAACCCAGGAGGTGGAGGTTGCAGTGAGCTGAGATTGTGCCTCTGCACTCCAGCCTGGGTGACAAGACTGAAACTCTGTCAAAAAAGAAAGAAGGAAAGAAGGAAGGAAGGAAGGAAAAAAATAAGGAAGGAAAGAAGGAAGGAAGGAAGGAAGTAAAGAAGGAGGGAAGGAAGGAAGGAAAGAAGGAAGAAAGGAAAGAAGGAAGGAAGGAAAGAACGACATGGAAACTGAACAACCTGCTCCTGAATGACTGACTACTGGGTACATAATGAAATGAAGCCAGAAATAAAGATGTTCTTTGAAACCAATGAGGACAAAGACACAACATACCAGAATCTCTGGGACACATTTAAGCAGTGTGTAGAGGGAAATTTATAGCACTAAATGCCCACAAGAGAAAGCAGGAAAGATCTAAAATTGACACCCTAACATCACAATTAAAAGAACTAGAGAAGCAAGAGCAAACATATTCAAAAGCTAGCAGAAGGCAAGAAATAACTAAGATCAGAGCAGAACTGAAAGAGACAGAGACACAAAAAACCCTTCAAAAAATCAATGAATCCAGGAGCTGGTTTTTTGAAAAGATCTACAAAATTGATAGACCACTAGCAAGACTAATAAAGAAGAAAAGAGAGAAAAATCAAATAGATGCAATAAAAAATGGTAAAGGGGATATCACCACCGATCCCACAGAAATACAAACTACCCTCAGAGAATACTATAAACACCTCTATGCAAATAAACTAGAAAATCTAGAAGGAATGGATAAATTCCTGGACGCATACACCCTCCCAAGACTAAACCAGGAAGAAGTTGAATCCCTGAATAGACCAATAACAGGCCCTGAAATTGAGGCAATAATTAATAGACTCCAACCAAAAAAAGTCCAGGACCAGACAGATTCACAGCGGAATTCTACCAGAGGTATAAGGAGGAGCTGGTACCATTCCTTTTGAAACTATTCCAATCCATAGAAAAAGAGGGAATCCTCCCTAACTCATTTTATGAGGCCAGCATCATCCTGATACCAAAGCCTGACAGAGACAGAACAAAAAAAGAGAATTTTAGACCAATATCTCTGATGAACATAGATTCAACAATCCTCAATAAAATACTGGTAAACCGAATCCAGCAGCACATCAAAAAGCTTATCCACCATGATCAAGTGGGCTTCATCCCTGGGATGCAAGGCTGATTCAACATACACAAATCAATAAACGTAATCCAGCATATAAACAGAACCAAAGACAAAAACCACATGATTATCTCAACAGATGCAGAAAAGGCCATTGACAAAATTCAACAACCTTTCATGCTAAAAACTCTCAATAAATTAGGTATAGATGGTATGTATCTCAAAATGATAAAAGCTATTTAGGACAAACCCACAGCCAATATCATACTGAATGGGCAAAAACTGGAAGCATTCCCTTTGAAAACTGGCACAAGACAGGGATGACTTCTCTCACCACTCCTATTCAACATAGTGTCGGATGTTCTGGCCACGGCAATCAGGCAGAAGAAAGAAATAAAGTGTATTCAATTAGGAAAAGAGGAAGTCAAATTGTCCCTCTTTGCAGATGACATGATTGTATATTTAGAAATCCCCATCATCTCAGCCCAAAATCTCCTTAAGCTAATAAGCAACTTCAGCAAAGTCTCAGGATACAAAATCAGTGTGCAAAAATCACAAGCATTCTTATACACCAATAACAGACAAACAGAGAGCCAAATCATGAGTGAACTCCCATTCACAATTGCTTCAAAGAGAATAAAATACCTAGGAATCCAACTTACAAAGGATGTGAAGGATCTCTTCAAGGATAACTGCAAACCACTGCTCAACGAAATAAAAGAGGATACAAACAAATGGAAGAACATTCCATGCTCATGAATAGGAAGAATCAATATCGTGAAAATGGCCATACTGCCCAAGGTAATTTACAGATTCAATGCCATCCCCATCAAGCTACCAATGACTTTCTTCACAGAATTGGAAAAAACTACTTTAAAGTTCATATGGAACCAAAAAAGGGCCCACATTGCCAAGTCAATCCTAAGCCAAAAGTACAAAGATGGAGGCATCACAATACCTGACTTCAAACTATACTACAAGCCTATAGTAACCAAAACAGGATGGTACTGGCACCAAAACAGAGGTATAGGCCAATGGAACAGAACAGAGCCCTCAGAAAATACCATACATCTACTACCATCTGATCTTTGACAAACCTGACAAAAACAAGAAATGGGGAAAGGATTACCTATTTATAAATGGTACTGGGAAGACTGGCTAGCCATTTGTGGAAAGCTGAAACTGGAGCCCTTCCTTACACCTTACACAAAACTTAATTCAAGATGGATTAAAGACTTAAATGTTAGATCTAAAACTGTAAAAACCCTAGAAGAAAACCTAGGCAATACCATTCAGAACATAGGCATGGGCAGGGACTTCATGTCTAAAACACCAAAAGCAATGGCAACAAAAGCCAAAATTGACCAATGGGATCTAATTAAACTACAGAGCTTCTGCACAGCAAAAGAAACTACCATCAGAGTGAACAGGCAACCAACAGAATGGGAGAAAATTTTTGCAATCTACTCATCTGACAAAGGGCTAATACCCAGAATCTACAATGAACTCAAACAAATTTACAAGAAAAAAACAAACAACCCCATCACAAATTGGGCGAAGGATATGAACAGACACTTCTCAAAAGAAGACATTTATGCAGCCAACAGACACATGAAAAAAGGCTCATCATCACTGGCCATCAGAGAAATGCAAATCAAAACCACAATGAGATACCATCTCACACCAGTTGGAACGGCAATCATTAAAAAGTCAGGGAACAACAGGCGCTGGTGAGGACGTGGAGAAATAGGAACACTTTTACACTGTTGGTGGGACTGTAAACTAGTTCAACCATTGTGGAAGACAGTTTGGTGATCCTCAAGGATCTAGAACTAGAAATACCATTTGACCCAGCAATCCCATTACTTGGTATATACTCAAAGGATTATAAATCATGCTGCTATAAAGACACATGCACACTTATGTTTATTGTGTCACTATTGACAATAGCAAAGACTTGGAGCCAACCCAAATGTCCATCAGTGATAGACTGGATTAAGAAAATGTGGCACATATACACCATGGAATACTATGCAGCCATTAAAAAGGATGAGTTCATGTCCTCTGTAGGGACATGGATGAAAATGGAAACCATCATTCTGAGCAAACTATCACAAGGACAGAAAACCAAACACCGCATGTTCTCACTCATAGGTGGGAATTGAACAATGAGAACATTTGGACTAAGGGTGGGGAACATCACACACACACCGGGGCCTGTCATGGGGTCGTGGGAGCTGGGAGGGATAGCATTAGGTGATACACCTAATGTAATGTTAATGGGTGCAGCACACCAACATAGCACATGTATACATATGTAACAAACCTACACGTTGTGCACATGGACCCTAGAACTTAAATTATTATAAAAAAAGAAAGAAAAAAATAACTATTAATTTTTCTGAACCATGAACATGGAATATTTCAGATATATTTTCAATTTGTGTGTGTTTGCTTTATATTTTATTATCAATCATTTTTGGTTTTCTTTTAGAAATCTTTCACTTATTTGGTAATATGAAATATAATTTTTAGCTATTATAAACAAAATGCTTTATTGATTTTTTGCTGTTTGCATTTAGCAATGCCACCAATTTTTGTATGTAGGTGTTGTATTCTGCAAATTTACAGAATTTTTTTATCAATTATAATAGTTTTTCCAGCACCATTTATTAAATACGGAATCATTTCCCCATTTCTTGTATTTGTCAGATTTGTCAAAGATCAGATGGTTGTAGATATGCGGCATTATTTCTGAGGGCTCTGTTCTGTTCCATTGGTCTATATCTCTGTTTTGGTACCAGTACCATGCTGTTTTGGTTACTGTAGTCTTGTAGCACAGCTTGAAGTCAGGTAGCGTGATGCCTCCAGCTTTGTTCTTTTGGCTTAGGAGTGACTTGGCAATGCGGGCCCTTTTTTGTTCCATATGAACTTTAAAATAGTTTTTTCCAATTCTGTGAAGAAAGTCATTGGTAGCTTGATGGGGTTGGCATTGAATCTATAAATTACCTTGGGCAGTATGGCCATTTTCACGATATTGATTCTTCCTCCCCATGAGCATGGAATGTTCTTCCATTTGTTTGTGTCCTCTTTTATTTCATTGAGCAGTGGTTTGTAGTTCTCTTTGAAGAGGTCCTTCACGTCCCTTGTAAGTTGGATTCCTAGGTATTTTATTCTCTTTGAAGCAATTGTGAATGGGAGTTCACTCATGATTTGGCTCTCTGTTCGTCTGTTATTGGTGTATAAGAATGCTTGTGATTTTTGCACATTGATTTTGTTCCTTTCCTCCGTATTTTAAATTAAGGTATATTTTCAGGAGTTTAAATTTCCAAGTTATAAAATAAAATGTATTGACTATCTTTCATCTTTTAAAATTCATCTTATGAATTTTATTTATGTAAGTGTTTTGTCTTAGTCTTTGTGACTGGCTTGGAAGATTATATGAACAGATTTTCTTTTGACCTCTCTACATATGGGAAGAGCACAAATGTTGTTTCTATTATAGTATATACATGCAAAACTTGAGTTATAGTGAAATGGTTTAACCAAGATTACTCATTAGGGTTTTCAGGACCTTCCTCATGCATCCCTCTGATCATGTTTCTCTGCTGCTCAAAAGCTTTGTCCCTTTTCCTGCACAGAAAGTGTACACATCTTACCCAGTCACTAGTGGCCATCAGGCTCTCATAAATCCTTTTTGCTGTTTATCCTAGTCACAACTCTTGTCCAACCTGTTATTTCCAGCACACTAAACCATACACTACTTAATGCTCTGCACTTTTCATCTTTGTGCCTTTTGCTAAACTGTCATCTTTGAAGACCTATTGCTACTTATTGCATGAAGCTTTATTTGATGGCCTCAGTCTAACACAGCTATTTATTTTTCAATTGGATTTAAAATTGTCTCTCTCTCTACATTGGATTAGAGTTGCTATGTTCCTGTTCTACATTCCTTGCTAGACTGAAAGCTCACTGGCCAGGTCCTATTCATGCTTATTCATTGTAAATTTCTCCACATTGGAGGCATCCTGTTCATGAATGAACACATGAATAAAACTTGGTGTTGAAACTCCAAGTTATCTTGACCTGCAACTTCACACACTCAACTATATAAAATTGGGATCAAATAAATATTCTCGCATAACTATTAGTAAGTCAATATTTACCTTATATTGTAAGTTTCATCTATAAATATGCATCTTCCATTGCCTGATCCCTAACAAAACATAAAAACTAAAAAATCTTAAGATTATTAAAAATATAGGCAATGTTAAGATCACCAGCTTTTCAAATGCAGCAAAATAAATGAAAAAAAAAAAAACTTTCAACAGGGATAACTAAAACCTTACTTTTCCCATTGAGTAGATCTTCTAGCCCAATATGTTTATTAGTCTATAAGAAAATATTAACGTTCATTAATTCCCCAAAGTTTGCTGTCAGTCAAGTCTCCACTCTTTCCCTTGGGGCATGAGAGATAGTGTAGATGAGGTCCAGACATGCTCTACTCAAGGTCTCTGCACATGGCTAAAAGTGCAGGTGTGAAATTCATGTTCTCAATCCATGAAACAATACTCATGAAAAATGCAACTCTGTTCCCGGACATCGTGCAGAATGAAGAAATAATGCAATTGTGGTAAATCTGGAAATTACAATTGTTTGTGGACTGCCCATTTTTTCATATGCCTTCCAATAAATCAGGTGAAAACATGTATTCTGTATAAAAATCCACAGTGTGTTAGCTCTGGGAATGCACCTTCCTCCCTCCACCTACAGGCAGAACCGTACACTTGGATCATGCACCCAGCTGCTGCTCTCTGACGTCCATGACGTGGCTCATGCTAAATCCCATATCCTGTGCTCCATTCTCAGGAATAGAGTGAGCCTTGCACTCATCTGGGTCAGAGTCATTGCTGGGAGTGATGGGGGTTTCCTGAGGGGCAACTTTGTCTTGCAGGAGACTCAATGATAATCTGGACTTTCTTTGCACAGCACAGAAATGTAAGAAAGTTCCAACCAATCCTGTCTCCCTCTCTCCTTCACTCAGGGACAGGCTTCCATCATATGCCATCAGCTTCCCCAGGCTCATTTACCCTCCATGCATTTTCCCTCAAAAGAGTGGATGCCCTCCTTCGACCAATGCATGCACACTTAATCGGCTACTGGAGATTTCTGCTCAGAAGACCAATGATAATACTCATATTTTTGCAAAATTATTTATAACAAAGTCTGATTCTATTGTCAAATATAAAATATTAATTAATATTAAATCAATATTGCATTGATTAATATTAGTGTTAAAATATTAATCAATGTAAAATGTTAATCATGGTAATAATTGATTTTGTGTGTCATCTTGACTGGGACATAGTCTCAGTTATTCAATCAAACACTAATCTAGGTGTTGCTCTGATGTATAATACAGGTATTATTAAAGCCTGTCATCACTTCTCTAGGTCAGGAAGATTGTCCTAGATGAACTTGGTCGGTCTGATTTAATCCTAGCAGAGGAGAAGACAATGGAACTCTATGGTGGACAGCAGCTGTAGGACTTCCCAGGAATTCCATCCTGTCTTTCCGGATGGCCAGCTCCATTGGCTCTGGCTGTGCCTAGCCAGATCTCACAATTGCCATCGTTCAGAGCTCACAGCCCAATCAAGTGTCCATCCTCAGCTCTCCCAAAAGTCCACAAGAGACGGTGGTGGCTCTGTGACAGGGTGAGAAGCAGAAGATCAGCTCTATATCAGTATCCCATTTGAGGAAACGACTATGAGTGTCCACTTGCATTTCCCAAATGCATCTGTGCATAGAAGACAGCAGGGGCATCCAGGCACCAGGAAATGAGAAAGATCCCTCAGCCTGCCAGGTCCTTAGGAGCCACAGCCACAGCAACACCTGAGTTCCAGGTAATGCATCTGAGACCTGTGGTTTAGACCACAGGAAGCACACCCTCCATTTTCAGAATAAAGGAGAAAAGGGAAGTGTAAGACTGAAGCCTAGAGAAAAGGAAAATGGATTAGCAGAGAAAGGACCAAATGGATCAGTTCTGAGTCAGATGTTCAGTTTTAAAGGACGATGGGGTTACTGTGAAAACTGTCAGGATTCTAAGGACCCAGGCCCTGGGCGAGCCTCCCTCTTGGTCCCAATCTGAATCCCAAAGCCTGTTCCAATCAGAGATTCCCACAGAGACGCCTGCCCTGAGTCTGACTGAAAAACACTTCCCAGGTTCCCCTGGGCTTCCTCAGGACTCTGATTCTGGTGACCAGGGCAGGGACACTTCTGTCCCCAAAGTGACACTCAGGCTTCTGTGGAGGTGAGAATGTGTCCTCCTGTCACAAAAACAAAGACACACCAGGGAAGGAAAGTGTCACATTCAGAGACATTAAACGTAAGTACAGAATTGTAAATCTGAAAGGTTCTCTGAGGAAACTTGATGAATCAGCCCCAGATGCTGAGAGAAAATCAGCCTTTAGCACCACCAGCCCCTGCCACGGAGAGCAGCCCAGTTCATAGGGCCCAGGACACCCCCTCGTGGTCTCAGATGCCCCTGCAGCGAGGTTTTTGTCTGGGCTCACATTGACTTCCCCTCACTGTGTCTCTAGTACAGTAATACACAGCCATGTCCTCAGCTCTCAGACTGTTCATTTGCAGATACAGCGTGTTCTTAGCATTGTCTCTGGAGATGGTGAATTGGCCCTTCAAGGAGTCTGCGTAGCTTGTGCTACTCCCATCACTATTAATACGTGAGACTCACACCAGCCCCTTCCCTGGAGATTGGCGGACCCAGTGCATCCAGTAGCTACTGAAGGTGAATCCAGAGGCTGCACAGGAGAGTCTCAGGGACCCTCCAGGCTGTACTAAGCCTCCCCCAGACTCCTCCAGCTGCACCTCACACTGGACACCTGCAAACACGGAGACACCCTGGTCAGAAACTGCCAGAGTGCTTATCTCACTCATGTCCATTCACACTCCATGTCTCTAGTTTTCCATCAGTCACCTTTTAAAATAGCAACAAGGAAAACCTAGCTCAGCCCAAACTCCATGGTGAGTTCTCTGTGTGCAGTCCTGATCAGCAAGTAGAAACACCTGGGAATCCCAGGGCTAGGGCTCTTCTCCCAGAGGTGCAGGGTCAGGGCTGGGCTGGTTTTCTTCAGCAGAGTGAGGGCCCTATTTGCATATCTCCTACTATATAGCAAGCTCTGCGGTGAGACACCTGAAGAGAGAGCAGGACCCAGGGCAGATGAAAGTGTCCTGAGGAAGATGGGTGACAACAATGGGATTTGAGTAATTGTGCTTATTATGAAACTGTGCTGTGATAAAATCTTTGCACTGATCACCTTATTTCAGATTTACCTATGTGTGTAAATTATGTTCTGTAGGAGTCAATGTTATCTATTTACAGATGTAAAAGTAAACCCACACATGGATGGGCTCTCTGTGTATCTAAGAGCTCATGTCTGGGATGGGTGAGTGCTGGTGTCTGGGCCTGCACTTCTCACCACTGGCCCTGACTCCTCCCTTAGCCAACTCCAGGACAGAGCTGGCCATGCCTAGTGTGGTTTGCAGAAGTCACTGCCTAATCAGAATATGGGTGATTTTGCTGCACTCTCCTGTTTACCTTAAACTATGGAGAGAACTAGGGTTCAGGTAGGTAACTTTCAGGTATTTCTGACATTTAACATACTTGTATCTATCTTTCTGTCACTCCTACATTGTCTAATTTTCAACTTGTTTCCTGATAATAAATTTTATAAGATTTGATTGACAGATTATAAACTTTACATATTTAAAGTGTAAAATTGACAATCGTGACATAACTATTACCATTATAAAGAAGGTGGACAAGTGAAATTCCCTCAACTTCTTTTCTGTCCTTCTACTTCCTATTTCTATTTCCTTATCCTTTCTCCTTCCCTTCTGCCAACACATTCCCAGGCAACTACTAATCTTCTTTATATTACTTTAGATCAGTTTTCATTTTCCAGAATTTTTAAAAATAGAATCATATATACTCTTATCTGTTTGGCTTATTTTACTCTATTTAAATACTTGATAATTTAATCTTCTTATTGTGTATATCAGTAATTCCTTTATTATGAATGATGGGTAGCATTCCAGTAAACAAAGTTACCATAATTTGTTTTTCTATTAGGCAGCTGAAAAATATTTGGATTCTTTTATTATTTTTGGTGTTAATAAAAATTTTGTTATTCAGATTTGAAATGTATATAGATGAGAATTTCTTTTTTTACAACAAGAATAAAATCAACAATAACAATTAATCAGAGAAAATGGACTTTTGCAAATTGTCTTTAATACTTCAGATCATTGAAATTTTAAGACAATCAACAAGCCTGAAATCTAGAGAGAGACAAGTTCTTGTAGGGAGAATCAAAGTTAGGGTGTGAGCTGAACTGAGGCAGAGTTCACCAAATGCAATATAGGCTAGTACAAGATAAAATACACTGATATACATTGAACTGTTTTGAGTCGAGTGTGATAAGCATGTTTTTAGTGAGAAATTCTCAGGAACCACATACTGAAGAGTTTTTCTATTCTTTTGAATGTCTTTCCCTTATAACGAGAATAGTCACAAAAATCTTCCCTTCCCAAAGTGTCTGTCTGGGGTGTATCAGAGCCCACACCTGAAATGCTTCCAGAGCCAAGTCTCTTACACCCACTACAGAACTAAGAAATTACTCAACAGGGGCAAACCACCAAAACCAGTATCCTAAATGCACTGGTTTAACCCCTCAGGAATTGAGATGGGAACAGAGCTCCCCACCAAGGTTCTACTGGGAAGCAGCTCCCCTCTCTTATGGAATCACAGCCTTAGTCTGCAGAGCAGGGCAGCAGATCTGGAAGGTGATGACACCGATGAAGAACACTGCAGCTGTGGAAGGGATCACCCGGGGAAACGGGGGGCTCTACTCCGGGGGAAGGGGAGCTGAAGAGCAAGGCAGAAAGGAGCCCCCATGTCAAACTTCGGGGTTCCAGGGAGGGAAGTGGAAGTGGCACCGCCTTGAAAACCCGGGCAGTGGAGCAGCCGCTGTACCCACCCCGCCAAGGGTGCGGGGTTCCTGGGCCTTGGGAGGTTCTGTGCAGGCTGCTCAGGCCGCGTCTCGAGGGTTCGGCCGCATGTCAGGGTGACCACGGAGGCCGCCATTCCCGACTACCGGCCGGGGTCGTGATCAGCTCTGCCCGGACCTCCCTGAGCACCAGGGCAATGCGGGGAGCTTGTGGAGATGTCGCCCCTGCCTGGACACCGGTCAGGGCCCAGAGAGGATCAGGCTGCGAAGGGCAGCGCAAGGAGGGGCAGCGAGGGCTGATGTTCCACGGAGCCGGTGGGAGCCAGGAGCAGGCAGCAGCTCTGATCTCTCAGGCAGCTCCAGCTGCTCTAATCAGGGCAGTGGGCTCGGACTCTGTGCTCTTGGAGGTCAAGGAACAGGAAGGAGCCCTGCCTTCCCCGGGCGTGGCTGCAGCCACCCAAACCGCGGCTGAAGACACGGGCCTCTCGCTCCATGAAGCCGGCAGAAGCCCTGCCCCGCAAACCGCGGGCTGCAGCCTCAGGCATCCCTGCACTCTTGGGGTCCCCAGGAAAAGCCCTCTGCTCTTGCATGCTCCGAAGTGCCTGCTCCCACTTCTTGGCTTCTTCCTGCTTTTGGCGCCTGCTCTGATCTTGGAGCAAAGTCTGGGCGGAGCCCCAGGGACCATGAACTGCAAAAGGAGGCAGGAAGATTCCTGTGCAGAGGGGGAGGGTCCCCAGGAAGGGCCTGAAGGCTGGGCCCGGGCTCCCAGATACTCAGACCACAGTGGGGACTTGTGGTGCTGTCTACGGCCCACCCATGACCACCCATGGACCAATGGGCACGCACTTCCTTCCCTCGGAGGTCCATAAAAACCCCTGGGCTCAGCCAGAGCAGGACAGAAGATGGAGAGACGACAGGAAGACCAGCTGCAGGGAGGAGCTACCCTCTCTCCTGAGAACTGGGAAGACGACAGGATGACCAGCTGCAGAGAGGAGCTACCATTTCTCCTGAGAACTGGGAAGACGACAGGATGACCAGCTGCAGAGAGGAGCTACCCTCTCTGCTGAGAACTGGGAAGACAACAGGACGACCAGCTGCAGGGAGGAGCTACCTTCTCTGCTTAGAGCTGAACACTCAACCAGTCAACCTGCCTACAGAGAGGAGCTACTCACTGGGGGTCTCCTCTGAGATGCTCGAATGCTTCATGAAGCTAGTCTTTGCCTTGCTCACCCACCACATGGCTGCATACCTCATTCTTTCCAGATGTAGGACACGAACTTGGGCAAAGTCGCCGCTGGCCACAGAGGGTTCTGGCCAGAAAAAGCAACACCCCAGTGATCCCGAAACAACTATGGTAAATACTGTAGGCCATGGTAACACAGTAGTATTTGTGTATCTAAACATAAAAAGGTATAGATAAATAGGGAAGCATATTATTGTGGAACCACCATTGTTTGTGTCATCTGTTAGTGGCAGAAACTTTGTTATGCAGAGCATAACTGTATTTAAATTTCTGGGGGAAAAATACAGCCACCCAAGAACATAAAATTGATAAAACACTTCTAATGAAATGGAAGATAGAGAAATACTTTCCCAGGCAAAGAAAAACTGAAGAAATTCATCACCACTAGAATTACCTCACAAGAAATGTCAAAGGGTCTCCACTAGGTACCCAATAGAATGAGCTCCTGTTTCAGCCCCACTCTGGCATCTGTCCTGTGATTGTTCTGTGTAGATCTGCTTTCTGCTCTCTTAGGGTTTTTCCTCTCTTGAGTCATGTCTCCCTTCCCCTCCTTATTTTCAGTCTATCACCACAATTCATATTTAGCTGGGAACACTGGAGGCTTTGGAAGAGATTTTTATCTATTCTTCACCAGGTCTAATGAGTTCTCTCCATGGGTGTCCATGTCTGTTTTGTTTTCTTGCATTCCCGTGGGAGGATGTCCTTGTTCCTTGCGTACTTTCAGTACTGTGTTGAATAAGTGCTAAGAGTTCTCATCCTTGTCTTTTCCAGTTTTCAAAAGAAAAAAATTACTTTCTCTTAAGTATGATGTTAGCTGTGGACTTGTCATGTGGCCTTTATTGTGTTGTACTTTATTTCTGTACACAATTGAGAGTTGTTTTCCATGAAGAGATGTTGAATTTTCATCTTCTGCATCTATTAATATAGAAATATAGTTTTTATCCTTCATTCTATAGATGTGATATAACATGTTTTTTGACTTGTGTATGTTGAAGGGTAATTGAATCCCTGGGTTGAATCCCACTTGGTCATGGTGTATTATGATTATTATTATTTGAAATGCTGTTTGATTTGGTGTGCTAGTATTTTTAGATTTTTAAATTTATGTTCAACAGGATATAGATCTTTTACCGGAGTCCATCTGATTGCTTTTTATGGGTTTGTTCAGGCTTTCTACTCCTTCTTTTTTAATCTTGTTAGGTAGTATGTGTCCATGAATTTATCTAATTCCTCTAGGTTTTCAAATTTTTCACATAGACATGTTTATTATAGTGCTTCATAATTTATTTTAGTTCTGGTATATCAGTTGAGGCATCTTCTGCTTCTATTTTATTTATTTGGGTCATGGCTCTCTCTCTCTTTCTCTCTCTCTCTCTCTCTGTCTCTCTCTCTCTCTCTCTCTCTCTCTCTCTCTCTCTCTCTATATATATATATATATATATTCTTTTTTTGTTAGCCAGCTACTAATGGCTTTCAACTTTGCTTATCTTTTTTTGTTATTTTAATATTTTCTGGTATTTTTAGTCTTAATTCTGTTTATGTCTAATCTGTTCTTTGTTGTTTTTTAAAATAATTTTGAGTTTAGCCTTTTCTTGTTCTTAAAGTTCTCTGAGATGCGTTGTTATGTTGGTTATTTAAAATATTTCTGCTTCTTTGATGTGGGCATTTATTGCTATAAATTTGCCTCATAATACTGGTTTGGATAAGTGCCATAAGATTTGGTATGTTTCGCTTCTATTGTATTTGTTTCATACATTTTTATATTTTCTTCTTAATGTCTTCTTTCACCCATTGGCCATGTAAGAGTGTTTTGTTTAATTTTTGTGTTTATATAGTTTTGAAATTTTCTCTAGGCTGGGCAGTGGCTCATGCCTGTAATCCCAGCACTTTTGGAGGCCAAGGCTGGTGGATGACTTTAGGTCCGGAGGTCAAGACCAGCCTGGCCAACTTGGTGAAACCCTGTCGCTACTAAGAGCACAAAAATCAGCTGGGCATGCTGGCAAGTACCTGTAATTTCAGCTACTTGGGAGGCTGAGGCACGAAAATCATTTGAACTTGGAAGGAAGAAGTTGCAGTGAGCTGAGTTTGTGCCACTGCACTCCAGCCTGGGCAATAGAGCAAGAGTTCATCTCAAAAAAAAAAAAAAAAGAGAATTTCCTCCAATTACTGATGTTTAGTTTCATTTCATCTTTAATCAGATAAACAGTTGGCATCATTTTATATAAAAATTTTGACACATGTACTGTATTAACATATGGTCAATCCTGAAGAATATTGCATGTGCTGAAGAAAAGAATATGTGCTCTGAAGTTGTTTGGCTCAATGTTCTGTAAATGTCAGGTCCATTTGGAATATAGTGCAGTTTAAATCCAATGCTTATCTGTTAATTATTGGCTAGATAATCTATCCAATGCTGAATAATGTGTTAAATTATCCAAGTATAATTGTATAAAGTTAGAATCTGTCCCTTACTATGTAACATATTTGCCTTATATATTTGAGTTCTCAGGTGTGGGTACATATTATATATATATTTACAATTGTTATCTATTCTTGCTCCATTGATCATTTTTTTGTTATATAATGTCCATTTTGGTCTCTCTTTATAGCATTTGACTTGAAATTTCTTTTGTCTGATGTAAGTGCTCATTATTGGTTTCTATTTTTGTAGCATATCTTTTTTCCCCCATTCACTTTTAGTCCTTGTGTAGATTTTCAGATGATGTCACTCTTTTGTAAACAGCAGAGAGTTGGGACTTAAAAAAATCTATGTGAACAGTATATTTTTAATTGAGGAGTTTTATTTATTTACATATAAGGTTATTTTGAATCTCTGTTTCTATGCCTTCCATGTAGAACTGTGAGTCAGTTAAACCTCTTTTCTTTGTAAGTTACCCAGTCTTGAGTATTTCTTCATAGCAGTATGAGAAGAAAAAAATGCACTCTTTTGGTACCACCGAGAGTAAGGCACTGCTATAAAGATACCTGAAAATATGGAAGCAACATTGGAACTAGGTAAGAGATAGAGGCTGGAACAGTTGGCAGGGCTCAGAAGAAGACAGGAAGATATTGAAAAGTTTGTAATTTCCTAGAGACTTGTTGAATGACCTTGAACAAAATGCTGATAGTAATATGGACAATAAAATCCAGGATGAGGGGGTCCCAGATGGAGATTAGGAACTTTTGGGGAATTGGAGCAAAGGTGACTTCTGCTATGCTTTAGCATGAAGACTGGGAGCATTTTGTCTCTGCCCTAGAGATCTGTGGAACTTTGAACTTGAGAGAGGTGGTTTAGAGTATCTGGCAGAAGAAATTTCTAACCAGCAAAGCGTTCAGGACAAACAAGAGCATAAAAGTATGGAACATTTTCAGCTGACGATGCCATAGAAAAGAAAAACCAATTTTCTGGGTAAAAACTCAAGCAAGCTGCAAAAATTTGCATAAGTAACAAGAAACCAAGTGCCAATCACCAAGAAAGTGGGGAAAAATGTCTTCAGAACATGTCAGAGGTCTTCACGACAGTACCTCCAATCACAGGCCAAGAGCCCCAAAAGGAAAATAATGGTTTCATGTGCCTGGTCCAGGGCTTTCCTGCTCTGTGCAGTTTTGGGAAATGGTGCCTTGAGTCCCAGCTACTTCAGCTCCAGCTGTAGCTTAAGGGGGCCAAGGCACAGCTCAGGCCACTGCTTCAGATGGTGCAAATCCCAAACCTTGGCAGCTTCCCTGTCATGTTTGCACAGAAGTTAAGAATAGAGATTTGGGAACCTCCACCTAGATTTCAGAAAAATGTATGGAAATGTCTTCATGTCCAGGCAGAAGTTTGCTGGTTGGGGGGTGATGTAGCCATCATATAAAACCTCTGTTAGGGTAGTGCTGAAGAGAAATGTGGGGTTGAAGCCACCATACAGAGTCCTCACTGGGCCTCTGCCTAGTGGAGCTGAGAGAAGAGGGCCACTGTCCTCCAGAAACCAGAATGGGAGATCAACTCACAGCTTCCACTCTGAGCCTGGAAAAGCTGAAAACACTCAACACCAGTCCATGAAAGCAGCTGGGAATGGGGCTGTACTTTGCAAAGCCATGGTGGCAGAACTGTCAGAAACCATTAGAGTCCACCTCTTCCATCAGCCTGACCTGGAAGTGAGACGTGGAGTCAAATGAGATTATTTTGGAACTTTAAGGTTTAATGACTGCCCTATTGGATTTTGATCTTGCATGGGCCTGTAGCTCCTCATTTCAGCCAATTTCTCCCATTTGGAATGGGTGTTTTTCCTCAATATCTATACTTATATTGTATCTAGGAAGTAACTAACTTGCTTTTGATTTTACAGGCTCATAGGTGGAAGGGACTTACCTTGTCTCTGATGAGATTTTGGACTTGGACTTTTGAGTCAGTGCTGGATTGAGTTAAGACTTTAGGGGACTGCTCCACTCCAGATTGTTGACAGAACAAGACTCCGTCTCAACAACAAAAAACAAAAAAAAGAAAAAAAAAGACTTTAAGGGACTGTTGAAAAGGCATGATTGTGTTTTGAGATGTGAGGACATGAGATTTGGAAGGGGCCAGGAGAAGAATGATATGGTTTCTCTGTGTCCCCACCCAAAATCTCATCTTGAATTATCATCCCCATAATCTCACATACGAATAGTGGGACCCGATGGAGGTAATTTAATTGCAGGAGTAGGTTCCCCCAGGCTGTTCGTGTGATAATGAGTGTGTCTCACAACATGTGATGGTTGTATAAGCATTTGGCATTTCCCCAGCTTGCAATTTTCCATCCTGCTGCCTTGTGAAGAAGATGCCTCGCTTCCCTTTTCCCTTCTGCCATAATTAAAAGTTTCCAGAGGCCTCCCCAGCAATGCATAATTTTGAATCGATTAAGCCTCTTTTCTAAATAACTTACTCAGTCTTGGATATTACTTCATAACAGTGTGAAAACTGACTAATACAGAGTTTTCTTCTAATATTTTAACATGATACATTTAGATTAATGTAACTATGTATTTATTTCTAAGATGGAGTGTGACTCTGTCACCCAAGCTGGAGTGCAGTGGCATAATCTCAGCTCACTTCACCTCTGCCTCCCAGGATCAAGCGATTCTCCTGCCTTAACTGCTGAGTACCTGGGAATAAAGACACGTGCCACAACACCCAGCTACTTTTTGTATTTTTAGTAGAGATGGGGTTTTACCATGTTGGCCATGCCAGTCTTGAACTCTTGACCTCAGGTGATCTGCCTGCCTCCACCTCCCAAAGTGCCAGGATTACAGGCCTCAGCCACCATGCCTGGCCAAGATTAATATAAATATGTAATTTAATGATGTATTTGAAAAGTTCATGGTCATACAAACACACATACATACACAACAGCCCAGCAAAGACACATACATGTGCCCATGCAAAAATGCATGTATATTTAAACATCACACCAACACACCCATTTGTTTCATATTATTTAATTATTTAATTGCATTTAAATTGTGTTTGCAGTTTGAGGTTGTAGTACAAAATAATATTTTTCTATGTGTCTGTCTGCCTATTCCAATATTAAAATACAAACATATTTCAATTCGTGTTTTGGCAAAACTGAATGTAAATGCAATTATTGGCATATATGTTATTTAAATGTATAATGGTATTTAATTTTAAATATCAGTCTGTTATTAATGAATAGAATAATAAGACAAACTTCACTTTTTAAATTGTATTACATTATTTGTTGAATTAACATTATGGTTTTAAACTAGGCAGGATAAATTTTTTTTATTTGAAAAGTTGTGAAAAAACATTTTATGGCATGAATATTTAATACAAACTCTAGTCCTTATTTGCCAATATCCTTTATAATAGAGAACATCCAGTAATATGAAACTGAACCCAGCTCATGCTTTCCAGGAGTCACTCACATTGGCAGCTTCCTAGAGGGTGGTCAGAGAGTGTGCAAACACATGGGGATTTGGGCTTCATCATCAAAGCACTAGTGAGCCCCAGGACTGAGCACACAGAGGGCAGCAGTAGCTGTGGAGCCCACTCTGTGGTACTTAGGGAAAGGAGGGGATTGGATGGGGGTGATGTCTGCAGGACCCTAGAAAAGGGTGAGGAGGGCAGATAATCTGCAGGTAGATGAGTATATTCTAAGAATGGTCATCCTCCTAAACTTGGTTGGCTTCAATGATTATGAAGAGAAGAGAAGTGATTCACCACACATGGAAGACAGAAAGTAAAGGGACTTTCTGTTTCCTCCCTGGAGACTTAGGAAGATAAAAGGCTTTCAAAGAAGAAAGGAAGGTGAAGAAACAGTCTGCAAAACAGGACATTAGAAGCCAACCAAAGTGGAGAACAAGAGTCTTTAAAGTGCTGTTTAATTTCCACGAACAGTAGATAAAACAAAAAGAAACAAAACACCATGCATATGCTGAGTTAAAGTAAGAAAACCTATGCGATTGTTTGACTCTTACAGCACATGAACACAAAACTCTTTTATTCGGGGAAACAGAGTTTGTATTGAGGATTCGCATTTTTTAAGACTGGGTCTCACTTTGTCACCCAGGCTGGAGTGCAGTGGCACAATCACAGCTCACTGCAGCCTCAACCTCCCAGGCTCAGGAGACCCTCAAGCCTCAACCTTCCAAGTAGTTGGGACCACAGGTAGCACTACACCCAGCTATTTTTTTTTTAATAGAAAGGATCTCACTATGTTGCCAGGCTGTTGTAAAATTCCTGAGCTCAAGTGATCTGCCTGCCTCAGCCTCCCAAAGTGCTGGGATTACAGGTGTGGTTTTTTAAATTTTACTCTTTTAATGATAGTATTATTTCAAATGAATATAATATATAAAGAATCTATTTTAAAAATTGTACTGAGAGATCATTGCTAGTGTTATTCAGAAAATATGCAACATTAGAAGTTGAATTAAATCCCTGTTCTAAGTTAATGTTTTGCAGGTAAAAGAATCCATGGAGTTAAAAGGAAGAAATGGTGAGAGATCCTGGGAAAGCCTTTTGCTTGACCAGGTCAAGAATCACCAAAGTTTAAAAGGAAACCACAGCCTCCCAGCCTCCTGATGTGGAGCTGCTTCCTAAGAGAACCCTCGTGAACTGAGCACCCCCAGTGTCCTGAGCGTCCCCTGGTGGTTCTGAGTGCCCCTTTGTGTCCTCAGGGCCACCTGGTGTTTCTGAGCACCGTTTGGTGTCCTGAGCGCCCCCTAATGGTCCTGGGCATTCCTTGGTGATCCTGAATGCCCCCTGGTGTCCTCAGCGCCCCCTGGTGGTTCTGAGGGACCCTGGTGTCCGGAGCGCCTCCTTGTTTCCTGAGCGCATCCTGGTGTCCTGAACACCCCCTGGTGTCTGGAGCACCCCCTGGTGTCCTGAGCACCTCCTGCTGGTTCTCAATGCTCCCGGCTGTTCTGAGCATCTCCTGCGCTCCCGAGTTTGCCTTTGTTGTCCTGAGCCCGCCCTTGTTGTCCTGACCGCCCCCTCGTGTCCTGAGCGCCCCCTGGTGGTTGTGAGCAGCATCTACCATGCAGTTCACTCCTCTCTCCCTGCAGAGATTTTTGTGTCTGGGCTCACACGGATGTTCCCTCTCCTGTGTCCCTCACTGTAATATACAGCCTTGTCCTTGGCTTTCAGATTGGTCATTTTAAGGTAGACTGCACTTGAAAGGGTGTTGTTTGGGACTGTTAATTTACTTATACTCATGGAGAGTAACCCTGAGAACTCCCACTTGTTCACTCACTGTTGCCACCCACACCAATCCCTGTCATGAAATCTGCTGGACCAAGCTCATGCTTTAGTCAGTAAAGGTGAATCCAGAGGCTTTGCAGGAGAGTCTCAGAGAAACCCTGGGCAAACCATTTTCCCTCTGACTCCACCAGTGAACTTCACTCAGGACTTCTGCAAACACAGAGGAAGCCAACTGAGAAGAGCCCATGAGGAGCAGCCACAGCTGGACCTGATTCACAAGGGACCATAATATTGAGGGTGATGAGAAGGGAATCCCAGATCCAGACCTCATGGTGTGGACACTGAGGAAGGGAACATACATGGGGTGGCTCCTCACCAGGCCTGAAAGAACGGGGATGAGCTGCCTTTCATGAGGAGGGGAGGAGACACATTTCCACGTCTTTTTGTGGTCATGTGTGCACAACTCAGCATTGCTCATCCATCCTCTGGTCTGCATTTTAGGGAGGCCAAGGTCAAAGTATGCCCGGGTCTGGATGCACAGGGTTAATCTGCCCATTACTCTTTCTTATTCTCTAATGTGGGCACTGCTGAGGAATCTTCATAGTTGCAAACATTATCAACAAATAAGTCCAGTAAGAACATGAGGAATACATTTCCAGAGAAAATGGACATCTGTCAGTAATCAGTGCTTTTGGAGCTGCAAACCACTGTTCTTGACAATAAGGCAAAGTTAAATTACAATGCAAAATTATAATTACAATGCAAAAAATGCATTTCAGGGTTGGGGTTTATAATTTTCATTATCTTGAGATCATTTTGCAGCAAACAGTTCAACATTAGATATATGTACTTGTGTAAGGAAAAAATGTGGAAATGCATGTACGTATCTGAGTGAAGAGTTCTCATGGAGACATATCTGATTGTTTGAGACAGGAGTCCACATTAGAAAATGTCTTTTTTCTGAGGAAAGAGTAAATGTAAGGACATATGTGGTAGTCTGAGGAAAGAGTTCATGTGAGGACATGTGTGTTTGTCTGAGGGAAGAATCCACATGAGTAAAGGTGTGTTTGTCTGACAGAAGGGTCCATATGTTGACAGATGTGTGTACCCATCTGAGGGTAAATGCTCATTCAGGGACAGCATATGCCTGAACTGAGCTGAAGTTTGGGGAAAATCTTTCTCAACCAAGGAAAGAAAATAATCTTCTGGGTTATTTGCTTGTCATTAATAAAAAACCTGGCTAATGTAGAAAATTGATTTTTTAAAATAAAAGATCTTTAGTGAATGGAAGCATCTTATATGAAAATGAGGAAAATTATTTCATTCTTAGTTTCATGCATCTCCTGACATCCCCACACTCACAAATATGTTGTTAGATAATTTTATACAGTCTGCATTTAATCCAAGGTTTAATGAACTGCTAAATATTTTTTTTAAATTGTATATATTTGGTTTTGTATTTTTATCACAAAATTATGATCTTAGACAAATTAATTGTGTCATATCTCAACCATGGCATATGACTAAATACAGTTTTACTCTTCTTAAACAGTATATTTTTTGCTTATTTTATACCCACTTCTCTAAATTCCTGGAATATCCTCTATCTGTTTACTTGGCTATAGTTTGGGCTTTTACTGAATTTCAAATAAATGAAATTATACAGTGTAATTGAAATGACTTTACTGAAGAAAGTTGAAAATGAAATTGCTGACCTAAGTAACTTTGCAAATGAGGAAATTATGTATTGCGGGATCTGGCCAGCAGCCCACAATGCAATGGGGCTCTCTCTTTGTTCCCAGGCGGATTGGCAGGTTGAGAAATAATAGACACACACAAGACAATGAAAGCTGGGTCCAGGGGGGTCACCACCTACTGGTCCCACAGTGCCAACAATGCACTGGATGTACCAGCATTTATTATTAAGTTTTAGTGAGGGTGGGGGTAGGTTAGTGAGGGATTTAGGGTCATTTGATTATGAGGTGAGATGGTGACATGGGGATGAAGTAATTCTTTAACATAACATTTGTATGTAGAAGTACAGTACACAGAGATAAGAATTTACAATATAGTGTGTGCGCCAGTAATTTCTAACAGAGCCTTAAAACAGAAACGCAATCTTTCCATAACCTACGATTAGCAAGGTATTAATATATTATATAATACATATATAATATTATAATATAATGTATATAATACATATATAATATAATATAATGTATATAATACATAAATAATATATTATATATAGTATATATACTATTATATATAGTATATATTATCTATATTATATATATATTTTATATATTATATATATATATATATATATATATATACTGTTGTAGTTTCCCATTGATCTTAATGACAGGGCATGTTATATATATTATATATACATATTAGGGTTCTCTAGAGGGACAGCACTATATATATATATATATATATATATATATATATATATAGTTTCCATAGTCTGTGGTATAGACTAGGTGAAATGGACTTTACAACCTCCTGAAGGGTAACACCCAGACTGTCACCTGAACTTCCTGAAATCCTGTGCCCTGGGGATTGGACAAACCTTAAAACCAAAGCCACTGTTAAGTTAGCTCAGCCTTTGATTGAGCATGGCAATCTGCCTATACTTGACTTCCGGGGTGGGTGAGGGAGAATTCCTGCCTGGAACAATGTCACATTACAAAGAATTTTCACAATGCTCATGAGACATCTCGGACCTTCCATCAGAAGCGTTCAGGATGGCAGGAGACTGGACATGATGAGCAAACATGGGGATAGGAGGAAGGAAACAGAGAATGGAAGGAGGTGACAGCTGACAAGGCCTTGTGTTCTCAGATGCTGAGCATGAAATGAAGCATTTATGATGAAGGAAACAGAACAGATGTATGCTACAATATTAAATATAAAACAGTAAATTACAGCAGGTGGCTTCACAGCAGCTTAGACACAGCAGAGGAGAAGAGGATGGAATTGGAAGATCGATGCTCAGGACGGATGCAGAGTGAAGCCGAGGACCCATCAAAGAGGATTTGGGAGTTGCAGGCTCTGGGAGTGGACCCACCCCAGAAAGAGAGAAGGAGAGGGATGGGAGGAAGAAGGAATGTTTGAAATTACTCCTTAGAGAACCAGGACAGCCCCTTGGGCCAAGCAGCCCATGACCCTTGCAGCCTCAGAGGTCCAGACTCCAGCCTGGCCTCACGTGCTGGTTGGTCTTGTCCCTGCCAGGCCAGAACCCTCCTCAGAACCCAGAGCCCCCACAGCTCTCCCTCACCCTATGCCCAGGACATGTCTCCTGTGCTCTCTTCTCTGGCCCACAGGTGGGAGTTTACACCTGCTCGGGTGGCCTCGGCATCCACACAAACAACCTGGTAACAGTTGTCCTGCTCCCTCCACCTGGCACAGCTTGGATCTCCCACAGTGCAGGCCCCATGTTTAGGAGTGATTAGAACACACAGAAGGACAGTTCAAGACAACAGGTGCTGAGGCAGGCAGATTTGGAGGATTTAAGTGCTGATGTTCTTGAAAGACCATTTCCATGGGGTTAATGGTGGTTTCTCTTGGTGAACTGTTGGCTTGTGTTTTTGATATTGTTGTTGCTCTAAATAGTGTTTACCTGACTTCAATATGAACTCTATTGGTCGCAATCTTTGTTAAAATATGTATCATTCTAAAAGTTCACATGGCATTAGATTTTTTGCTCAAACTACCTATAATATTTCTCCAACAGAGTGCACATTTGCCTTCCTTCTGCACATACCTCCGCCCCCTGCCCTGAGCAGTGTCTCAGCGGTTCCCATCTGTTTAGGGGGTGGGGCAGGAGACACAGGCCCTGACACAAGGTGGGGCTGTGCCAAGCACGGTGGTCTTGCATGGGCACTGAGTGGGTGGGCCCTGGAGAGAGGGGAGGTCATTCCCCCAGGGAACCCCCCATGCCACAGGGGAGAGGTCAGCTGGAGCACGAGGTGGGGGGCAGAGATGCATAAAGGGTGGGACGGGGCCTGCTGCTCTATCAGCAAAACCCCTCACACCCGAAGGACACACAGGTGGAGGGCTGTATTCACTGACCTCACACTCACTGTCCATTAGCGTTCACCCACAAAATAATAGAATACACTGAGAGAGGCACAGGAATGGATTGCTCACATCTTTATGACAGCTGAATGGAGGAAATTTCTAAGCAGGTTCAGAGAAAGGATATCAAGCTGTGTTTGGAGAAAGGGGTGGGAATTCTAAACAATATCTATGGAAGCAGAACATCTAGAACCACAGATGTATTCAGAAAAATGCTAGATCTCAGTACTACCCTAGAATATGAGCGGTTTTCTGTGGATGGTATGAGAAGGGTGATTTCTTCCGTTGGTGGGCTTTGCCTTTGAAATTCTCTGTGACATACCTACACTGCATTTTAAAAGTCAATATTATTGTGAATTTTAATTTAAAATAAAATGTTATCTCATTCGGTTATTTATACATTTAACTTCCATTTTCCTTTACAATAACTCAGCGACACACCTAGCCCTGTTTTACACCTGGACCAGCCTGTGCTGCTACAAGCCTGGTTTCTCTTCCTCATCACGACTTACTCAGCTTTCCTTCCCATTTCAGTTCAAGGAATTGTGGGGGCAGGAAGGAAGGGGGCAGCTGCCACTCACGGAGCTCACACTAAATGCCAGAGAGCTTGCCCCGCACATCTACCTATTTTTCTAGTTGAATTTCATTGCATGCAGCAATCAACTTCAGGGATTCATTTTCCCACATACGGGAAGCTTGGCCCCAGGTAGGGGGATTTGCTTGGTGGGGTATTTGAACCCAAGTTCCTCTCACTGCAAAGCCCACAGCACCCCCGTGAGGAACAGACAGGGAACAGGGAGTAGCCCTGGATCACCCTAAACTGACTTCGGGTTTAGAGAAGGACAGACTACCTGGGGAATGAGGAAGCTCATTGCTCTGGAGTTCTCTTCTAGAGAAATGTCATGAATGTGCCCTGTAAGGAGCTGGTGGCAACTTCCATTAATTCTGGGACCAGCAACCTCAGATCAAGAGCCAGATGCTCACTCAGGTCTCTCCAGGCCAGAGGTTCTGGCCAAGTTTGGGATCCCAGGGGAGTCTAAGAAAATGTGGAAGGCACCAAAATGTGTTTTTGAAGATTTATTTCAGAGCGAGCATCAGTGACCTACAAGAACCTGGACAGAAGCCAGTACCTCCCGTTTCCCCCATGATGTGAGACAGGACCCTGTGCCTCCTGTGGACTTCAAGAAATGTGGACTTGAGCTTTGCCATCCCTTCCTTTGATGCTGTTCCATAGATTTTGCTGTTATAGTCTCTGTATCTTTACAGGGATCAGGAGGCTGAATTAGTCTTATTCAGGGTTAGTAACTGTCCATCCCTTAACAGTGGTGGTCCTGATAGTTCACACATTTGTGGCCATCCCAAAGAGCAGTGCAATTATGAAGGTGTAAATACGACCAAAGACCACTCTCAGATACATCACTGATTGTTGGCTTTGTTTGACCGAACGTGTTATTTTTGGAGGTGGCCCGCTGTCGACACTCCCACCAGCACCTCTTCTTAGGCACAGTGGAGGATCCCAGCCTATATGGCAATGGCAGTTCCTTCTGTTGTTGCACACCCCTCTATGACTGCACTTCTCAGGGCGACAGTCGTAGCCCAGTGAAGTGATAGTCGCATTGCACCTGGTGTTATTACAGAAGTTTCCATGAACACAAGGAGTGCCATCTATCACACACCCAACATCAGTTGTGTCTGTTGCACGGTGGTCATCCAGTCCAAAACACTGAAATCCTCCTGTCACTGAGTGATGGAATGAAACATGTTCCTGCAGCCGGGGAAGATGGGTCACACTGGTACACTGCAGTCTTCCACAAAACTTATCTATTCCTGCACAAGCCTGGTTGTTGAGAGCTGTTTGTCGTCAAGTACAATGTCCAAATCGGTAACTTTCAAGATTTATGTCATAGCAGACCTCAGGAGCCTCCTCAGCACTGACACCAAAGATTACCTTGCAGAGCACATTGCGGTCAGTGCAGTTCCCATGATAGCAGTAGCCTTCTTCAGTGCACGGGGTTCCATCTTGCATATAAAAGTTTGCGGGGCATGTCACGGTGGTCCCGTGACAGTACTCTGGAAGGTCACATATATTTTGGATAGGTCTGCAGAGAGTCCCTGGTGGGGAGTAGCTGCAGTTTGTACAGCACTCTCCTATATGACAGATGCTCCCCGGTGTTAAGCGACAGTCACTTCGGCAGCAATAACTGGCATAACACTACTTGAAGGAGCCACAGTCACATTCCTCCCTCCCATCCGCTATGAGGTTTCCACAGCGAACCATTGTCATGGTTTCATTATACACAGGAGCAAGTGTTTCGAAAACACACCGGGCTGAATGTACAAAACAATTTTGTGCATGTCCATAAGAACAGTTACTGAACGCATCTGTCATCCCAGGATATTGCTGCATAATGCAGAAGGCCCTTTTCTGACATGTGCAGTAGTTATCATCACCAGTACTTCTCACCAGTACTTCTCATCAGTGTCTGGGTTGTTATGACGGCTACTAATAAATAATGTCTGCCTAGAGTACCAATGTGTAATAGGCCTAAATGTGTACAGAAGCTATACCTTTGTGGTTCATAGTTACATTCATGTGGTGCCTCTTTAATAAGTAGTGTGGGTGAATGAACACGAAAAGTATCAAAAAAGGTTGTTCTAAAATAGGTAAACATTGCACTCTGAACTCGATAGTCATTCACAGGGGCTGGGTCACAATTATTATATATGGTCAAAAGATAAATATAGTACCGCAGATCAATATTTTGAACAATGCTGTCACTGAGACTGAACATCTGGACCACCTCCTTGGAACAAGTTGTAATATTGTCATCTACACGACAATATGAATTGGAACATTGAACGTGGCCTTTTATATTGCCTCTATGAGAACTATACAGCCAATTAGATATCCTGGGATTCATGCTGTCATTTGCTTCAGAGAACAGGGGGTTTGTCTCCTCATTGTCACCATCTCTAAATGTGGGCCCCGTTGCGTTGGGCTCGGCCACTATCTGAGAAACATGTTCAAGCCTGCGGGAATCCTGGAGGGGTTTGATTTCATAGGCAAGGTCGTCCAGCTTCATGATGCCTCTGAGGCCCCCACAGCACATGTCCACGGTGACCATGGACAGAGGAACCTCCTCCAGGTAGCTGAGATAGTAGCAGTCTGGAGGGATGTAGGGGTCATCCATCTGCAAGGCTCCTTGGTCATCCTGAGTTGTCACCAGCAGATGTCTGGGCCAAAGAAGGTGTTTCCTCCGCATGTGAATGATGTGTCTTTGACCCCCAAAATGCAGGCTGTAGGACAGCCAGCCCAGAAACTGAAGGTCTTTGCCGTGGTGCGTCTCCTTCCTGGGAATCACCACCTTGGAGGATGCGTAGTGCCACGAGGGATGGCCTTGAGAACACCGGACTGGAGTCAGGAGCACCCAGAGCCCCAGCAGCAAGAGGGGGGCCCTAAGGGTGACCCGCGCCTCTGCCTGCCTCATGTCCCAGCCCAGGGATAGTCATCCAAAGACAATGGGAAAGGAAAGGACTGTCCTCGGCAAAGCCAGGCCCCAACCAGCTGCGGTGGCTGCGTCCCTCCCAGGGAGACCCTGACAGAGAACAAAGGGCCTCCCCAGGCTCCCACACCACACGCTGGGGCACCTGGACTCCGGGAGAGAATAAGGTAACAGTCCCAGGGCGGGGCAGGGGGCGGGCCTGGACAGGATGGCAGCTGCTGCACTGCAGGATGAGGCTGAGGGTCATGGCTGTGAGGGCTCATCGGGAAGGGAAAAGGGAGAGGGAAGCAGGGCTCTGTCTCTTTTACCACTGTCAATCTTTTCTGTTGCTTTCTGAATCTACAAAATACAATGATGTGTGTTCAATGCCCTCGCATCACCCATGTTATTCTCGGTCACTCTGTGGGTTAATAGTGCTCCTTTCTGTGGCTCACATTGCTTACTCCTTCGTCACGTGGAGGTAGATACTGCCAATATTTTCCTTGGGGATTGAATATTTTTCTACTCTTAATAAGTACCCATGTCTTATTCTTTTTGTTGTTGTTTCATTTTGTTGTGGCTTTGAAGTTTTGTTTGAAGTTACCAGATTGTGAAAGGAAAATATCTTGGGCCCCGTCAAGCTGGGAACCACTCAGGGCAAATCTGCCTTCCAGTCTATTAAAAGTTGTCCCTCTGGTCACAGAGATAGATGCATATTCTCATGGCCTCCTTTGCAAACACTTATCAGAAACTGAAAAGAATGCAACCATCTGTCTGTCACCTACCTGTGACCTGGAAGCCCTGAGTGGGGAGGACTTGTTTTGAGTTGTCTCAGCCTTTCTGGATGGAACTAATGTCCTTCTTACTTATATTGATTGATGTCTCATGTCTCCCTGAAATGTGCAAATCCAGCTGTGCCCAACCACCTGGGGCACATGTCATCAGGACTTCCTGAGGCTGTGTCACAGGTGTGTCCTCAACCCTGGCAAAGAAAACTTTCTAAATTAACTGAGATCTGTCTCAGAGTTCCTGGGCTCACAAGATCAACAGTTGGTATAGGGTAACTTTTTCTTCTGTGCTATGTTAAACCCTTGAGAATTATGATACTTTTTACTTAGTCCATCTATTGGGAACAGACGCTATTCCTGACCCCATGAGAGCCCCAGGTGCTGTCCCTCCGATGCTTCTGTATGGTTCTCTCCTGGTCTTTGGTCATTTCTTCAGATGCAAGAGCTGATCAGTTCTCAGGGAAGGACACAGGGGGCCCTCTGTGGGTGTCTCATGTCTGAGAACAAATATTTCGTGTATTTCTCCCATACTGAGTCTTCTGTGTTCAGTCCTGATTACCAGATGGAAACCCCTGGGAATCCCAGGGCTGTGGGTCTTCTCTCAGAGCTGCAGGGTCAGGTCTGTGCTTATTTTCACTCGGAGAGAGAGGGCCCTGTTTTCCTGCCTTCTCTTCTGTAGCAAGCTGTGATGTGGGATGCCTGAGGAGAGGGCAGAGCCCAGAGCAGATGTGAGACACCTGGAGGAGTTCATTGGCAACAGTAGCACTTGGAAAATATGATTACTTATAATGTGACTGTACCATGAAACTCACTTAGCAATTATTATTTTTCACACATGTGTACAAATTCAAATACAACTGCATTAAGCAAACTTTAAGAGATATAAAGAGAGAAATAGAAAACAATATAAACATAAGAGAAGACCTTAATACCTCACTTACAATAATGTTTAGCAAATCCAGAAAGAAAATTCTTAAGCCTCTGAATTTGAACAACACTATTGGACAAATTCACCTGAAAGACAGTTATAGAACCTTCGAACCAAGAGCCATGTAATACACGTTCTTCTCGAGCACAGATTGAACATTCTCCATGATAGGTTATATGTTACATCATAAAATGAGCATTAACATTTAAAGAAGTAATGCTAACCATTCTCTCTTTCAAAAATTTGTGAAAAGTCAACCTTCCAAACTATTTCTGAGGCTACCATTACACTATTACCAGTAATATTACCATTAATAGACAAAGGCACCACAATAAAATAAAATTATAGATCAATATCATTGGTAGACAAAAATTAACCACTCCAAATTTAGTAAACTAAGTTCTAAAGTTTTTTTAAAAACCATACACCATGATCAACTCAAATTTATTCTGAGTTGCACAGATGATTCAGTCTCCTCAAATCAATCAATTTGGTACACCACATTAAAAAACTAAAGAAAAAATATCTCAATAGCATTTCAACAGACATAGAAAAAACATTTGAAAAAATTCAGGGTTTCATTATAAAAACTCTGAACAAAGTAGGAAGACAGCAAAACAACTTGTACATAATAAAAGCCATTAAGAAAAGTCACAGCTATTGTTATACTCAATAGTAAAAGGTTAGAATATTTTGGTCTAATATCTGAAACAAGGCAAGAATAAAGCTTGAGGTATTACACTTCCAGGCCTGAAAATTTATTATAAACATAGAGTAATAAATCAGAATGGTATTGGCATAAATGCATACAGAGAGCTTAGATATAAACCCACATATTGATGGCCAGCTGATTTTCAGCATGAGAACCAGTGATATACAATGTCTAAATTATAGTGTCTTCCAAAGAGCATGTTATGAAAACTGGATTTTCACATGCAAAGAATTAAGAATTTTAGGATAGAATAAACACAAAAATTAACTCTAAATGCATTAAATATTTAAATGTAATATGTGTAATTATAAAACTCCCACCCCTGAAAAAATTAGCAATCTTTTTCTGGATTTTACATTCAAAGCACGTACAAAAAAAGCAGAATTGAACAAGTGGGACCAGATTTTACAAAAGATTCTGCAAAGCAACGAAATAATTCCAACTTACAGAATTGGATAATATACCATGTATCTGAAAAAGTGTTTATATCCAATATATAAATAAAACTTCCATAACTCAATAGCAAAAATAAAAATAGCCTGATTTTAAAATAATTGGTTTTACACCTTTAACAGTATAAGAACCTAGAACTCAGGTTAAATGTTTTCCTCCATGGCTAATGATCTGTCATATGGTGTACTTGGCTGGACAATAATTTGTATTGATTTGACAAAACACTAATCCGGGTGGTGGTGTGAATTTTTCAATAGACATTATTAAAACTGTAACCAGTTGACTCTATGTTAGGTAGATTATCATGGATAACCAGCTTAGCCCTGAATCCAACAGAGCAGATCTGGAGAAGGTAAAACTCCAGGGTGATTAAGCAGCTTCAGCTCTTTCTGAGACTTCCAGCCTGCACTTACTGATGGCCAGCCCTGAGGATATTGGAGGTTTCCAGCCATCCCCCAAAATTGTCATCCCCTACATCTCACAGGAAAGTGGCATGTCCCTCTGCACCTTGTCACACCTGAATATCAGAGAGAAAGAGATTCTCCAAAATCAAATAATATTTAGTTGAAAATGAGCATTGTAATGGGAATATGCATGGGCACATTTAGGTAGATAGAGGAAGACAAGTGTTTTAAAGGATAAATGAGGAGGCTTACATGAGCTGTTTTGAGACAACTATCCGGGGGTAGAAGAATCAATAACAAGGGTAGAATAAGTTTAAGGTTGGACAGGGAGTGGCAGGGCAGATATCCCCACAGTATTAATTCTCTTATTGTTGTGGTAGCCTTAGCCTTTGTTCAAGGTTGTAGTTGTGCAGATAATTTGTGTGTGTGTGTGTGCGTGCATGTGTGTGAGAGTGTCACTCTGTCACTCAGGCTGGACTGCAGTGGCACAATCTTGGCTCACTGCAACCTCTGCCTCCGGGGTTCAAGCGACTCTCCTGCCTCAGCCTCCCAAGTAGCTGGGACTACAGGCATACACCACCATGCCAGGCTATTTTTTGTTTTTTGTATTTTTTAGTAGAGACGGGGTTTCACCGTCTTGGCCAGACTGGTCTCCAACTCCTGACCTCAGGTGATCTGCCCACCTTGGCCTCCCAAAGTGCTGGGATTACAGGTGTGAGCCACCACACCCGGCTGTGCAGAGTATTTTTATGGTACTTCTTGTTATCAAGGATGTGTGCATGAGAACCCTCTGTTCATGACCTTCTCCAGCTTCACCTGTAAAGTTTATAACTCAAGTTGTTCTATTTTGATTCTGACAACTTTCACACCCTCTTCCTCACACCGCTAGTGAAGAAAGTTACTCTGTGAAGGTTTCTGAGAACAGGATTAGCTCCACATCCACATCCCACATTAACCAAACAAGCTTGGCCCCTTCAGTTCCCACCGGCAACTTGCATTTCCAGATAAGTCTCCATGCAACACAGTGGAGGGTCCTGAGTGACGAGGAGTGAAGAAAGTCCCACCAGCCTCTCCCGCGTGACTGCAGCAGCCACAGCCTGAGACCCACCTGAGCGCCAGGAAAGGGCTTGAGGCCTGGAATTTTGACCACAGGGAAACATCTTCCTTTTCCAGAAAGCAGGAAAAGCAAACGGAAAAATGAGAACAACGACTGAAAAAGGAAGTAAATGGATTAGGAACAAAAGAAGCACCAGATCAGTGTTGATGCTGATTTGCATATTTAGTGTCAGAAGAAGGATCAGACGTGAAACCTGTGAGGTTCTACATGACACTGACCCTGGCCCAGCCTCTATCGTCTGTGATCAGGATCTGTAAAGACTGTTCCAGTCATGGAGGCTCACTGAGGTCCCTGTCCTGGGTCTGATTGGAGAAGACTCATCAGGAAACCCTGAGCTTACTCAGGGCTCTGATCGTGGTGACCATGTTTGAGGACTTTATATATATATATATATATATATATAATATATATATATTTTATTATACTTTAAGTTCTAGTGTACATGTGCACAATGTGCAGGTTTGTTACATATGTATACATGTGCCATGTTGGTGTGCTGCACCCATTAACTCATCATTTACATTAGGTATATCTCCTAACGCTATCCCTCCCCTCTCCCCACACCCCACAACAGGCCCTGGTGTGTGTTCCCCTTCCTGTGTCCATGTGTTCTCATTGTTCAATTCCTACCTGTGAGTGAGAACATGCGGTGTTTGGTTTTTTGTCCTTGTGATAGTTTGCTGAGAATGATGGTTTCCAGCTTTATCCATGTCCCTACAAAGGACACGAACTCATCAATTTTTATGACTGCATAGTATTCCATGGTGTATATGTGCCACATTTTCTTAATCCAGTCTATCATTGATGGACTTTTCATCCCTGTAAGCATCAATCTGCATTTTGTGCATGTGAAAATAGCTCTTCATATTAAAATAATCTCCTTCAAATACTTAGCGAAGACATTGTTAGGCAAAGAATTCTAAACTTAGAGAGGTTCCCTGGCGAAACTAAGAAGTAGAGAAAGTCCCACATCCTGACAGGAAATCAGCCTCCATCTGCACCTGCCTCCGGGGCTGACTCTGATTAGTGGCTCCTGAGCGCCCCCTGCAGCTGATTCCACCCTGTGTTCCTGCAGGGAGATTTGTGTCTGGGCGCACAATGACCTCCCCTCACTGTGTCTCTTGCACAGTAATACACGGCCGTGTCCTCCACTCTCAGGCTGTTCATTTGCAGGTAGAGCGTGTTCTTTGAGTTGTCTGTGGAGATGGTGAATCTGCCCTTCACAGAGTCTGCGTAGTTTGTGCTACAACCACTACTACTAATGTATGAGACCCACTCCAGACCCTTCCCTGGAGCCTGGTGGATCCAGCTCATGTACCAGCTACCGACGGTGAATCCAGAGGCTGCACCGGAGAGTTTTAGGTACCCCCCAGGCTGGGCCAAGCCTCTCCCAGACTCTACCAGCTGCACCTCACAGTGGACACCTGCAAACACAGAGACACTGGTCAGAAACTCCCACACATATCCAGTGTTTCTCTCACTCATGTTCACTCACACTCAATCTCTTTAGTTCTCCATGAATCACCTTGTAAAATAGCAACAAGGAAAACCCAGCTGAGCTCAAACTCCATGGTGAGTCCTCTGTGTTCAGTGCTGATCACCGAATGGAAAGCCTCGGAATCCCAGTGCTGGGGCTCCTCTCCCAGAGCTGCAGGGTCAGGGCTGGGCTGGTTTTCATCAGCAGAGGGAGGCCCCTATTTCCATGTCCCCCACTATATAGCAAGCTCTGGGGTGGGACATCTGAAGAGAGGGCCAGGCTCCGTGCAGATGAAGTGTCTTGGGGGAGATTGGTAGTAATTCCATCATTCAGGAAAATATAATTTTATATTATGTGATTGTGCCTTGATTAACATTTAGCTCTCATAATCTGATTTTATTTTTACATATTTACACAATATATTTAATGCAGCTTTCAATGTTATATTTTACAGAATATAATTTACATAGAGAATACAGCAGTTGTGCAGTGCATCTAAGTTTATACATCTAAACAAATTTAGTCCTATTATCTGGGCCTGTGCTCTAAACACTGGAGGAGGCAGCTCCCCTGAGACAACTCCAGGGCAGTGTGGCCCATGCCTAGTGAAGTCTGCAGGATTCCCTATCTGTTATGACAACTTTCTGTAATTTACCCAAATATGCAGAGAGAACCAAGGTTCATGTGTGTGTATTTTCAGAAGTCAGTCATGTTTCTTCTGCCAATATCAGTCTTTTTATTGCTCCATTTTAACAAAAATATTCATTTATTTATGTTATTGATTTATTCAAGTATAATAAATAAATAGTTAATTCAAATTTATAGTGAATGATTTGAAAAATGTAGACCTATGTTTGCAACCATTCACTCAGCACTTCAATCGTCTTGAATAATTAATCCCTAAATCTTTTCTTATTCCTCTCAAATTTAACTCACATCCTCATTATTCACAAAACCATATTCTCAGAAAAATTTAAATGTTATTCATGTTAATTTTTAATAGTGGCATCTTCTAAAGTTTCTACATATGAATTATATAAAATTTACTCTTAATTCCTTAGCTTCTTTCACTCTGCACAATAACTTGAGAATTTAGCCACGCTTTTTTATGAGTGAGGCATGCCTTGATTTCAAGCTGCATTATATTCCAGTACATAAATATATGCCAAACTAATTGTTCACCAGTAACAAAAGGTGATTTGTTATCTCAGTTAATGGATTTTATAGAGAAAAGCAGCTACTCGGCAAGGGAATGCAAAAAATGAGTAAACTGTGATACTATCCTGACCTCGAGATCGAGACCATCCTGTGAATGGTGAAACCCCATCTCCACTAAAAATACAAAAAATTCGCCGGACGTGGTGGCAGTCGCCTGTAGTCCCAGCTACTCAGGAGACTGAGGCGGGAGAATGGCGTGAACCCAGGAGGCGGGGCTTGCAGTGAGCCGAGATTGCGCCACTGCACTCCAGCCTGGGTGACAGAGTGAGACTCCGTCTCAAAAAAAAAAAGATACTATCCTGACCCCATTAACAACAAACGTACAAAACTGAAAATAAAGAAAAAACATTCAACATATCTGAGTTGATATCATAGAGGAAAAAAACCCCTGAAATCTGAGGAGAGAGGAGCCTGCAGAGAGAACCATATATTAGTGTACCTGAGGCAGATATTACTGGATGGTATTCAAGATAGGAGCAGGCTGACTTGGAAATATTGAGTAAGTTGCTGGAGGATGCATGTGCTCATACTGTTAGACTGTGAAGCTCCTAGTGCTTGCACGCTTTTCCTACAGAATTATTATTAATTATTCTTTCTGAACTTTATGCTAATTATCAGGCCAACCATGAGAGCAAAGTTTATTTTGCAAACAATTCAGACGTATAATGATTACATTCTGACAAAAATCAGAACTGGAGAGAGAAAAATTATGTTTCAAAACATATCATACACTTGTCTTTAAATTCTAATCTCTTCAATTGTTTTAAGTATTTGCCTCCATTTTAGACTAACTCTGCTTATTCCTGTGAACCAACCAATGATCTCTGGCTGCAGCTCAGAAGAAACAAAGGGAGGGGGAATATAGACATCTGCATCAACATTTTAGTTCTGAGCAATTATCCTGCAAATCATGCCAGGTGACTGGAATAAATAGGGTGCCCCTAATCCAGAGGTTTCTTTGTTTGAGAAAATAAGTCCATGGGAGCTACAAAAGCCAAGCCCCATGCACCCAAATCTTAGCAGGCATAACTACAGCCACAGTTATCTGGGCATGTCAGCAGCCTTGGAATTTGTTTTCAAGCTGTCCTCGCCACCTTGTTTGGTTTTGATACATGTCTTCTAATAACCCGGTTTGTCTCTTCTCACCCTCAGGCCATCAAACTCCAAATGGTCATGCTATGCAGGAAGCATGATGCCAGCATCTGCTCTTGGTGAGGACCTCAGAAAGCTTACAATCATGGAAGAAGGCAAAGGGGCAGCAGATATATTACATAGTTAGAGCAGGTACAAGAGAAGAGATGAGGAAAGTCCTAGAGTATTTTAAAGAACTAGATTTAACTTGAAGTAAGTTAGCACAAACTCAATTGTCACCAAGTGTGTTGCATAAAGTCATTCATGACTTCACGTACCCAATACCTCTCACCAGACACCACTTTCCGCATTGGCAATTACATTTGTAATGATTCATAAGCAGAGCCATTTCTGGGAGTCATGGGTTTCCTCTGAGAGGTAGCACTGACTTGCACAAGACTCAATTATATTTTGCAGATTCCTTGCACAGCACAGAAATATAGGAACCTTCCACCCAATCCACCCTCCCTCTCTCTTTCACTTAGGGACATGCTTCCATCATATACGATCAGCTTCCCAGCCTCATTCTACTCTCTGTGCATTTTCTCTCAAAGGGGTGGATGTACTTCTTATAAAAATTCAGGGAAACTTCATACCGTCTTGGAGTTTTCTGCTTAGAAAATGAATAATAACACAAATGTTACTGGAAAGGGATCCCAATTTGGGACAAATCCACAGAGTAAAATGAAAGCGAGTTTATTAGGAAAGTAAAAGAATAAAGAATGGCTACTCCACAGGCACAGCAGCAATATGGGCTGCTGGTTGTCCATTTTCATGGTTATTTCTTGATTATATGTTAAACAAGGGATGGATTATTCATGAATCCCCCAGAAGTTACCAAAGCTGAGTATTTCTCCCTTTTAGACCAACTAGGGAAACTTCCTGATGTTGCCATGGCATTTGTAAACTGTCATGGCGCTGGGGGGAGTGTCTTTTAGCATATTATTATAATTAGCATAAAATTAGCAGTGAGGACAAACAGCGGTCACTTTTGTCACTGTCTTGGTTTTGGTGGGCTTTGGCCGCATCTTTACTGTAAACTTCATCAGCAAGGTCTTTATGACCTGGATGTTGTGCAGACCTCCTTTCTCATCCTGTGACTAAGAACGCCTTAGCTTACTGGTAATGTAGCCCAGCAGGTCTCAGTCTTATTTTTCTTAGCCTTTATTCAAGATGAAGTTGTTCTGGTTCCAAAGCCTCTGACACAAATAATGTAGTGAAATATTTATAATATGAACATCATTATATTGCCAAATATCATAATATTGCCAAAATAAAATATCATAATGGCAACAATCAATTTTATTTGTCACCTTGACTAGACCACTGTCTCATCTACTAAATCACACACTAACCTAGGTGTTGCTCCCATGGCATAATACAGGCGTTAGTAGAGCCTGCCATTATCTTTTCCTAAGTCACGAAGATTGTTCTAAATAATCGAGGTGGGGCTGATTCAATCAGAGCATAACAGAAGACGATGGGACTCCAAGCTGTACGGCAGATGCAGGTCTTCCCAGGAATTCCAGCCTGTCTTTCCTGAAGGCCAGCAGTATTGATCTTAGGCTGCCTAGCCAGACCCTACAATTACTACTATCCAGAGCTCACAGCACGATGGAGTGTCCATCATCAGCTCTCCTCAAAGTCACAGGTGACAGTCCAAACTCTGTGACAGTGTGAAAAGCATAAGATCAGCTCTACATCAATATCCCATTGGAGAAAACTAGGATTATTCCCTTTGTGATTAAGGTCCGTTTCGTTTTCCAAACATCTCCGTTGACAGAAGACAGCAGGAGAGTCCAGGCAAGGGTGAGTGAGAAAGTCCCCTCAGACTACCCAGGTCCTGCAGACCTGAGCCCTGGGATTTTGACTACAGATAACACATACTCAGTTTTCAGGGCAGAGAAGAAGAAAGGGAATTGTGAGAATCAAGTCTACAGGGAAGGAAAATGGATTAGCAGAAAGAGGGTCAACTGAATCAGTCTGAGTCAGACGTGCCCAGTTTTACAAGACGAGGGGGGATAGCTGTGAAAACCATGTGGTTTTAAGGACCCTGACCCTGGGTGAGCCTCTCTCTTAGCTCCTATCAGAACTCAAAGCCTGTTCTAATCAGAGATTCCCATGGAGGTCTCTGCCCTGAGTCTAACTGGAAAACACTCTCCAGGTTCCCCTGAGCATCCTCAGGACTTTCATCCTGTTGACCACGAAATAATTATTTCTGCCCCCAAAGTGACACTGCGGGTTCTGTGGAGGTGAGGATGTGTCCTACTGTAAACCAACAAACAAACAAAAAAACCGAAACAAAAAGGAAGAAAAGGTTTGCATTTAGAGACATCAGATGTTAGTACAGAATTGAAAACCCTTAGCAGCACCTGCACCTGCCCTGGAGGGCCCTATTTGCATGTCTCCTACTATATAACAAGATCTAGGGTGGGACCCTTGAGGAGTAGGCTGTACCCAGATAAGGCAATGGTGCCCTGCAGAAGTTTGCTGAGAATGATGGTATTTGGAAAATACGCTGTCTTATGAAATTGTGCTGTGATAAACACTTTGCCAGGATCACCCTATTTCATTTTTAAATATTCGTGTAAGCTATGTTCTGTAGAGTCAATATTTTCTCATTTATGGATGCAGAAGTAAACCCACATGTGAAGGGGGCTCTGCGTACATCTAGGAGCTCATGTCTGGGATGAGTGAACCCCAGTAACTCGCCCTGTGTTCCTCATCACAGGTCCTGATTGCTCCCTAAACCAACTCCAGGACAAAGCTGGATGTGTCTAGTGTTTTTATTAGAACCCGCTTTCCGTAATAAGGAGCACATGTGGTTTTGCTGCACTCCAGCACTCGCCTGAAAATATGGAGAGAACTAGGGTCCAGACACATTAATTTTCAGGTACTTCTGACATTTAACTTATTTTTTCTATCTTTCTTGTCAAAGTTTTACTCCTTCCTTGTCTAAGTTTCTGTTTGTTTGCTTGTAATACATTTTATGAGGCTTAATTGAAAGGTAATATACTTCACACATTTAAAATGTACAATTAATAAACATGATGTAACTCTCATCATTATCAAGAAAGTGGACTAGTGAATTTTTCTCAACATTTCCTCCTGTTCTGCTATATTCCTCCTCCTCTCCCCTTCCCTTCTTCTACCATTTCCCCAGGCAAGTACTGATCTTCATTATATTACTTTAGATGCATTTTTATCAAAATTTATAAAAATGAAATAACAGAGTATATATTTTTATTTGGCTTATTTTACTCAACATAAATACTTAGATTTTTTACCTTGTTGTTCTGTGTATCAGGCATTAATTTATTATAAATGATGGATAGTATTCCACCGAACACATAATTTGTTTTTCTGTTGAACAGCTTAACAATATTTGCTTTCTTTTATTACTCTGGGTCTTACTAAAAAATCTTCTGCACAGCTTGGAAATGGACATAGATGAGTAATATATTTTACTTATTTTTTTCAACAACAATATCAACAATAACACATAAAGAAGCTGGAATTTTGCAATTTTTTTTGAGACTGAGTCTCACTCTGTCACCCAGGCTGGAGTACAATGGCACGACTTGCAAACTCTGCCTCCTGGGTTCAAGTGATTCTCCAGTCTCAGCCTCCTTAGTAGCTGGGATTACAGGTTCCTGCCACCATGCTTGGCTAATATTTTTGTATTTTTAGTAGAGAAAGGTTTTACCATGTTGGCCAGGCTGGTCTCAAACTCATAACCTCAGGTGATCCACTCACCTCGGCCTCCCAAAGCTTTGGGATTACAGGTGTGAACCACTGCAACCGGCCAATTTATTCTTATAAAACTTTAGATACTTGAAGTTTTAAGGTAAACATCAAATGTGATATCTAGGGACAGGCAAGTTTTTGTTGAGAATAACAAAGCTGGGGTATGAGTTGAACTGAGGCAGCATATGTCATAAAATGTAGGCTGTTATAAGATAAAAACACACTTATATATTGGATTGCTTTGAAGTCAAGTGTGGTAAATGTGTTGTAGTGTGAATTTCCAAGAGACCACATACTGAAGAGCTTTCCTATCCTGTTGAATGCCTTTTCCCCAGAATGGGGACAGTCACAAAAATCTTTCAGTCCCAATGTGTCTGTCTAGGAGAGAAAAAGTGCCCACACTTCTGAAAAGCATTCAGATCCACCTTCTGTATCCCCATTGGAGAATTAAGAAATTACTCTGCAGGGAAAGCCACTAAAACCAGTATCATAGAGGCACCAGGGCAACCTCTTAGGAACTGAGATGGGAAAAGAGGTCTTCTTCTAAGTTCCATTGAGAACTACCTCCCCTCTCTTTCTTATTTAATCACAGCCTTAATCTGCAGTTCAAGTCAGCAAATCTGGAAGGTGATAACACCAAAAGAGAACATTGGAGCTGTGGGAGGGAACAACTGGGGAAAACAAGAGGACTCCACAGCAGGGAAAAGAGCAAGAACACACAGACCAACATCTCATTTGGAGGAAGTTCAGAAACATTGGAAAGGTCACACCCAGACTCATGTTCACAATATGAACCCAGGGAAGGTCAGATAATCTCCCTTTATTCTATTGCTTTCCACCAATTTCAGAATTTTCAGTTAAATAACATTTTAATCCACCTGAGGGAGCTGAACATGATTCTCTGGAGGAGGGAACAGGTGAAGAGACAAAGCCAAGCAGGAAAGAAAAACAAGGTATCACTGGAGGATCTGAAGTCTCTGGTGGACACAGAAGAACAGACTTCAACTATGAAGTCCACTGCAAAAGTAAATGTCAAATGTAGCTTTGAGAAGATTCACAGACACTTCCACAATAAAGGCCTGGCAAAGGTAAAGTATGATCAAATACAGGCAGAAAATGCATAAAATGAAATAATAGGCCGGGCGCAGTGGCTCACGTCTGTAATCCCAGCACACTGGGAGGCCGAGGCGGGTGGATCACGAGGTCAGGAGATTGAGACCATCTTGGCTAACATGGTGAAACCCCGTCTTTACGAAAAATACAACAACTTAGCTGGGCATGGTGGCAGGCACCTGTAGTCCCAGCTACTCCGGAGGCTGCGGCAGGAGAATGGCGTGAACCTGGGATGCGGAGCTTGCAGTGAGCTGAGATCGCACCACTGCACTCCAGCCTCGGCGACAGAGCAAGACTCCATTTCAAAAAAAAAAAAAAGAAAGAAATAATAAACCAATACCAACTGTCCCTCCCAACATGTGTGACTATCCACAATTATTACATAAATTAATGAGAAATATCAAAGTCATAATAAAAGAGATCAGCATGAGATTTGTAAATGATACAGATATTATAACTAATTAAACAAGATATGTAAAGTAACTCTAATTCATATGCAACAATCTCTTGAAGCAACTGTGGACATAATGCAGGACTAAATAGGTAACTGAAATATGAAAATACTAAGAAGAAATCAAATGGAAATGCATAAGAAATCAAAAGCACTGCAGTATAAACATTGATCAAGCTTTGGGCACACCCCTCAGTAGAGCTGGCTCAGCTTTTAAATGAAACCATGTGCTTAAAATGTCACTAGAAATTTCACAAAGTAAATTGCAAAGAAAAGGAAGTGAAGAAAGAAATTAAACATTAATATCAAAATTATAGTATATTTATATTTTAAATCTGAGGAGAAATTATAAATACAGGGAAAGTAATTGAAAAAATAATGGCTAAGAATTTTCCCCATTTTGTGAAAGACACTGAAGTCCAGATCCTAGAATCACAGAGAACCCCAAGCAGAGTAAACACAAACAGACACAGACACACACCACACATCCACCCTGGACACAGTGGTGCACAAGAAAAAGCTCACACATCATACACCACACACACATTTCCTCAACTTTATTATTTTTACTTAGCTGTTTTAAAATTATTTACATTTATAGTAATAAGTACTAGTCTAAAATTAAAACATATTATTCTATGCATAATTCTGTCTATGCTTACCATGATCAAATACACAGTTTGGTGCAAATGAATGTAACTGCATTGTTAGTTAATTCACTATTTCAAAGAAAAATGGTATTTATTCCTGTCTCTGTGTTGAATCATTTGTAATGTACACCAATATAATTCTTTTTAATTAAAGGATTTTTTAAAGTTGGCACATAATAACTGTTTATACTTATGGAGTACATTGTGACATTTCAATACATGTGTGCCGTGAGGTATGACCAAAATCAGAACAGTGAGCAAATTAATCAGCTCAGACACTAACATTAACTTGTTAGTAGCATACAAACTTCTATCTTCTGGTTACTTGTAAACAGAAAATGTACAATATATTGTTAACTGTAGTCACCCTACTGCACTGTAGGACACTACAGCACATCCCTCCTGTCTACTTGTAATTGTGCATTGTTAACAAACCTCTTCTTATCTCTCAGTCTCCACCCATTCCCAGCCTCTCATAACCACTACTCTACTATTTACTTCTGGAAGATCAACTTTTTAAAAATTTCCATAGAACACTGAGAAATGCCGTATTTATTTGTCTGTGTCTGGCTTGTTTCACTCAACAAAATGGTGTCCAGTTCCATGCATGTTGCTTCAAGTGACAGAATTTCACTGATAAATCTGAATAATATTCCATTGTGTAAATATACCACATTTTATTTATCCATTCAACTGTTGATGGACGCATACGTTGATTTCATATCTTAGCTATTGTGATTAGTGCTGCAGTAAACATGGGTGTATATGTATCTCTTCAATATTAGTTTTTTCTTTTAATTATTTAAATAGATATATACTCAGCAGTTGGATTGCTGGATTATATGGTAGTTCCATTTTTTTTCCCTTGATGGCTGTACTAATTCACATTTCCTCCAGTGGTCTATAGGAGTTTTCCTTTCTAGGCATCCTGGCCAGCTTTTGATATTTATTTATTTATTTACTTGTCTTTCAGACAACAGCCTTTCTAGCAGAGATGAAGGGTGAAAAGACACCTCATTGTGAATTCGCATTTTCCTGAATATTAGTGATTTCTAGCAATATGTGTATGTATATACTCATATAGCTATCTATCTATCTATGTATGATCTATTGCCCTTTGCATGTCTCTTTTTTTTTTTTTTTTTTTTTTTTTTGACGGGAGTCTTGCTCTGTCACCCGGGCTGCAGTGCAAAGACGCGATCTCGGCTCACTTCTACCACCGCCTCCCGGGTTCAAGCGATTCTCCTGCCTCAGCCTCCCAAGTAGCTGGGAACACAGTCGCCCACCACCACGTCCAGCTAATTTTTTGTAATTTCTTTTTTTTTCTCTTTCTTTCTTTCTTTTTTTTTTTTTTTTTTTTTTGAGAGGGAGTTTCGCTCTGTCGCCCAGGCTGGAGTGCAGTGGCGCCATCTCCACTCACTGCAAACTCCGCCTCCCGGGTTCGCGCCATTTTCCTGCCTCAGCCTCCCGAGTAGCTGGGACTACAGGCGCTGCCACCACGCCTGGGTAATTTTTGTATTTTTAGTAGAGACGGGGTTTCTCTATGTTGGTCAGGCTGGTGTCAAACTCCTGTCCTCAGGTGATCCGCCCCCCTCGGCCTCCCAAAGTGCTGGGACGACAGGCGTGAACCACCACGCCCAGGTCTGTCCAGGCTGTTTTGGTCCTTCAGAGGAGAATTGCAGAGTCGTCTCATCCCCTGCTCCCACCAATTTTCATATCTGTGTGTGACCCTTGAGAATGTCCTTGCCATGTCTCTACATAATTGGAGTCAAATGAGGCATGAAGCTGACATGCTGGGTGTGTCAGTGCAGAACTGGGTGAAGAAACTGCCTGCATACTGTTGCATTATCGGCCTGGAGCCTCTGACGTCCAGGCTTTGCATTTTATCAGTGATTTTCTGTGTTGGTTAGTCAGTTCAAATGTTATTTTTAACTTTCTACTGAAATAGCCTCACATAATCATCTAGAGGCATAAAGATTAAAAAATAACTTATTTGGAAATTAACCCAGGTTGCAGGTGAGGTCATAGTTAGTTTGTGGTGATAGGGAGACAGGGAGAAGCATGGCTGGAAACTATGACCGTGCTCATAAATGCTTCATGTTAGTAGGGAAGACCCTGTACACCCAAGAGGTTTAGACACCGCCACTGAGAACCTCAGCCTAATATAATTTTATGAATCATGCCTCAATAATAAAACTCTAGGTTTTTGACTAAAATTGCTGTTACTAATGTGTTTCCTTAGAATACAGTCTTCTACCTGATGTAAAATCAGCCCAGATGGCAGAAGTGATTGCATTTATTAGAAATTCCAATTTGTCAAACCAGGAAATAAACATGTTTTAGAGCAGTGCATGGCTCTGGGATGCTTTGTAAACAATAGAGCATCTCACATATTCTGGAACAGCCCCCAACATGGGCAAGGTAGGGAGTTCTTAGAAGCACTCCTTTATCCCAGATTCCTGGCAAATATAAAGGTGGAATTCAATGCAAAAAGAGGTAAGTAACACTGAAGCTAAGAAAACTGCCACACCAGGTTATATCCTCAGAAGAGAAAACTGCTGAGAGAGTCACAGATGTTATTTAAAAATATCAATGGTTAGCCCCTGGTTTTAAATAAAAATGAATGAAAAATATCTAGTTATCGACTTTGCTTAGATAATTTGTGCCAGATTATTACAAATGATTTTTTTTATTTCAACTCTACAATTTATAGACAAATTGGTTATCCAATTAAATAAACACCTTGAGGAATCAGCAGAGGTTAATTATTGATGAGGTGTGACAAGCTAGCCACAAAATCCTGGGAGAATCCTTACATTGGGACCTAGACAGAATTGAGCCACAGGGCCCTTTGGACATATTTAGGTAAACTTTCCTCAGTTCCCACCCTTAAGGGGATGTGAATATATTTTATTTATCATCTATCTGTGATCTCTGTGTCTTGAAATAATTCTTTGACAAAAGGCTACAGCCCTTTCAGTTGATTAAAAGCTTCTGCATTTTGTGTTTTTAGCCTGTGACCTGCCAGGTTTTGCATGAACTGAGTGAAGCACACCCATGAAAGGAACTATTATAAAATGACTCTGTAAGACACGGCTGATACTAAAGTACGACACTGTTATAACCTCCTACAATCTTCCACATAAGTTTATGGGTATGCACATGCAGAAGAAAATAAATGGACCAGCTGGACATGGTGTCTCATGCCTGTAATCTCAGCACTTTGGGAGGCTGAGGCAGGCGGTTCATGTGGTCAGGAGTTTGAGACCAGCCTGACCAACATGTTGAAACCCTGTCTCTACTAATGTATACTTATATCAAAATTGTCACAATATTAAGGAACCCTTGAACTCCCTTGGCCACATGTACTCCTACTAGCACTGTGGCATTATGGTCCTCTGCCTTAAGGATGAATCTGTTATTGCCTCATGACTTGATTGCTGGAAAAAATACATTTAGAGATTTTACCCCCAATACTCCTTTGCCATACTGTATTTGGATGAGGCAGAACCCTCAAAGAGATTCATGTATTATGCTCACTCCTATCACCAACAGATTAAAGTTGCCATTCCAGTATGTCTTTTTAACAACAGCCTCTTATAACCTTTAGCCAGGAAAATTTATATATTGGAAAAAAATTAGAGAAAAACTTTCCTTGAAACACTGGAAGGAATCTTATTAAATATTTTTATCATCACAGAAGTAAAACTCCATGGAGTCAATCCTTGGGATTTTTTTTTTTACAACTCAATAAGGAATTAAAAATTCCACACAATTGGAACACTACTCCCATAGAGGGGATTTGTACCTACTTAATAAATAGACCAGCCTTTACTAAAAGGTGCTCTCCTATGGGAACCCCAAACTTAACAGATCTCTGAAACCTGCTGAAGTCTCAATGCACTTTGTCTCTAGATAACCATAAATGCAAAGGCAAATTTTGTGTTTTTGCATGAATGATCTGGACACACCCTTGGCATTTTAACTGAATTTCATGGAAACATGATTACTTCCTGGGAGCTCATGTTTAATGGCATCCAAATATTCATCACCCTTGTGATGTGGTGGCAATTAGGTGCCTCGGAGAAATATGCTGATGCTTCAGGTGAACAAGTTCTAGACTCCTCCCTTGACTTCATGGTTCCTCACTCAGTACAGATGTGTCTGTGACCAAAACCCAACACTGATATCCAGCAGTTTCTCCTCTTGTGAAATTTATTTTTTTTCTTTGTTTGCCTGACTTTCCCTCATTCTCTCTCTTGCCCTCTCATTATGATTTCTGCTGTACCATTCTGAAACCTGCCAAGAGTATGCAACTTGAATCATGCCAATTTCCAGCCTCAAAAAGAAAAAAGGTGCAAACTCATAATTTTCTTAACGAGGTTAGAAAACTTCCTACATTTCCACCAGATTCATTAGAGACTCCCAATGAGAATCATGAGGAAACATTATTTGGTTTTGGATCATACCTCAAAACTGAAACTGCTTTTTATAATGGTTATTCCATTTGTATTTCCACTATTGTGCAAAGTAGTATGAAGACTCCGAAATAAAAGAAAAATAGAAATACCTGATGACGTGGCAAATCCTATTCTGGGTATGTTCTAAAGAAGATAAAATCACCACCTCATAAAGGCATGTGCACTCCATGTTCTTTGCAGCTCTATTCACAATAGCCCAGATATGAAAGCACCTCAGGGTCTGCAGGTGGACAAATGGATAAAAAAATATGATCTAGGTATGCAATAGAATATTATTCAGCCATCAATGTTGATATCTTGTCATTTGCAACAATATGAATGGAAGTGGAAGCCCTAATGTTAAGTTAAATAAACCAAGCACAGAAAGACAAATACTGCATCTTCTTACTTTTATGTCAAAACTAAAAAATTGGATTTCCTGAAGACAGAGAGTAGATTGGTTTTTACCAGAAGCCTGGATAGATACAAGGGAGAAGAGAATAAAGAGAGGTTGATTACTGAATACAGATATATAGTTATATAGAAGAAATAAAATCTAAATATTTCATAGATGAGTAAGGTGACTATAGTTAACTATAATCTAATGTACACATTAAAATAGCTAGAAGAGTCGTTCAAATGTGCCTAGCATAAAGAGAATATACATGTTTAATGTGATAGATATACCAATCAGATATACCAATCCTGATCTGCTCTTTACACATTTATAAATGTATCAATATATTACATGTTCCCATAAAATATGTATATCTATTATATGCCAATAAAATAAATAATCTCCATGGCATGTTTTTACAAAAATATTAAAAATTTCTCCAGTTATATCAAATACAAAGGCCTTTAAATAGCCAAAGTAATTTTGGGCACAATTTAACAAAGCTGAATATATCATATTCTATAATTTCAAAATCAAATCAATATAAATCAAAACAGTATAATGCTGACATGTAAACAGACATAGAGTCCAATGGAACATTATAGACAACCTGGAAATCAACCCATTCCTTCCCAATAAACTGATCTTTGACAAATTGCCAAGGACAGACAATAGAGAGAGGACAGTCTCTTCAAGAAGTGGTGTGAAAACTGGGCATCCATATGCAGAAGAAAAAAAATGAACCTTACCTCACATGATACACAGAAATCAGCTAAAAATGGATTCAAGACTTAAACAAATACCTGAATATGTGGTACAAAGTTATCCATGTATGGTTTGGAAAAAAATGTAAATTAGTACAGCCATTATGAAAAACGACATGGAGATTACTCAGTGAATTGAACATAGAGTATACCCACTTCTGAGCATACATCTAGAGAAAATAAAGTGAGTGTGTCAACTATATGTTCATTGTGAGATTATTCCTAATAGCCTAGACTTGGGAAAGAAGTCCATATCCATCTATGAATGAACAGATAAAATGTGGCTTATACCTACATAAAAGTGAAATTATTCAGCCTTTAAAAACAAGGAAATTCTTACATTTGCAACAACACATAGAGAACATTATTCTAAGTGGAATAAGCCAGACGAAGAAAGACAAATGTTGTGTGATCTCATTTATGTGTAGAATCATCAATCTATATATTTTTCCTTCATCGGTATTGTGTTGTCTTGATTACTGATGCTTTGCAGTAAAGTTTGGAGAATGGGGGTGTGAATTATCCTAACATGTTTTCTTTTTTCAAGATTATTTTGGCTATTTTGAGTCCCTTACAATTCCATGTGTATTTTAGAATCAGCTTGTCAGTTTCTAGACAGAAGTCTGTTGGGATACTTGCAGGGATTTCATCAGATCTGTAGTTCAAATTGTAAAGTACTACAATATTAAGTCTTCCAATTCATGGCTGTAAGATATTTGCTAATTATTTAGATCTTCTTTAGACAATAATTTTTAAATTTCAGAGTAAAATATTGTATCACACTTTCCAAATTAATTATTATTTCTTTTTTTGATGCTATTGTAAATTGAAGTGTTTTCTTAATTTCATTTTGGGGTTTTCATTGTAGATGTGTGCAATTGATTTTTGTATATTTATCTTGTATGCTGTAATATTGCTGAAATAATTTACTAGTTCTATCATTCAGTGGATTCCTTAAAATTTTCTATATACAAGAATGTTATTTGCAAATAAAGTTTTATTTCCTCCTGTTCAATATGGGTGACTCTTATTTCTTTACTGGCCGATTTGCCGTGCATAAAATCTTTAGCACAGTGTCGACTAGAAGAGGTCAAAGTATATATCTTATTCTTATCTCCGACCATAGCGGGAAATTATCCTTTCTTTCACCACTAAGTTGAATGTTTGCTGTTGGCTTTTCACAGGTGCCATGTATCTGGTGTAGAAAGTTCTCTATTCCTGGTTCATTGAGTTTTTATTTTTATTTTTAATCATTAAAGCATTTAGATTTTGTTAAATGTCTTTTCTGAATCTATCGAGATGATCATGCAATTCTTGTTTCTTATTCTATGGATAAGATGTATTACCTTCATGGATTTTGGGCTGTTAAACTAACCTGGGATTACTAGTATAAATTTCACTTTGTCATAGTGTATAATTCTTTTATATGTTGCTAGATTTTATTTGTTAGTATTTTTTTAAGGGATTTTGCATTTATACTTATAGTAGTTTTATTTTTCTATGCTATTTGGACTAACTTTTGTATCAAGGTAACACTGGCCCCACAGAATAAATTGGGAAGTGAATATTTCTCTTTTTAAAAAAAGTCAAGAATTAATATCAATTATACTAACAAATATTATTATAAATTATTAATTTCTCTAATTTTTATTTTCTTCCTTCTGCTTGCTTTAGGTTTAGTTTGCTATTTTTTCCAGTGCCTTAATGTGGAAGGTCATCTTATCTCATCCTTTCATTTGCCTTTTCATTAACTAAATAGTATCTTTTTAGCATCAGGTGAGCTCCCCAGGTTGGTAGTACGCCATGTTTATTGCTGTACAACAATGACAGGTAATATGTCCTGAAGACAATGGAAACTTAACATTCAAAATCCTCCTAGATTCCACCTTATATGATATGTCTCTTCCATTGATTGGTCCTAATTTCTACCCTTTCTCTATTATAAACCATGAGTACAATAGCATTCAATGAGTTCCGTGAGTCTTTCTAGTAAATTCTTGAAACTGAGGGTGTTCTGGGGAAACCCCTGAACTGGCAGTTGGTGTCAGAAGTGAGAATAGTCTTACGTGGCCTCTTCTTTTGAACTTTGCAGCTGGACCCAAACTCTGCACAATTTGGGCCAGAAGTCTTGTGTTGACTTTGCAGCCTAAAGTATCTTGTAGTTTGTCTAACCCTCAATAAATTTGCTTTCATCAAATATTGTATTTGTCACCCCAAAATTACTATCATGTTTTCTTTCTCTGAATAACTAACATTGGGAGAAAGAGTCAGCTGAATCTGTAACTCAACAGAAACAAGTGATCCATATACCATATAAGTGGCCATTTCATTTTGCCTCCTTCCACCAAATCTTAGCAACCTCAACCATTGCCATGAGCCAGTGTAGGCCTACCTGCTACAAACAAACAAGTATCTTTTAAGAACCCTTCATACTGCCATTTGATAAATTTCCCAGCAAAGAGATGCCTACTTTAACTCTATGCAAGTGGCTCATATTCGCAAAGTCTGGAGATATTATTCATGTAGTGTGAGAAAAATCATCCCAGCGATGCCAGCACATTCTCCTTCCCATGATCTGCTTAGTTTGTAAACATATTCAGGCCATGGGTGAGAGATTTGTATTTCACAGTACAACAATTTTATGGAGGGCATTGAAACTTACATTGAGCATTTTAGTAGAGTCACACATCACTGAATGATAGGGATACGTTCTAAGAGATGCATCCATAGGCAATTTCATCATTTTGCAAACATCACAGAGAGTATTACAAACACCTAGATTGTACAGCCTACCACGTCTAGGTTAAATGGTATAGCCTCTCTCTCCTAGGCTACAAACCTGTGTACTACATTACTGTACAGAATACTGCAGGCAATAAGAACGCAGTGGTAAGAGTTTATGTATCTAAACATACTTAAACATAGAAAAGTATGTAAAAATATATATTATAATCTCATGGGACCACTTTTGTATATGTAATCCATCTTTGACTGAAATGTTATTATGCATGACATGACTCTATGACAAAAATAAAATAATACATTGTAAAAAATGTACACATGTATCCAACATATTAATAGTATAAAAATAATTTATTCAGTGTAAGAATTTGTAATGATCACAAAATGTTCACAGCTTATATTTTAGTAGAGTTTCAAATGCCTAGTTTAATTACTATTTATTTCTTTGTGTATTTTAAACATGTATATAATAAATATTTTTCAGGTTCAACAATATATATCAATCCTACTGGCTCTTATAATAATTAGTTAAAACCAATTAGTAAATTCATGTATATATATACACACGTGTATCAGTGAGTGTGTGCATGTGTGTGAAAATGTAATTGTATGTGTTGTAAATGTAATTGGTAACATTTAGGTTACCAATTGCATCCTAACATTTACCCTTACCTACAAGATTTCCAAGATTCATTTATTATCTTTAGATGATGTGCATTTAAAGATTTACCAAATAAAACTGTAATCATGGAAAATATCAGATGTTATTAAATTCACCTTGTGGACATAATTGTTTCTTTAAATTTATGTTTCTTGCAAAACTTGCAGTAATGCTCATGCACAAAATAATTTTCTAAATAAAATCATTTTCTCAGTCATTAATTCTTAATAATTTCTCCCCAATAATTAATGTGAATTCTTAATTATAGAATAATGTTGCCCTTCAGAGTTCTGAAACTTTTGCATGTTGTATACATTTCACTAACTAGAACAACTTCTGAAATACTGGCATTAATTAATGTCACTCAGCAATTATTGATTTCAAAGAAATTAAATACCATTCATATTGTGAATCACAAGGGTACTTTGACATCTAATTTAATCAAGCTCTTTGTATCATCATCTACACTTTAATTACTTAACAAACATTTCTCTGTGTGAAAAAGAATGAGGAGGTTATTGTGCTTTTTTAAGATGCAACTCCCTATAAGGGACAAAGAGAAAATGAATGAGCAATAGAGACGTGACAGGCATGGAAAAAGACAATACATTTATAAAACAAATAGGGCCACAGATGATGATAATGGGGATCAAATCTTGAGATACTGACTCAGTTTATAAACGCAATGTATAATAGAGCAAATCATTTGTTAATTTTTTTACAAAATGGAATTTAATTTAATTAAGATTGTTTTAAACAAGGCAGGTCATCTTAAAATAAAATAGTGGAATAAAGTGATAAAACCAATGTAAAAATCATAAACATTTTATAAAAAACTTTGTCACGTAATTTAATATTTTTATTTAAAATCACCCAAATCAAAATAATTATATCTTCATTAACAAATAATCATCAGAAGTTAACTAATTTTTACTTTATAAAACTAGGTTTAAAAATTATTAACTATATTTTTAATCATATATGCTTATATATAAAATAGACATAGGATATATATTTACATGTTCACTATATTGTAATTGTTGCTATGGATGTGGTTTTTCAATAGAATTAATAAGTACTTTTAAAAATTTTCGATTTCAATGATATATATGTTTGACTTTTCTTTGACAAAGCATACATATATTGATAGGTAATAATATGAAAATCTTCTAAAGACATTACAGGAACATGAAAATGTAATTAAATCCTCACTAATTTGTAATGTTTTATGTAAGCGGAACACATTTAACTGAAAATTGCTTTTATATAATACTCAAACGAGACTAAAAACATTTTAACTAGCGGAGTAAGTCTCCAAATTGATAATCTGAACTATATAAGAGGAGAAACTTCAGGCACTAAAATATTTGAAATGCTACAAAATATTTATATAAACTATTATTTAACAATTTCTGTTTGTAGAGTGCTATACAGTAATCAATATAAATGACATCTCAAGTCTTTCTATAGCTTTGACCACATTTACCTCCTAATTTTAATTATTAATATGTTGGAGCAGTGCATACAACTAGATTCCGATCTTCCTTTTTAATGAGTAAAAATGTGTCCTTTGAGACAGCATTAAAGAAAGAGCACCTTGTATAAATTCAATGCCAAGAGACAAGATATTCTTGATTCTGAAGTCTTGTTCTTTTATACAGCACTGTAATTAATAAGAAGAAGAAAAGCAGGACATAGATGTGGAGTCTATTTTAATAAAAAATTGTCTATAGATTTTGATGATAAAATTTAAAAATCTACTATATTCAGTTAGTTACAAAAAACTAGGTTGTGGGAACATATTTGGTCAATAAAACACCCCTACCAAATGCTGACAAGAAAAAAAGTTAGGTACCACGTTTCTTTTCTGCAGATGGCCTGAGATGGGTTAGTTTGAAAGAATGCTTCCAAACCTGAGATGACCCCTGAGAACAGCATAATCCACTGCTGTCTCCTACATTCAGTTTCTCAGTTTGTGCTCTTTTAATTTTGGGGGTAGGGAAGGGAGTCCTTTCAACCGATCTTCAGCATGATGGCAGAGCCAAGAAGTGTGGACAGGTGGCACGGTGTCTGACTTTGTTCCAGCAGCCACTTGGGCTTTCTCTGGGTCTTCTCTGCCCTAGGGATAGCACCACTATTGAAAACATGTCTTTGTGACATTCTCTATGCCAGGAACTCCCAACACATTTTCCTTGACACTGATGAAATGAATAAAAATAAACCAAGAGGTGTGCTGTTTGTTTCTGTTTCCTCCTTTCTGCAGCCCTTCTTGATCATCTAATATTTTAAAATACATTGTCGATCACCAAAAGGAGCATAAGGGGTATATTGATTTGTAGCAGGTGTATTAATAGCCCAGCCCCTATTCCTCACCTGTAGCTGCTGGGAAGAAAATCATTCTTAACACTCTACAAGGTCTCATCTCCAGAATTTGCACCTGTTTCTAGCTGAGGACTTTCTCTAGCAGCACGGGAGCTTGTTACTGGGCATGAAGTGGGAAGAAAAGGTGAGGGTAACTAAGAAGAATCTCCCTGGATTCAGTGATGTAATTCTGAGGCATGTTCCACATAGCTTCCCAGAGAATTAAGCCCAGATATCTAACACAGGAACTTGCCTCTTAACAAGTGTGGTATTGGCTTTTCTATCTTTCCTGTTTTATTTTGTTCTCTCTTCCTTGTCTCACTTTCACTGTGTCCTCACTCCTGCTTTAAGAATACCAAAACAAATACATTCATTTATTTTTTTAAACTCTCAGAACACAGTTGATAGTTGAACTTGTAATCTATGATAATCATCTTGGATGCTATACTGACAGGAAGATGGTGAACTCACAATGTCTAATTAAGATAAAATTAAAAAATATATTGATTCATGTCCAAAGATTTAAAAAACCTAAGTGGCAGTGTCACAATTTCTTCTTTTTAGTTTACATGGTTTCTTAAATGCCTACAATTATTTTAAAGGAAGCCTTGTGTCTAGGAAAAATCAAGACATATGGAATAAATTACTAACCCATTTCTCCTTGAAATCCATTAGATGCTTGATGATTTTTCACATATATTTCTGAATTGAAAAGCTAGTTGTGAATTATTTTTATAAGCATATCCTTATGTAATATTTTGTTTTTAACAGTGAATTGAAGGTTTAAAGATTAAAGTATTCTATCCAGAGAATAAAAAGCAATTATTTCACAAGGAGAACATGTATATATTGACACAACATTTTAAAATCTATATTTTTGAGTCAATTAGAATATGTTTATATCAGTCTGTCTACAGTTTTACACATGTCAAAATGTACTTGAACTACAACAAGTACCTTGAACAATTTTGAAATTTATTATTCCTCTGAAACTGATTAAAAGAATTATGGTATAGTGAAATTCTAATTGGTATAATTTGGGAGAGGAATTATTCTTGGAGATCAACCTCTGCCAAGATAGTTTATAATGACATTGAGACTTTTTGATTTACAAAATTTGTTATATAAAAAATACTAAGACGATGACAGGTAATACACAGACTTTAATTAAAATCGTACTAAAATTAAATGTCTAAATAAATTAGAGGGGTACATGGTACATCTAATTGTATGTTTACATATTTTATTTGTGCATTTTATTCCTAGGGTTGCTTTTGCTTTAGTTTGTAAAACGTTCTTATTTTTATGATAATGTAGTATATACTAAATAAAGAAAAATCAGGAAATAGAAAATGAAGAAGAAAACATTAGCTATTATCAACCAAATAAAAATTGTGCAATCTCTAAGCACATGAACTATGTATTATTTGTACAGCATGTACAGTGTTTATGCGTCACAGGGTGAGGTAGAGACTGCAAAACATTTAACCTGGGACAAATAAGAAAGTAAGGAAATTTTCACAATATATTAATATTATAGAAAATGTTGAACTTAACAGTTAAGATAAAAGTAGTGAAAAATGATAGTATTTAAGGAGATCTAGAAAATTTAATCTATCTCTGTAATGTGTGAGAAGTATTAGAATAATGCTTGTATTTCTGGATTGGCATCGATTTCTATTGAGACCGGAAACATAATAGAAGTGAGGGAAAAAGAATTTAAATTGCGGATACTTGAGTTTTATACCTAGGAGTTCGAGAAATACATTTTGTTACTATCAAAGCAGTTGGCACAAGAGTGTACAAAATTCCCTAATTGTGTCTATGTGGAGAAGACATAGACAAACAGAATAGCAAAACAGAAATAGCAAAAAAGCAAAAATAAATTTTACCTGTATTTTTATGTAAAAGCCAATTAGAGTAGGAAAACATGAAATTTGTGTTTTCTCAAAATTTTTCTCTTTCTCATAATATAGTTGATTATATTACTGGAAAAAAATTGAAGCATTGGTATGTTCACAAAAAAAAAGTAAAATATAAGTTCAAAACCATGGGACTGCAGGGAGCAGACAAAATATACCTAAACACCGAAACTGATTTTGCCCTACGGACATGTACCAAAATGAATGAGTGCAGATTCCTACTGTCATACATCACATAGGACAGTAAAGAAATACATAGTTTTTCCCAAGATAGGGCATCACACAGGAGCTCCTCCCTAAAGCTAGGACCAAAATTTCTATCCTCAGTATAAAGAAGAATCAGAGGTAAATTAATCCCATTTCACATTCCCTGGAAATGGCAAATAAAAATGACTTGAGATTGGACAGATTTAAAGAAACTCAATCACTAATGATTTACAGCAATTAATTAAAAAATTGTTTAAATGTGCAGTCCGAACATACATCCAAACACCTTTAGACCAAGAATTAACATAATGTGGTCCCAGAATGGTGATGCCTTTAGTAGACTCACAAAAAAATTCAAATTCTCTTTGGCAAGTTTTCTTCTTACTAATACTCAAAAGTGCACAAAAATAATTTTCGGAGAAAAATAAATATTTGTCATTCAAAGGCATCTAAGTACACAAGGAAATGATATTCCAACATTTGAAAGGAAAGCAGAAAAAGAGTACAAACAGATCCATAAAGGTTCATTAGTAGAAATATCACTGTTAGATTATAAAGCACATTTGCTTTAAAAAAATTTAAAATAAAAAGAATATATTTTAGGAGACTAAAAAATTGATGTAGCAAATTTGAAAAGTAGTTTGCATAAAAATATAGTATTTTAAATTAAAAACTCAAAAATGAACTCATCAGATTAGACATGGCCATGGTGAGAGTTCATAAATATTTCAGAATGCATTACAGAAAATTTTTAAAAATGCAAAATGTGGACAGAGTCATTAAGAGACATGGAAGATACGGTGAGAAAATGTAGCATGTGTTTAGTGAGTGTTCTCATAGAAGAAGGGAACTGGGAAGGGACAATATGTGATGGTATTTTGGCTGAAAGTTCTCTAGACTTTTGTAAGACACTAATCTGCATATTCAAAAGTTCCATGCACGCTAAGCAAGCTACAGTGGAGATAAACCTACACCTATGTATCTCCTAGAGAAATAGTAAACAATCAGGAAGGGAAAAATATTTCAATTAGCACTAGAAAAATCAAATTACCTTTAATCATATTGAAATCAGAAAGAATGAAAGGTAAAATAAACAATATTATTTGTTAAGACTAATAATGCCATTCTGAAATTCTCAACCAAGAAAAATATTCATCAACCTATGGCTAAATAACATATTTAGAGACAAAAAACAAAACGCCTCCAGCAGAATTCCACTAAAGAAACTGAAAACATGCTTCAGAAAGGTTGAAGTTCTGAAATCAAAGAATGAACACAGAGCAAAATATATTGTAAACATACAGATAGATTTAAATAAAAAATTAGGTGTTGAAACAAAAATATATTTAAAATTAGATAAGCACTGCAATATGTATGTTAGGAAGCAAATTATTAGGGCTGAAGTATTCAAAGACCCCTTAATTGTCTGACAAGAGCAGAAAGGTGAGTATGACTTTGCAACTCTTTTTTTTTTTTTTTTTTTTTTTTTTTTTTTTGAGAAGGAGTCTCACTCATTCTTTCGCCCAGGCTGGAATGCAGTGGTGCCATCTCGGCTCACTGCAACCTCTGCCTCCCAGGTTCAAGCAATTCTCCTGCCTCAGCCTCCTGAGTAGCGGGGATTACAGCCGCGTGCCACCATGCCTGGCTAATTTTTGTATTTTTAGTACAGACGGGGTTTCACCACGTTGGTCAGGATAGTCTCCAACTCCTGACCTCGTGATCCACATGCCTCGGCCTCCCGAAGTGTTGAGATTACAGGCGTGAGCCACTGCACGTGACCGACTTTGGAACTTTAATAAATTCACTGGACGTTATGCATTTCTCTGTTGTTATCTATGAAAACAATAAAAATAAAAGTCATAATTTAAAAACAAGAAGACAGAAACTAATAGGAGAAAATGAGACAATATATATATACAACAAATTAATAAAACAAATTAAGTATAAATGATCAAAGATTAACTTAAACCTAAGTAGACAATGTTTTTGTTAAAATACAAAGATTGGCAAAATTAAAAAAGTCCATCTCTATCATAGTTACAAGAGAGGTAACTAATATATTAATTTACAGAAACTTTGAAGTTCAAACAATACAGATACTGTGTATATATGATATACATACAAACATACTACATGAATATAATTTTTTAAAAACTTGCTATGTAGACAAAATAGAATGTAAGTTAGAAACATTTATTAAAATAAGTTAGTCTAACCAGTGTGATAAAAGATTTAAGTTATTAAGACGATGTGATGACTTAAATGTGCATTAGCCTGATACATACATACATATATACACACACACCACACACTCACACATATACGTATTTAGAGAGAGAGTCAAATTATATAAAGCAAAAATATCAGAAAGTAAGTAGAAATGGATAAGCCCCCAAATCATTATAGACTTTTGAAACACACATCTTTCAGTAATAGATAAAAGAAAAAATTAAAAGAGTAAGTTTTAAAAGAAGCTAGTGGATTTTAAAAAGGGCAAATGTTATATAAGGAACATGAATATTATAATTCATGTTATTTTCATGTTCATACAGAATACTTACAAAAATTAACATTTTCTAGACCATACCACAAATTCAAACAATTTTCACGAAAATAACGTGACACAGAATATATTTCCTAAACAAACAGCAATGAAGGTAGATATCAATACAAAAAAGAAAGCTAGAAACATAGGTCTAATAATATTGGCTGGAAGCTATTTTAATGAATATTGAAATATTTTAAAGGTGAATAGTCAATACAAATGAACCAAACACTTTTGTAAGGCCACTAAGATGCATGTGTAATGTGTAATGCCTCCTTTTATAAGGAGTAAATCTGTAACATCACCTGGGCTATTTGACAACTGCAAAGTGAATATGAGAAGGAGAGAAACAGTGAGAGAGAGAGAGATAAAACCAGTAAAATAAACATAAAGAATGAAGGAAATAGCCAGGTGCCATGGTTCACGCCTGTAATCCCAGCACTTTGGGAGGCCGAGGCAGGTGGATCACCTGAGGTCAGGAGTTCGAGACCAGCCTGGTCCAACATGGTGAAACCCATTCTCTACTAAATATACAAAAATTAGCCTGGCATTGTGGCATGCACCTGTAATCCCAGCTACTCGGGAGGCTGAGGTGGGAGAATTGCTTGAACGTGGCGGGTGGAGGTTGCAGTGAGTAGAGATCACGCCACTGCACTCCAGCTTGGGCGACAGAGCAAGACTCCATCTCAAAAAAAAAAAAAAAAAAAAAAAGGAGGAACCAGTACATGAAAAAGCAGTATTAAAGCAACTGAGTATATATTTAAAAACGCAAAAGCTCACTTTTTCAGAAAAATATTAAAATATTAAATCTAACAAATATCTAGGTAGACTGATGGAGAAAAATACAGAAAATGCACAAAAAACCAATTACCTGGAATGCGAAGGTTACAAAACGTCAGCAGTTGTAAATTTCAAATAAGCAATGACTTTGAGTTCAACCATGATGGGGTATATTGAAAAGAATCTCTCAGAAAAAAAAGAAAAAGAAAACTGTTATAAAGCTATGTACAAAATGTTAAGCACTATTAAAGCCTTCCAATTCTACCAGTTATGGAGTTATTGGTTTTGGATTAACTATCCTGAAAAAAAAAAAAAAAGAAAACAAACAAAAAAAAAACTAAAAACCTGGATAAAATAGCCTACCGTGGGCACTGGCAATGCAACCAAGCAGGTAGGACATGGGTGCTACATTCTCTTTGTCAGAACACAAAGCATTCATACACTCTTCTCACCCTCACTCTCACCTTTTAATCTTAGATCTACTATTAAATGTTTTCAACATTACTATCAATCCTTTGGTCAAAATTTCTTTACTCACATTTTGCTTGATGCACTTGGATAGACTGTTCAAGAAAGTGTGAGTAGTGAATTCCTCAAACTCTTGCATATTTAAAATTACATTTTTGAACCTTGATGCTTGAAGTGTAGCTTGGGTAATGGGTGGGCTTTAAGCCAATTTTGGCATGCAAGGGGTTGAGTTTATTAGGCATCAGCACCTCTGAAAATTGTGGGGATGCAGGCTTAATTTCAACACTTGAAAGATATTATATAATTCTTTAATAAACTCCTGTGTCTACAAATCGTTCGCATTAACTCAATATCCATGATTAAACATCTATAAAATCAAGGCACTCTTATTTAGTGGAGACTTGCTGGCTATTCTATGAGAGGAGGTATTGTTATTGTAATCTCATCCTCTCAAAAAGTGTATCATATTACTCATAACCAGCCCTTCATATTCTATTCCTATTTTGGTATTTTAAAATAAGATATCTTTGAAACACTTCAATTCAAAGAGGGAATCTGAATAGTTTTTAAAATGTCAATGAAATGCCATTTCTTCATGCTTGAACAAATAAAAATCGACTAAAGTGCTTCTCTTCAAACTTTCTGGAACATTTTTTATCTAAATTCTAAGAACAATCACAATAGGTTTTAACCACAAATGTGAGAATATTCTAAATGTTAGGGTGGAAAAATTTTTTAAATAATTTTATAGTAATTTTTTCATCATAGTGACAGTGTGCTAAATTTTTTTAAGTCAAATATTACTGTGGACATTTAAGTCAAGATTCTAAGAAGCTGTTCTAAAGTCCAAAATTTAGTTTCATATACAGTGATGTTATATATATATTTGCATATAAAATTAATATATGTGAGCCATGTTTCAAATGCTTGAGAGATCATTATATCAAAGATTCTTGATTATATAAAATGCCAATTACTTATAGGCACACATGCTTTAAATAATTACAAAGGCAGTTGTGGTTGATTCTACTCTTGCTACTGGCATTTATATGGACATCATATTATGGTCTGAAGAATGTTTAGGCAAATTTATCCCTCATATGATCAGAAGAACAATGCAAGATAGTTTATATCTGAAAGGAAAAAAATCTTTATATGGTTCTGAAAGCCTAAATCATTAACAACTTGGATAATAATTAGCATAAAAATACACAAACATGCCCTCTTCCTAGCAGTAAATACACAGTGACAACAGAATCAAAGCATGTGGCTATGTGCATGTTTATATTTCAAGACGCAGAGCACTCTATTCCTCTTCTCTGCCCTTTCTAGTTGGCACAATTCCTCATGAATCTAAGTGCAGTCATAGGGTGGATTAGAGTGACCTGCCATTTGTATGCAACTGATCTCTATTTTGGAAGTAATTAAAGTAAAAATATATTTTTAAAAGATAATTTCAAATTTCAGTGCAAACTAGCATGGATTCACCCCTTTTCTTTGTAACATTTTTTCTAAGGTTGGAAAAGTAAGGTAGGCTTTAGTACGATTTTTAATAATAAGTTTTCAAAGTGAGATGCAAAATGGTGGCGCCAACACATTTCAAATCTGCTACATTTTGAATACACTTATTGGAGAAAAGACCTTCTCATCATTTTTCTCTTACAGGAAAGGAAATAACAAGTACAGTTGACCCTTAAGCAACACGGAGGTTGGGGCGCTGGCCCCACTGCACAGTAGAAAATCCACTATAACTTTGACTCCCCCAAAACTTAACTACTAATAGCCTACTGTAAGCCTTACAAATAACACAAGCAGTCAATTAACACATATTTAATATGTTATATGTCTTATATACTGTATTCTTAACAAACATGCCAGAGAAAAGAAAAAGAAAATCATAAGGAAAATATATTTACTAGTTATTAAATGGAAGTAGATGATCAGACAGGTCTTCATCCTCATCCTTTTCCTGGGCAGGGTGTGGAGAAAGATGTAGAATTGTTGGTTTTGCTAAGTGGACCTGCACAGTTCAAACCCCTGTGGTGTAAAGGCCAACTGTATAGCCATTGAATAGCAATTTATTTTTAGAAATTAACCTCACTAAAATACTCTTAGAAGGATGCCAAGAAAAAAAATGAATAAGTATTTTTGGTTCATCTATTTCATCATTTCATTTCATCATTTCATTTCATTTCATTTCATCATTTCATCTTTTCATTTCATCATTTCATCTCATCATTTCATCATTTCATCATTTCATCACATTTCATTTCATCATTTCACTTCATCTCATTTATTCATTTCATCTTATGATTTCATTTCATCTCATCATTTCATCTTTTCATCTCGTCATTTCATCTTTTCATCTCATTGCATTTCATTTCATCATTTCATCAATTCATTTCATTTCATTTATTTCATCATTTCATTTCACCATTTCATCATTTCATCATTTGACTTCATTTCATCATTTCATAACATCATTTCATCACTTCATCTTTTCATTTCATCATTTCACTTCATAATTTCATCATTTCATTTCCTCATTTCATTTCATTTCATCCTTTCATCATTTCATCTCATCATTTCATCCTTTCATTTCATTATTTCATTTCATCATTTCATCTCATCGTTTGCATTTCGTCACTTCATTTCATTTCATCATTTCACTTCATCTCATCATTTCATCATTTCATCTCATGATTTCATTTCATCTCATTTCATCTTTTCATCTCGTCATTTCATTTCATCATTTCATTTCATCTATTCATCATTTCATCATTTCATTTCATTATTTCATCATTTAATCATTTCACTTCATTTCATCATTTGATTTCATTTCATCATTTCATATAATTTCATTTCATCATTTGATCTTTTCATCATTTCATTTCATTTCACTTCATTTCATTTCATCATTTCATTTCACCATTTCATTTCATCATTTCATCATTTCATCATTTCCTTATTTCATTTCATCATTTCATCTCATCATTTCATCATTTCACTTCATCTCATCATTTCATCATTTCACTTCATCTCATTTCATCATTTCATCTCGATTTCATTTCATCTCATCATTTCATCTCATGATTTCATTTCATCTCATCATTTCATCTCATGATTTCATTTCATCTCATCAATTCATTTCACCTTTTCATGTCCTCATTTCATTATTTCATTTCATCTTTTCATCTCGTCATTCATTTCATCATTTCAATTCATCATTTCATTTCCTCATTTCATCATTTCACTTCATCATTTCATTCCATCATTTCATATCATTTCTTCATTTCACCATTTCATCATTTCATTTCATTTCATCATTTCACTTCATTTCATTTCATTTCATTCCATTTCATTTCTTCATTTCATCATTTCATTTCATCATTTAATTTCATTTCATCATTTCATCATTTCATTTCATTTCAGTGATACATGTATTTAAGTGCTAATGCGATGCCCAGGAGACACCCTATTTCCTTGTAAAACACCTCCTTCAACAAAAGGCAACCTCTCATGGCTGGCTAAGTCTACAGGGATACCAGCCTCTCTTCAACCACCCAATTTGATTTAGAACCTCAAAGAGCACCTCAGTTTCATAAAAACCTAAAACATAAACACAACACTTGGTTGTAAGTGAGGCAACAGTTTCTTGTCTCTTTCTCTGCTCAAGGCTTAAGGCCATGTCTCCCCAACTACGTTCAGTGGAAGAAAAGATCCCCTGGACAAATAAGTTTGAGAACTGTTGTTGCAGGACTTCTCAGAACCTTTAAAACACAAATCCTCATCTGCAGGGATTTTCAGGAGGGAGACAGCTGATGCAGCACAACTTTCTTTCACAGGAGCATCTTGCAGAATACAGTATGAGATACAGAAAGGCTGCATTGAGTCTTTTTAAGGGCCCGGGCCTTGGTGGGGGTGGGGTAGGAGCTCTCCAGATAGCATCTAATGAGTAGGAACATTCAGGTGGCTTTTTTTTCTCCTTATTGGCAAAACTGTGTGTGCACCATGAACGAAGCTGGTCTCCCTTATCCATATCAAAACTAAACCCAAATTAATTGGCTAAATTGGGACTCAACACCTCCAGGAGCCATGCAGAAGAAAGCCCCACCACACTTTAAAGTAGCTTACCTCATCATATTTGAGGAAAGCAAAATGCTTATGACCAGTATGCTGCTAATACAAGTCTACAGATAATGCTGTAGGAAAAATTATTTTTCCCAATCATAGCTGGCATAGTCCACAGTTTGCATTACACTTTCCCCCCTTTTTTTAAATTTGAAACACAGGTCTTTTCCTCTTCTTTTATTAAATTTTAATTTAATTATACAAGACAGAGTCTCAGTATGTTGCCCAGGCTGGTCTTCAACTCCTGAGCTCAAGCGATACAGCTGTCTCTGCCTCCCAAAGTGCTGAGATTACAGGCCTGAGACACTGTGCCCGGCCTTAAACACAAATCTTAATTCATTCTTACAATTATCCTGAGGTTAGAAAAATGGAAGGGGAAGAAAAATGGCAAGCAGGTAGGCTGACTTCAGCTTCATTATTTGGAAGGACAGTTTGCTCGGTTAAAACACACTACTGCCCACAAAGGCCAAGACAACAGAAAAATACAGACTTATATAAATAGATTTTATATGTGACAGCAGTTTAAATGGAGACTTTTTCAATGAAAATGACAAACAGCTGTGCTTGGGAATAAATGACAACGAATTTTTTATCTCAATAGCTGTCCTGAAAGCATGTCTCTACATCTCTACCTGCATTCTGGAATCAGGGAGAAAGCCAAAATGGACGACAAGACACTAGATCAGCTGTGTCCAACCCTTTGACTACAAGGACTTTTCCACCTATCTGTGATGGTGGGTATCATGAAAATTATGCACAAACCTTTTTTTTTTTTTAAGCTCATCAGCTATCGTTAGCATTAGTGTATTTTATGTGCGGCCTAGGAGCATTCTTCTTCCAATGTGGCCCTGAGAAGCCAAAAGACTGGACACCTGTGCACTAGATCAAAAGGCTACTCCTTCTGGAAGCAATTGTAAAGAATTTCTGACATTATCTAGACATGAAAACCAATGGATAGTGAGACAGAATGCAAAATCTTCAAGAATTTTTCTTGTTGGTTTTTTTTTTTTTTGCGTCAAGGTCTTGCTCTGTGGCCCAGACTGGAGTACACTGGTGAGATCACAGCTCAGTGCAGGCTCAAGTGCTCCTCCCGCCTCAGCCACAGTAGTACCTGGAACTACAGATGCGCACAACCACCCCTGGATAATATTTTATTTTTTGTAGAGACGGGGTCTCACTATATTGTCCAGGTTGTTCTCAAACTCCTTGACTCAAGGGATCCAGGACAAGATAACAGGTGTGAGCCACCCCACCTGGCCATGTGCAGGAATTTTAAGACAAACACAAGGCCCCACAAAAGTTAAGGTTTTCCCACCTAATTTCCAGGGGATCTTTTGGTGCAAGGATGAGAAGCCCTTAAAAGTACACAGACAACTCCAAAGATTCAAGACAGTTCATTCGGGCTGAGCCAGCCCACTGGGCAGACTGACCTTCAAAAAAGGCCCACCCATGACATACACCAGATGGCTCTCCAAGAATCTCTCCAGTCCTCAGGGTCCCTAAGGTACTGGACAGAGCTAGGAAAGCAAGCCTATTTGCTTTTTCCTGCAAGAAACCCCTTGAGGTCAAGACCCCACAATCAGACGAGGATGGAGTGGCTCACCCTCAGTCAACATGCCAGATTCAAGGTGGTATAATGTCTTAACCAAGCGTGTGGGCCTCCAGGTCTGACTCCCAACTCAGTTCTCCTTTAATAACCACTCTTTGTTAATTCTCCTTAACAGGGGTTCCTGGCAAGTCAGTTCTCCCTCAGGCCTTCGGTTTCCTCACCTACAAGATGAGAGGGCTGGACCAGATGGAAATTCGGGGGGGGGGGGGGGTAAGGGGATGTCCGCGCGCAGCCCACCCCACCCATGGGCCCCTCGAGCCTCTATCCCAGTTCCGACCACGCACCCGCCCCAGAAATCCTGCCCAAGGTGAGGGCTGGACCCGGGTCCTCCGGCTGCCGCATCAGCAAGTGCAGGAGGGAGAAGCCTCCAACCGGGCGACTCGAGCTCAAGGATGCAACTCCGCCAGAAGTGAACTAGGGCCCGGAGGGAGGTGTCCGGGCCGCTCCTCGAGCCCAGCCGGGGTCCACACACCCCTTACCTCCAGGGTCCGTATCTCCTGCTGGGTGAGGTCGTTGGACACAGCGCACTTGGTGCGCAGCCCGCGCAGGCTGCCGATGAGGTTCTGGAGCTGCCCGCACTGCTGCAGCGCCCGGCTGGCCGCCGCCCCTGCGCCTCCCACCGCGGCCGGCGCATCACCCCCGCCACCGCCCTCCTTCTTCTCTCACATCGCGGCCGCGCGGAGCGCCGCTCTATGCAGGCCGCAGCGGCCAAGGCGGGGAGCCCGGGGCGCCGGCGCGTAGGCAAGGGACCCCCGAGCCGGGAGAGCTGGACCAGGAGCGCCCCTCAGCGCTGCCCGAGCCAGGACGCCGGTAGAGCTGGCAGCCGAGTGTGCCGCTCCCGCCCTCAGAGCCGCGGCGGGCAAAAAGCTGCGGCGTCGGGGGCAAAAAGGCGCGGCGTCGGGGGCAAAGAGCCGCGACGGCAAAAACCCGCGGCGGCGGGGGCAAAAAGCCGCGGGGGCAAAAGCCACAAAAAGCCGCGGCGGCGGGGGCAAAAAGCCGCGCCGGCAAAAAACAGCGGCGGCGGGGGCAACAAGCCGCAAAAAGCCGCGGCGGCGGGGGCAAAAAACCGCGGCGGCGGCGGGGGCAAAAAACCGCGGCGGGGGCGGCGGCAAAAGCGGCGGCGGCGGGGATGGAGGCAAAAAGCCGGGGCGGCGGCGACGGCGGCAAAAGGCGGCGGCGGCAGAAAGCGGCGGCGGCGGCAGAAAGCTGCGGCAAAAAGGGGCGGCGGCAGAAAGCGGCGGCAAAAAGCCGCGGCTGCGGGAGCAAAAATATATGTATAGACATATATATTTTATATGCAGTCTTGCTTTGTCACCCAGGCTGGAGTGCAGTGGCGCGATGTCAGCTCACTGCAACTTCCACCTCCTGGGTTCATGCAATTCTCCTGTGTAGCTGGGATTACAGGCATGCGCCAGCATGCCTGGCTAATGTTTGTGTTTTTATAGAGACGGGGTTTCGCCATGTTGGCCAGGCTGGTCTCGAACTCCTGACCTCCAGTGATCTGCCCGCCTCACCCTCTCAAAGTGCTGGGATTACAGGCGTGGGCCACTGCGCCTGGCCCCATATTTGGCTTTTTAAAAACCTGTCTGTATTGTCTACAGGCTGGGCAGATCTGTCAGGGAGGTCTTGGCTGGGAGATGGAAACGATGCAAGGGAGAGGGAGAGGCTGACACAGCCAGCTGGACGGGCGGGCAGGGGAGGGGAGCCGTGGGAGCCGGCTGGGAGCCTGCCACACTCCCCTCCTCCTGAAGCCTTTTGGGGTTGCTGCCCTGCCTGTGGCCACGGGTTTAAGGACCCCCCTGGTCATTTTTCTTTGTCCCAGATCTGTTGCTACCAACGGTGAGGTATTCCTAATGTTCCCCTTGGCTGTGTCCTGTGCATGGAGCAAGGACCTCTCCCCTTTTTCCTGCACGACAGGGCTCTGTGCCACCTATTTTCTCAGGCCCTCCCACCCCCAGGCCCCATCCTGGGTTAGTACTCACCGGTGACCAGGGTGAAGTGGCAGGGGCTGGTCATGGTGACAAAGGCGGGGGTCATGTAGCGTGCCTTCACCCCGTCTCGGGCCATGGCGTCCAGGTTGGGGGTGTCCACGTCCTGCTCGTAGTTCCAGCGGAAGCTGTCGAAGGACACCAGGAGCAGCTTGTTCCGGGAGCCCTGACTTTGTACCGGTGCCCCGGCCCTGGGAGCCAGGAGCGTGGGCAGAGCCACAGTGAGGAGGACGGTCGGGCCTCTCATGCTGGGCCTTCCAGATGGACAGGCACACAGGGTGCACAGGGCTGGCTCCTGCCGAAGAGGGCAAAGTCCCAGGGTCACCTGGGCTGATCTCATCCCGTGTGTCTTTGGAATGTGGCTGTGCACATCCCCGGGTCATACTTCGGGAGTGGGCTCCCCAGCCGTGTCAGTGCCACTCCTGGACCCAGCCTCAAGTGCGTGGGACGGCATCAACTTGAGCATCTGCCTTTATTGCCAGCCGCGCCCTTGGGGCTCCAGGCTCCTCTCCTCCCTCCCCAGAGTGCGGACAGTGACCCAGGGCTCAGAGCACAGCAGGAGCCCATTCTACCGGGAAAGTTGTGCCTTCTCCCTCTCCCATAGCAACCGGTGGTCCCTTTGTCCCAGCTTACCCTGACCCCAGGGGACCCAGGTGAGGCTGCGGTGGGACCCCCTCTCCAGGCCTTTAGCGGTGCATGGGCCTCAGGCCTGCCTGGGTGAGGGCCTGTGGGGTGGGCTTCCCACGGTCAGGGCCAGGACCAAGCCTGGGTCACAGCATGGCCTTGTCCGGGGGGAACCCCAGGCTGGGTGTCTTTTCTCCTCCTGCTCCTGTTAAGGGGCTCCTTGAGTGTGGTGAGCAGACCGGGAACCCGATGGCTCCAGAGCAGCGTCCTGCGCGCCTTCCTTCTTGGGGTGCTTCCTTCTTGGGAATTTCAGAGGGGGCCTGGGGCTCGGGCGTTCTTGCTTGATGGACTTTTTGACAACAAGGGGTCAGAAGAGGGGGACTCCCTTGTTACCATGGGCACATGAGGGGTGGGAGAGGAACCCCTGGATTCAGTGTTCGGTTCTCCCTCCCTCTCCGCCATCTCTCCTTCCCCTTCTCTTATTTTCTCTCTCTTTCTCTGTCTCTCTCCCTCTTTCCTTCTCTGTATGTCTCTGTCTCAGTACCTATCAAGCACGTTCTGTGTGCCAGGCATGGTTCTAGGTTCCGGGGACACAGAAGTGAATGAGACAGACAGTGTTCCGCGTGGCCTCCATTCGAGTTGGGGACACAGAAAATAAAATGAACAAACAAGAAGAAAAGAGTTTCCCAAAAGAAGGGAAGGAGGAATACGTGATGGAGAGGCTGGCGGGGTGGGTGGGTGGCACGCAGTGGTGGCTGGTGGGGTTTGGCTGAGAGGATGGTGGAGGCCAGTGACTCTGGGGGACCATGAGCTAGGGGAGCGGGCATGGGGCAGGTGGCAGGGCCAGTCCCGTGGGGCAGGCAGTGGTGATTCTCATGCCAGGCAGTGGAAGCCAGGGGCGGGTTTTAAGCGAGAGAGCGACATGAACTGATCTAATGCTAAAATACACTCTCCATTTGTGGGTGAAGGACGGACCAGAACGAGGGCAGAAGGGACACTGGGTGCTCCCTGGAGAGGTGACTGCCTGTGTCCGAGCAAGAGCTATTGGTGGCCCGGACCAGGGTGATGGCTGTGGGATGGGGCTGGGTTTGAGGTGGATCCTGGAGGTTTTGCTGAGAGGTGGTGCTCTGGATTGCATGGTGGGAGGTGGTGCACTGATTGCACGGTGGGAAGATGGAAGGGCATGGCTGGGGGTATTGTCACAATTTCAATCTGGAGCCACACACCTGTCGACAGTGGCCTTGGCCTTCCTTAAGACCTTTGCCTGGCTGCAGCAAGCAGACGCCGTCTCAAAGTGATGGCCGTGGCACTCAGATGACACCGCAGACGTCGTCCACAGCCTCCCCAGGCCAGTCAGCCTTTCCTAACCCAGGTGGGCAGGGACCACTGGTACGGATCCCCGGCCGGACTCTCAAGGAGGACTCCGTGCCAGTGACCCCCGCTTCTTCACGCTTCTGTGCACTAAAGGCTGAAAACCAGGATGGAGCGACTGCCGGGTGCCTGCAACCACCGCATGGGGTGCCTACCCTGCAGGGCTGGGGCTCAGGGCGCCCAGAGGTGCGGCTCCTCCCTGGGGAGCACAGACCCTGGGGAGGGTAAGGATCCCTGTGTGTCAGGGACAGAGGTTGCGATGCACGCACAGGGGGAGTGCAGGCGGCCTCGAGAGAGGAGATCGGGCTTTGCTGGCACCAGCGCTGGGGGAAGCCCACAGGATGCTTGGAGCCAGGAGAGAGGGCAGGAAGGCTTCAGGCAGAGGGACCAGGCATGGAGGAAGGGAGGCACCCGGGCTCCCGAGGGGGTCGGCCAGGAGGAGCCTGTAGGCCATGGCGGAATCTGGATTTTCAGCTGTGGCAGAGCTGGTTAGTTGTCCCCTACTATCCGTTCTCCCCTGTTTCCATGATAAGACGGCTGCAAAGAAGAAAGACTACATTTCCCAGCGTTCCTTGCAGTAAAGCATGGCCACGTGACCACATTTTGGCCACTGGGGCAAAAGGAGAATGTCACGTACCAGTCCCAGCCTCTTGCCAGAAGCTAGCGTTGCTTCTCTTCTTTTCTGATTTTTCCTCCATCTGATTCTCTGGCTGGCAAGCCACCCTAAGCCGCCTGATGAGGGGCTCCCTGGGGATGGCCATGGTGCGCAGAAGGGGCCTGCTTCCCAGCGTCCTGTGTAGCTCAGCTCCAGGCTGCATCCTCCCGGGGAGAATTCAACACACTCTGCCTGGTTGCAATTTCCATTATTTGGGTTTCCTGTCACTCTCAGCGGGACCTAGTTCAAGCTGATAATAGAATTGCAGGCCTGGGGGGCATTGCTAGGTTTAAGCAGGAGCTGGCTGTGGGGTAGGGCTCGAGAGGGCCGCCAGGGAGGCAGGGCCTGAGTGAGGAGCCGAGGCAGTGGTCCAGGGGCCTGGCCAGGCCCCTGTTGAGGTGCATTTGGGGTGTGCTTGGGGCCGGCGCAGATCTTGGTGTCTTGCAGGTCTGGGGTCCATGGTTCTGCAGGTTCTCCTGTCGGCCCCCCGGGGTCGTGCGAATTCCTGGTCCTGTTCACCCTCTTACCTGCCTGGGCCTGGTCTGGAGATGGCATGAAAGGTCTGCTCCTGCTCCTCTCAGGACATCCCAGCCATGCTTGGGTAACTCTCCTCTGGTTTTTGGCTCTGTACTTCAATCCCGCTTTGCTGGGGAGCTCCTTGGGTCACCCCATATAGGTTTCCATTTTCTCCCCGATCTCATAGAGCGCTTGGATGGAAAGGATGTGCAGTGGTTGATTGTAGCTCATGGCTACAGGACATTTCCCACAGTCCGTGGGCACTGGGCAATAGCCACGATCTCACTGAAGCTTGGAGGTAGTTCTTGAGGTAGGAGTTAGTACAATCCTTAGTTTACAGGTTAGAAACTGAGGCAGAGAGATGTTAAAGTCACTTGGTGACTGGAGGAGCTGAGCTGGAACCCAAGCGTTCTGGCTCCCAAGCCCCAGCGTTCAGCTTCAGCTGCTTCAAGAGGCAGCAATTTACCAGCCTTTGTTCACTTGGGATTCTATTGTCAGGCTTTGGGGCTATTGACAACATTTTATTTAAAAAATGGTGCAGTTCAGCCTGGCCAATGTGGCAAAAACCCATTTCTACGAAAAATACAAAAATTAGCTGGGCATGGTGGTGCGCACCTGTAATCCCAGCTACTTGGGAGGCTGAGGCATGGGAATTGCTTGAACCTGGGAGGTGGAGATTGCAGTGAGGCGAGTGCACACTACTGCACTCTAGCCTGGGCAACAGAGCGAGACTCTGTCTCAAAAAAACAGAACAAAACAAAACAAACAAACAAATATAGTGCAGCTGTGAGTATCTTGACACCACTGACTTTTTCCTTTTCTTTCTTTGATTTTTAACATTTGCCTTCTTTCCTTGGGGTACAGTGCTTAGAGAAAGGTTATTGGACAAAAGATAGAAAAGCTACTTGGTTCTTATGATCAGATGGCTGTCAGGTGACTGACCCTCTCCTAGACCTAACTCTACTCCACTAAGCCTTCAAGGCGCTGACCTTAGGCTCTGTCCTCGGCTTGTTTAGTTCAGGTTTAGCAAGAGTCCTGCTGGGTCAGTTTAGTGAAAATCCTATGGGATCACCCTCAATATTTGATCAAATTCCTCATCCTCCACTCTCGATATCTTGTTACCCTGGCCTGCTTTCAGGAAGATTCCTGCTGAGTTGGCCGAGCAAGCATCCCCTCTCCTCAATGTCTCCTCTTTGTCATTTTCCACCCACCCGGCACCCTTGCTCCTGGACTGTACATCCTACTCATCCTTTGTAGAGTGAGACTGAGCCCAATCTCGCTCTCCTACAGCAAAACCCTATTGTGGTAGCCCCCCTGGAATAAGGTCTTCCTACCTGTCTTTAACAAGAGTCATGAATACTTTTTTCTTTATTTTAAAAATTATTATTATTACTATTATTATTTTTTGAGACAGAGTCTCATTCTTTTGCCGAGGCTGGAGTGCAGACTCCGTCTCAGATAGATAGATAGATAGATAGATAGATAGATAGATAGATAAATAAATGAATGATGCAAATAATTTAGTGGCTTTCATTATGCTATAAATAATTCATATAGGTCATTATTAGAGCTTTAATTGATAAGCCACTGTATTTTTATTTCTGATTTATATTTTATCTAAAATAAAAAAGTTAAGTAAGAATTAATATGGAAACTAGAATACAAATAAATTTTTAAAGGAATTATGTACCAGGGTCCTAAGATTATAATTACATAAATATTTGCATCAGGGTCCTAAGATTGTAATTGAGAATAACATTTCATACAGAGCTTTCTGACAGCTAAGATAAAAATATTACTAGAGAAAACCCATGGACTATTTAATAATAAGCAGTGAAAGTTCATTTGAAGCCTATCTCTATTAATTCAGAGCCTGGCTCTCCAAATTAAAAAGAGATAGGCTTCAAATGAACTGTCAATCGTGTCAGAATCTGAGACGACAACATTAGGTGCTCGCACCTGACGTTGTCATCTGAGATTCTGACACCATGGTTAGAAGAGAATGAGGCAAGTGTGTATCACCCAGAGGAAACCTCCACCTTTACTGGTAAGCTCTCACAACTGTATCCGTGAAACTCTCATTTCTCAAATGTTAACGTTCTCCAAAATAAGTATTTACAAATAGGGATTAGGTGAAGTTAAAAAGATTTCTCAAATACTAGACACAAAATGCACAGTTTTGTAACATTTTTCAAACATGGGTGATCATGAAGTCTTTCTTTTGGGGTATAATGTTGAGCTTCTGGTAAAGTAAATATCCTTTGGAATATATTAATAGTTTAAGAAACACCGCTCTATAGATAATAATTTAGATCATTTATAAAAATACCTGAAACATTTATTACTGTGTCTTAGAGTTTGAGGACATAGAGAAAAAAAATACAGCTGCTGCCCTCAAGAAGCTCTTGGTTCAGGTGGGAAACAATAAAATCCTTGAAACATGCCATGCTAAATGCTGTGACAGAAGCAAAGATTCTTGGAACTGGGAAATGTTTGAAGTGAGTTTTGGAGATGACCAGAGTTCTGTGGTGAGGCAGAGGAGGCTGTTTCCAGCGGAAGGAGCAGAACGTAGAAAAGCACCGAGGAGTGAAAAGAAAGGGACTACCTCTTACGTCCTTTCAATTGTATATATTTAAGCTCACAGGATCTTACATAAGGTTTTCAGTTCAGTTGATAAATATGTAATTATGTGATTATAAATTGTTGCTGTTGTTTTACAGATTGAATGTCAACCACTTTTACTGGCTGCGCATCTAGGAAAACTGATAATGGTGGAATTTTTATTAAAGAAAAATGCAAATATAAATGCAGTTAATTGTCTTAACAGGTACAGACCTTAGTTCTTATTGTGTTGTTTTTAAACCTGAGTGTCATTGTAGAGTGGTAGCGGTCACTCAAGTCACAAATATTATATTAATAAGAAGACTAACTTTTAATTATTGGGATATAGTGAGAAATATCAACACAGATCATCACACGTAGAAAAACAATTATTTGGACTGAGTAACATAAAGAACAGTATATAGCAGGATTTGTCTCTCTATATAGACATTATACACATAAAAGGCTTCTATATATAGAAAGCTTTGTATATTGATAGATGTTTGTTATTTGTAATATGATGTGGTGTTATTTATAATGTAATAATGTGATGCTTTTGATTGTATGATCTTATGTTAGCTAAAGAGGTTTCATGTTTTTCATTTCTACTGTGTTTTGGTGTTGTTTTTAATTGATATGGGGAGAGGGAGAAAAGATAGCTTTAAATGGATAAAACTTTACTTTAATGAAAACAAGCTTTAGGTTCACACAGGACTGGATTTAATCCCTAGTTTTCCCACTTGCTAGATGTGTGACCTTGGTAACATTACTTATCACCAAGTATGTTTTCTTCTGTGAAAAGGAGGGTAATAATATATCCTTCAAGGGTGGTTGTGTGTAAGTAACATTATATGTATATATATATATATATATATATATATATATATATATATATATATAATGTTAGAATGTCCAGCTTACAGAGCAAGGTGCTGATGTTTTGGAAACAATGGCTGAGCATATAAGTATGTGCATATATATAATATATATATACCCACACATATGTATGTAAGAAGATAATGTAAGTAACATCATATATAATATATACAATATATATTTTATAGATAATAATCTATAATGTATATTATATATTTTGTAGATAATATATAATATACAATATTTATATTTTATATATATATGATGTTACTTATGTTACTTATACACAAACACCCTTGAAGGATATATTATTATCCTCCATATACATATATTTATATATAGTGTTTAATTAAATGCCTAGCACATGCTTATGAGCATCATTAACTGAAGCTACGACTACTACTATTAGCATTCCTATTAATATTATTGTTTTAAGCCTGCAGATAGCTCTTATCTGACCCTTTAGGTGATTTTGCATTATAATGTATAGTATCAGACTAGGGAAGAAATGAATAATTTTTCACTTAAATTTGCCTACTGTAGATAGGTGGCCTGAGCATAGTTTCTTGCCCATCAAAAGACTTTAAGTTAGCAACTTTATGTCATACCATAGTGGGACAAGAGGCTTCCTTTTTGTTCCTTGCTTTTAACCTTTGTGGTAACTTGCAAAGATAAACCCTTGAGCACCCAAGATGCTTGTTTCTTAGTACATGTAATTGGGTTAATTCTACATGGACAGACAACATATTAAGTTGATAAAGTATATAAACTTAGCTTTTAAAATGTCATTAAAGTTTTTAATTACCTCTCTGTTATTTTAGATCGGCCCTCACACTTGCTGTTATTCGTGAACACAAAGATATAGTCATTCTTCTTCTGCAGCAAATATTGATATGTTTTCTCGAGATGTGTGTGGAAAGACTGCAGAAGATTATGCCTCTGAGGCTGGGAATTCAGTGTAAGTCTTTACATAAAAAGGCTAGTGAACACTAAATTGAAGTTTAAAATAATTGTAACAATTGCATCTTATATATCAGGTGAGATTTCATAGTTTGGTTCAAGTAGTTTTCAAGTGACAAATTTTCAAGTTTTTAAGTTTTCGAGAGTTGTGCAACTTCATCAGCCAGAAATCAAGCAAAAGGCTAGATAAGTAGCAGCAGGTGCAGGATTCTTGATATTGAAACTTTTAGGACTTTTCTCCTTAGGGATTCCAATGTTGTACATTTTATTTCCAGTATAACCCCTATGCATAGGATAAAGTAGTTTCATATGTTTGATTTTTCTAAATAGTTATTTGGGTCTCAAAATGTCCAGTTTATCAAAAAATCTTGTGCTGTGTACTGCGGACCATCTACTATAGCCTGATCATTGAATTTTTCAAGAACCTAAGGGGTTCCCTAAGTCCAAGGAAGACAATCAGTGTCTACAAGTCAGAATGAGAAGGGGAAAGGGTATTCTAATTTTTGCTTTGTTTTCATTGATTCTGTTGCTGCTTTCTTGCCATTGAAAGTACTCTTGCAGTCTGGTAATGATTAACCTTTGCCACCAGGATGCCCTTTCTGTTTGAGGTCCCTCAATCTTCATGTTGATCCATAAAAAGGCTTCAAAGTTACAACTATTTTTTTAGTTCACTTGCACATACTTATATGCTCAGCCATTGTTTCCAAAACAGCAGAACCTTGCTCTGTTAGCTGGATATTCTAACTTTATCAACATACATACTGAGCAAATTGACACTTTCACCCACACTCAAAACCTGCTGTAGAGCCCGCATTTTAACCTGGGCTTCTAGACCTTCATGGTGAGTTACTTTTTGAGTCCCTTTTTTTCTCTTCAAATATTAGTTGGGATAGTTCTAAACTGTCAGAGATATTCAAATAATGTTGTAGAAAGAGATCACAGTTTTTTCTTTATTGCTACCAGATCTGTACCCTGAGACTTTTTAAATAAACAGTGTAAGAGCTTTTCTCAGGTAGTGGAAGCTTCTATGCCATCCTTCCTTAGAGTAGGAGGCATCAACTTGTGGTTGGCCCCTCAAGTGATTTGTTTTCTATAATAATGAAGATCTCCCAAGCTGCTTGCATCACTATCTCAAGTTTGTAAAATATTTTCAGATTCTACCTTACAGGAAGCCATTCATCGGAATTATCTAAGTCTCAAGTTGGTTAGTTAGATTTAACAGAGCTAACCCTCATCCATGACTTATCAGCATTTATATGTAAAAGTAAGGCTTTGTATTTGCTTTGGCAGCACAAATACTAAAATTGGAACAATACAGAGAAAATTAGCATCGTGAGACATTTCATATTTTGCAGTCAGGGGAAGGTCATTTGACTGTTTGCTGGCTAGCTAAGTCACAGTTTGAATCGAAACAAAATGGGTGGCCCCTTATATTTGAATTGTGATTTTTCACTACAAAAACATTTGTGTAAGGTGATCTATAAACTGAGAATGGAGATAAGTAACACATGGGGTGTTGTGTAAATATTTTGTTAGTATGTATCTTGGAAATGAGAAAATGTCAACTTTCATCTACTTCATGGAACTTAAAAAAAATGAAAGTAGGGTTTTGTCTTCCATGTCAGTTGGAGATAACATCACTGATGGAGATTAACCATCATTCTAGCAAACATCTGGTTCAGTTAGAGTCTGCAGAGAAGTAATAGTGGTAGCCCAAGCCAGATCTTGACATCTGTTAGTTTTCTGCCCTTGGAATTGATGAGCTCAATAATAGTGAACAATCGTGTTACCTATTTTAATGAAATAATGTATTCATAAATTAATTTATTTATGAATTATGAAATAGTTGAGATGCCCTGAATTATAAGCCACAAATAATAGAACAATAAGCAAAATTAGGACTTAACATTTTTCTTAAACTGAAGCATTTGAATATTAGAACCTATGAAAAAATACACATTGGGTTTGATTTGGGATTTCAAAATAGTTTCAGCAATAAAGTTCAAGAACAAATTCCACTGCTTTACTATTTCTCTGTGAATGTTAAAAATGCTACTTCATTAAACCTATATAACAACCTAGTGAAAGAAGATAGTAAAATCTAGAAGAAGACATTGTGCATAAGAGAAGCAACTTGTTTAAGAGCAAATACCTGTTGACTATAGAGCCAGGACCTTCCAGTAAGAGCCAGGAAGGTGACTTTCCATTATGTCAAGCTGATGTGAGATAGTTTGCTGAGCTATACTGCCTTCACTTCATGAGTACTTCACCTGTTTTTATTATTTAATTAGAAAGGTACTAAGAAGTTTGTAGAGCTTACAGAAGAGAAGTGTATAGGATAATTAACATCCTGATATTGTTCAAGATACTCTAATAATTTAGTATATTTGGTAAATGTTTTTGATAATGGTATTAAAATATTAATTTCATTTATTTTTATACATAGCATTGCCGGACTAATTTCTGAATACAAAAGAAAGAAATATGAAGAGCTTTCTATAAATAGCAATCCGGGTAAGATTTCTGATAGTGAATTACTCTTGATGGTACTACCATAGATAAAAAAGAATAAAGATGTTTTGATTACAAAAAAACAGTTTAAAAAAATCAATTTAAATTGCACACATTTAAAAAATACTTAGTAGTCTAGATTTTCTAATTATTTAAAAAGTTAATTGTAGGTAGTTTATAATCTCAGTATTGTTTGAAAAAATTATTATTTTATGATGGTTCCTAATATTCTAGATGATCTTTTTGTGTAAATAAGAAAACAAATTTTTAAGTTATTACATTGCATGGTTTTTTATAGTCACATAATAATGAATTAGACTTTTTATATAATTAGAACTTCTATTTAACTTGTAAAATAAATTCTTTGCAGTTAGTAAATGAATCAGTAATTACAGTTGGCCCTTGAACAACATGGGATTTAGTGCTGCCAATGCCCATGCTGATGAAAATACATATTTGGTATGTTATATATATTATATATTGTATTCTGAGTACAAGAAAGTAAGCTAGAGAAAGGAAGTTTTGCAGTAGTTAAAGCTGTAGTTTCCTTTTAGTTCGATGCTTGAACTACTATCAATCTAGTGTAAGGTGTTCACCCATCCATGATAAAATAAAGTAAATTTACTCCATTTACTCATTTTAAAATGTTGGTCTTTTTCTTGCCCTTATGGCTTCTTCATTTGTTTTACTTAATTTTTTATTTATAAAAAAATAATAGTTGGTAGGGACTTTTTTCCTGTGAAAACCATCAATGAAGAGGCCATGTTGATCTAGGAAATATAAACATATTTATTTGGTAGCAGTAGAAATATAAAGCAGAAGCAGAAAAGAGGTACAGTTAATATGATTTAGTGAACATTGAATATAAAACATTAGTGGGGAGAGAGAAATCTTGGATCATTCATAGGTTTCCAGGTTGTGTACTGGCCTTTATACTGCACAGGAGAAAGGAGTAGGATGTGTTCACTGAATGGAGAAGTACAGCTGGTCAACAGAGAAGAGTAACTTCCCTTCCCTCCAACTCTGAGGTTGGAGATGCAGACGTAGAATGATGTTGTTATAATTATTAGGCAAAGTCATCGATCTCAACTGTCCATGATGCAGATGTAGAATGAGAAGGCATCCAGTGACAAAACCCTGGGAATGTCAACATTCCCTCCCGCCCCCAGGAGAAAAAGAATTGGTAAAGGAGAATGAGCAGTGGCTAGAGAAAAGTAGGAGAGGAGTCAGAGGAAGTGATGTGGCAAAAATAAAAATGTGAGAATTTTAAGGAGGGAGTATCAATTCTAACAAGTAAGATTACTAAAAAGCCAATTAGATTTAACTTTTAAAAGCTCTTTGGCAGTACCCTTTTCAAAAGAACCATTTTTGAGGTGTAATGTGAGCTGTTGATGTGATTGGTATATCTGGTGTCCAAATATGGAGGAACAAATCTACCAAGATCCTACGTAACTCTTTTGTAACTGCAGAAGCTACATGCACAGGGTCAGGGAAAATGGTCTTGACTTCTGATTACATGTGCCCACTCTTTTACAGAATTGTCAAAACCTAAGGGTAATGTGTGAGAAAAACTGCGGTCTTCTTATCTGCTCCTTGTGGAAATACTTAGTTTGTACTGAAATCCCTGATAAGTTCTTCTGGATGCATTCTGAAACAAAAGTCTGGCAGCAGTAACTGGAACCAGATTGTCCAAAGCACATACATCCCAACTCCCTCCAACATGGAATCATAACACAGCCACATTTCGAGAGTTTCAAGTTTCAATTGGAAGTAGTCTACAGACGAGCAGTTTGGAGAAGCTGACATCTTTTATATAATGTTATGGAGAAAAATATAAGGTGATATGCTAAGTATACCAAGTCTCTGTGTTCTGGGACACTTTGTTTTAGTGCAATTCCCTTTTCATGACCTCTTCTAATATCTCTACTTTTACTGTTTTCTTTTGAATTTCATCCCTAAAGAAAATATTATTAGAACACATTTCTAACATAGGTATTTTTGACAACTATATATGATTTTCTTTTAAGAGAATTAGCTACCTATTCTAAAGTATGTCTGGTATTCTATTAATCTTTAATGCTAAACTTCTTTATATCTTTAGCACAGTGACAGTGTAAGTGATGCTGGTCCTTTAAGATTTTAAGTTTCTTTTAAGTTTTCAAACTTTAAGTGTCTTTTAAATTTTCAAATTAAGTTAAGACACTTAAGGTGTCTTTTAAATTTTCAAACTTGACACAGTTTTAATGTAAAACACTTTTCTGGTGTTATATTTCTTCGAATATTGGTAATCTGTTACTTAGCTGGAATATTTGGTCGGTTGGATTACCACACCTTTAACCATCTATATATAACTTTCTTGATTTTTTTTTTTTTTTTGAGATTGAGTCTTTTGCTGTTTCCCAGGCTGGAGTGCAATAGTGTGATCATAGCTCACTGCAGCCTCAAACTTCTGGGTTCAAGTGGTCCTCTTACTTCAGCCTCCTAAGTCGCTGAGACTGCTACAAGCATATGCCACCACACCAAGCTAACTTTTTTATTTTTTATTTTTTAGAGACAAGGGTCTCTCTCTGTTGCCCAGGCCAGTCTCAAACTTTTGGCTTCAAGTGATCCTCCTGCCTCAGCCTCCCAAAGTGCTGGAATTATAGTCATGAGCCATCGTGCTGGTCCATAACTTCCTTTATTCCCCAAAATGAGTTTAAAGTCCTATTGGCCCTTACTTTAACAGATGATTTTAGTTTTAATAGATATTTTTAGTTTTATAAGAACTTAAGAAAAAAGATTAGAAACAAATTAAATGAGCTCTATGATTGATAGTACAGTATTATAACCAATGGCTACATATATTTCTATAATTATCACAATGACCTGAATGATGCAAATTTTTTACATATGTTTTTATTAATATATATATATATATATTTTGAGACTGTGTCTCACTCTGTTGCCCAGGCTGGAGTGCAGTGGCGTGATCTTGGCTCACTGCAACCTCTGCCTCCTGGGTTGAAGTGCTTCTCCTGCCTCAGCCTCCCTAGTAGCTGGGACTACAGGCGTGCACCACCACGCCCAGCTAATTTTTATATTTTTAGTAGAGATGGGGTTTCACCATGTTAGCCAGGATGGTCTCCATCTCCTGACCTTGTGATCCGCCCGCCCCAGCCTCCCAAAGTGTTTGGATTACAGGCATGAGCCACCGCCCCCAGCCTACTAATACATTTTAGAGACAGGGTCTCACTCTGTTTCCCAGGCTGGAGTGCAATGGTTATTCACAGGCACAATCTCCACTGCAACCTTGAACTTTTGATCTCAAGCAATCTTCCTGCCTCAGCCGTTGGAGTAGTTGGGACTACAGGTGTGTGTCATTGTGCCTGGCCTGATCCCCAATTATTATAAAAGAAACCTTGGAGAGTTGAAGACAATTGGCTGTGATCTTTTTGTTTCTCTTCTAGAAGCTTTCATACTATGGGGTATATTTTTAATCATCCATATTCTCAATTTTTTATTCTGGTTAAAATAGGATTGCTGCTTGTTTTTCATTTTTTTGGCATAATTATTTCTATTCCTTTATGGATTTATTCATGCGGAAATACAGGAATCTCAAAGGCAACTGTTAAGGAAAACAGATTAGGGAAAGGTATTCTATAAACAGCCTTCTGATTGTAGTCACAGGTCACATCACCTTAAAGAAAACTAATTTCATGTAATGCCACTGTGTCAGAGTTTCCCAAGACCACCTCTGTGTTTGGTGATTCACTTGTAAGGACTCAGCAAACAGTCCTACTCTGGGCTTTGATTTGTTACTGTGAAAGAATACAAAGTAAAATTGGCTCAGGGCAAAGGGGCATGTGGCAAGTCTTGGGGAAGCCAGGCACAAGCTTCCAGGAGCCCTCTTCTGTGAAGTTACCAGGATGTGCTGAATTCCTGTAGCTTTGAATTTTGACAGCACATGGGCAGTATTGTCTACCAATATGAGTCTGACAAGACAGTATCCAAGGTTTTTATGGAAGCTAGTTACATAAGCATTCTCTCTCACACATATACAAAAATTCCACACTTCCAGAAGAAAAGCAGCTGTTCAGAGTCAACCACATTGTTTATGCAAACAGTTTAGGTACAGTGAGCTACTTTTCTCAGGAAATGGTGACAAACCTTTAAAATGCAAATTTCCAAACACCAGCGAAGGGCCAGTTTTGCATGTAGGCATTTCTAAGAATGACAGTCTTATGACTGTTATATGAATTATTTTCTTCACAGCAGTTACAGCCCCAACTTAATTTTAGTGTCTTAAAAATTCTATTTAATAGTGAATAACATGGTGATATAACATAGCATGGTGCTTATTTCATTTGCGTCAGTTGCAACTTAATATGAAATACTAAGTTTCTGTGCTGTTAGATTTTGAAATTTTGGTGAATATTTAACAGGTTTCTATACAGAAGTTACTATGGTAATATTAGGTAATTATAATCTGTTCTTATTCAATTAACCTTTCAGTAAAATAGATAAAATAAATAATGATTTCTGGTTTAAAATTAAAATAAAAAATTTGTTTCATTTTAATTATATAGGTTTCAGTTTTGTTTTATATTTTGTTAAATTTCTGTTTATAATTATGAAATTTAAAAAATCAATCATTTATCCATTATTTTCTTCCCTGTTAATATAGTTATTTGCTTTATGTACTTTTATATACTACAATTCTGGAGAGAATATTCATATTGTGTTTCAAATTGAGTACATCTTGCTATAATATATGGCAATATATTATAGCAATATATTAGTAATAGAAGATGCAGTGAAAATCTTTTAAAAAAATTAATAACTTTATTTTAAGAGCAGTTTTATATTCCCAGCAATATTGAAAAGAACCTAAAGAGATTTTTCATATATGCCATCCCCCCTCACATGCATAGCTCCCCCCATTATGAATATCTCCCACCTGAGTGGTACATTTGTTACAACTGAGAAGCTTACATTGCTGGATCATAATAATCACCCAAAGTCCATAGTTTATATCTTAGTTCCCTTTTGGTATTGTACCTTCTATATAGTTGGACAAATGTATAATAAATGTACCTGCCACTAGAATACTTTCGCTGCCCTGAAATTCGTCTCTCTTTTTTTATTCCTCCCTCCCAACTAACCCCTGTCAACTACTAATATTTTTGCTGTCTCCATAGTTTTGATATGTCCAGCATAGTCATATATTAAGGATAATATAGTGGATATCTTTTTCAATATTACAAAACATAAATTTCCAAGATAATTGAATGTATTCAATTAAGCTATCCATTGTGCTTTTTTGCTTTTAGTTTATTAATGTAGGATTTAATGGCATATGCTTTACATGTTGAAAAAGCATAATTTATATAGACATTTGCCACATAATGAGGAGGGTTGAGGAAAATGGCTTCATGCTGTATACTACACAGCAATAACTGGATCATCCTTCTCTGTGAGATGGGTCCAGATAGACTAGAAGTGGAAAGGGACAATCTCAAGAGGCTGTACTTTATAAAACTGGAGTCAGAAAGTCTTTCCTATTTACCTTGCAGTTGGAAATAAGACCAGCTAGTGAATACTATAGGCATACAAATATGTTTCTTATTGACCTTCTTTCTTTGAGGGATCAGTTTGAAAACAGTCTATATTATTATAACATGACTCACTTATAACTAGGTTCTCCATCATGAAAAATGCCAAGAGAGTCATACTATTTTTGTTTACCTAAAGTGACAAAGATTTGTTGTTGTTGTTGTTTTTCACACTAGGTAGTGGGACAACTGTTGGCACATCTTGGTAGCTCCAGTGAGTTTATGGTTCCTTTATATATATTTTATATATTAGAAAGTCCTCCCTGGCAACTTGCCATACCTCCCTGGCGTTTCTTCATAAGCTTCTCTCTGAAAAGGAGACAAGACTCAGATTGGATAAGCTTTTAAGGGAGTGCTATTTCCTCTGTGTGTGTTTTTTTGAAGGAGCTAAAATGAAAGCTGAATTTAAGCATTGTTTGTGCCCTACATAGGGTGAATGAATAGCTAGAACTAAGCAAACTTACCAGAATCTTCCCTAGGAGAGGATTAGTGAAGGTAAGGATACTGATCTCTCTTAGGCTCTTCTGCACTGGCAGCTGAAAAGTCTTTGCAGGGATCCTTGACCCTGGTCTGTATGCTGTGTTTTGCCATAGAATAGAGTACAGTTTTCATAGACCTAGATTTTTTGTATTAGAGTGCTTTATCCTGAATAGTTTAAACTGAAGAAGTGGAGAAACTTGTGTTTCAACAAAATAAGTACAGTAATTTCCTCTTATACATGGGGGATACATTTCAAGACCCTTAGTGAATGCCTGAAAACATGGATAGTGCTGAACTCTATGCATACAATAATTTTTAAAAATACATATATATCTATAATAAAATTTAATGCATAAATTAGGCACAATAAGAGATTAATAATATCTAATGGTAAAGTGGATCAATTGTAACAATATACTGTAATAAAAGTTAAGTGAATGTGAGCTCACAAAATATCATGTACTATAGTCACCCTACTTTCTGCACTGATGTGAGATGATAAAATGGCTATGTGATAAGTGAGGCAAATGCAGTAGGCATTGCCATGTAGTCTTGGGCTATTATTGACCTTCTATTTGACTATATGTCAGAAAGAAGAACATCTGCTTCACGTGATCTTGGATCCGTGAGCCATGATGATGTTGTTGGTTGGATGTTAGGTACAGATTATGTCAATGACTAGTGAGCAGATATCATATATAATGTGCATGCACTTGACAAAGGGATGATTCACATCTTGGGCAGACTGGGATGTAATGGCTCAAATTTTATCATACTACTCAGAATCTTATGCAATTTAAACCTTATGATGTATATACATCTGGAATTTTATTTATGGACCATGGTTGACCGTGGGTAACTGAATCTGCAGTCAATAAAACCACCAATGTCATATTATGAAATATATATTTGGTCTTCAACCCCATTTTCTGTCATACAACTCCTAAAATCCTCAGAACTTCCCACATGATATCATTTGTATGCTAATGATTGACTTATGGCAGGCAGCCTCCAGATGGCTTCAGGGTGGGGCTCATCATCAGAGTGATCAGGGTGTGATTAGAGGGTTGGGGCTTCCAGCCCCACCCCTCACCACCTGGGATGTGAGAGGGGCTGAATGTTCAATTAATCAGTCATGCCTATGTAAGGAAGCTTTCATAAAATCCCAAAAGGATTGGATTTGGAGAGCATCCAGGTAGCTGTATTCAGCTACCTGGATGCTCTCATTCAATACATGAAGGCATATGGAGAATACATGGATGTTCCCAGAGGGTGAGTGCCCTGGGAGGACATGGAAGCGTGTTACTTTCCCCCCATATCTTGCACTATGCATCTCTTTATCTGTATCCTTTAATATTCTTTATAAGAAACTGGTAAATGTGTTTCCATGAGTTCTCTGAGCCACTCTAGTAAATTGATCAAACCAAAGAGGGGGTCCTGGGAAACCCAACTTGAAGTCCAACTGGAAGTTGATTAGAAGTTCTGGAGGCCCAGACTTGTAACTGCTGTGGGGGAATAGCCTTGTGGTACTGAGCCCTCAACCTGTAGATAATCCCCAAGTAGATAGTGTCAGAATTAGAGGGCACCCATCGGAATTGATTGTTTGCTTGTTGCTGGGGAAAAATACATATTTGGTCACAGAAATCTTCTGTGTTGATGATTGTTGTTGCGGTGTGAGAGAAGGGGAACATCATGTTGAATATGTGTTTTCTACACATACAGCAGATAAGGGGGACTGCTGTTCTAGCTGCACCTGGTTCATTTGTCCAGAAATCATGTTCTTTGACAATGCCTGCTCATTATATTGATTCTACTAATGATGCCATTTTCTGTCAGTCTGATATAATTCTGTTAGAATTATGACTATTTTATACCGCAATTCACATGTAAGGTAACAAATTTTGATAATATATTCTTCTTTGCATTTGATAAGTATATGCTAAGCATGTAAGAAAGGAAATAAGAGTTCTTAACTCATTAGTTGCCTACAAATAGTATAAATAATAATTTTAGTATAGCCTCCAAGTATGTTTCTAAAGCACTGCTTTGTAACAAATCATGAGAGTCTCTGTAATAAAGCATCAAAGTCTTATAATATTTTTCCTACAAGGTCTAAGGCATGTACAAAAGTTCATGATTTGTTTTTTCTTTTGAGATGAAGTCTCACTCTGTCACCCAGGCTGGAGTGGAATGGCACAATCTCGGCTCACTGCAACCTCTGCCTCCTGGGTTCAAGCGATTCTCCTGTCTCAGCCTCCCGAGTAGCTGGGATTACATACATGTGCCACCACACTTGGCTAATTTTTTTTTGTATTTTTGTTGAGATGGGGTTTCACCATGTTTGGCCAGGCTGGTCTCAAACTTTTGACCTCACGTGATCCACCCGCCTTGGCCTCCCAAAATGCTGAGATCACAGGCATGAGCCACTGTGCCCAGCCTGCATGATTTTTTTTTTAGTAAAGAGTCTTGCTATGTTGCCCAGGCTGTTCTCAAACTCCTGGGCTTCTCAAGTGATACTTCTGCCTCAGCCTTCTGAGTAGCTGAGATTATAGGGACAAGCCACTGTACATACACACACACACACACACACACACACACACACACGCACCAAATATATGCCCAGTAATGGGATTACTGGCTCAAATGGTATTTCCGGTTCTAGATCCTTGAGGAATCACCACACTGCCTTCCACAATGGTTGAACTAATTGACACTCCCACCAACAGTGTAAAAGCATTCCTATTTCTCCACATCTGCTCCAGCATCTGTTGTTTCCTGACCTTTTAACGATTGCCATTCTAAATGGCGTGAGATGGTATCTCATTGTGGTTTTGATTTGCATTTCTCTAATGATCAGTGATGATGAGCTTTTTTTCAGATGTTTGTTGGCTGCGTAAATGTATTCTTTTGAGAAGTGTCTGTTCATATCCTTTGCCCACTTTTTGATGAGATTGTTCTTTTCTTGTAAATTTGTTTAAGTTCCTTGTAGATTCTAGATATTAGGCCTTTGTCAGATGGACAGATTGCAAACATTTCCTCCCATTCTGTAGGTTGCCTGTTCACTCTGATCATAGTATTGGAAGTTCTGGCCAGGGTAATCAGGCAAGAGAAAGAAATAAACGGTATTCAAATAGGAAGAAAGGAAGTCAAATTGTCTCTGTTTGCAGATGACATGATTGTATATTTAGAAAACCAAATTGTCTCAGCCCCAAATCTCCTTCAGCTGATAAGCAACTTCCTCATAGTCTCAGGATACAAAGTCAATGTGCAAAATTCACAAGCGTTCCTATACACCAGTAATAGAGCACTAAATCATGAGTGAACTCCCATACACAATTGCTACAAAGAGAATAAAATAGCAAGGAATACAACTCACAAGGGATTTGAAGGACCTCTTTAAGGAGAACTACAAACCACCACTCAAGGAAATAAGAGGACACAAACAAATGGAAAAACATTCCATGCTCATGGATAGGAAGAATCAATATCTTGAAAATGGCCATACTTCCCAAAGTAATTTGCAAGTTCAATGCTATACCCATCAAGCTACCATTGACTTTCTTCACAGAATTAGAAAAAACTACTTTAAATTTCATATGGAACCAAAAAAAGAGCCCATATAGCCAAGACAATCCTAAGCAAAAAGAACAAAGCTAGAGGCATCATGCTACCTGACTTCAAACTATACTACAAGGCTACAGTAATGAAAACAGCATGGTAGTGGTACCAAAAGAGATATATAGACCAATGGAACAGAACAGAGGCCTCAGAAATAATGCTATACATCTACACCATCTGATCTTTGACAAACCTGACAAAAGCAATGGGGAAAGGATTCCGTATTTAATAAATGGTGTTGGGAAAACTGGCTAGCCTTATGCAGGAAACTGAAACTGGACCCCTTCCTTACACTTTATACAAAAATTAACTCAAGATGCATTAAAGACTTAAAAGTAAGTTCTAAATGTGTAAAAACCCTGGATGAAAACCTAGGCAGTACCATTCAGGACATAGGCATGGGCAAATACTTCATGACTAAAACACTAAAAGCAATGGCAACAAAAGCCCAAATTGAAAAATGGGATCTAATTAAACTAAAGAACTTGTGTGCAGCTTTATTTGGGAGTGTGCGTGGGGTACCTCTGAGTTTTAAAAATGAAGAAAGTAAGTAGTCGTGCTTTCCTGACTCTTTGGTAGACATAGCCTTTTAAGACAGTCATTCTGAGCTGTCATGGTCTTAGGGTTTTCTATACTACTAAAACTTATTGACGACATCTAACCAAGAACTTAATTTTTTTTAAAAAAAGAAAAAGAAATCACCCAAATACACATTAAAAACCTGTTATAACATATGTGCACATTCATAGATAACATGTAGAACGTGATTTTGTGTATTAAAACCTTGTAGAAAAGTTCAGACAGTGCACACAATGACTGCAACTTGGTCTTTGTAAAATCAGTGATATATATTTCAGATCTATCCATGTTGACCCAGTGAGGTATTCGATTTATTGTATGATCTAATGATATGCCATGTGATGACTGCAGCATATTTAATTATGCTCTCTTCATGCTGATACCATATGGACATAAATATGATGAGATACCAGCATGGATATGCTTATGTGGTTGCTTTTAATGACTTGTACTATATTAGAAATGAAACAGAAGTATTGGAAATCCTAGCAAGCATAGCTGTATGTCTCCCATGGCTGTGTTGATTGCAACTGTTTCCCCCTTAAAGCATGTCTTTTTGACATGTCATGATC